>NC_000001.11:190059587-190684587 GCF_000001405.40 Homo sapiens
ACTTGTTAAACACATAATTATCTTTTCTTAAATTGAATTTTTAAAACTTGAAACTGTTTGAAAGAAGAATTTTAGAAAATAAAATACATTGCTATGGGAAGTCAAGATTCATGCCAGAGGGCATCCCAGAATAGAATTGTTTAATTGAGGCTTATTCAGAGACTATAGTCAAACTCGTGGGTCCACAAAATTGTTCTTAGAGTTTTGGATTTATCAGACTCTGGGGAATAGACTTGGAACTAAACTGATTGAATTATAGATAATCAAGCAGACCAATTTAAACGGGAATATAATATTCAAGGGATTTGTGTAATTGACAAGCACTATATTCACTGAAAAAAAAATATCAAGGAATACTTCTAAGATACCTACTACCTGTCATGTACAAGGTATACTATATATATATATATATATATATAAAGAGAGAGAGAGAGTCTTGCTCTGTCACCCAGGCTGTAGTGCAGTGGCGTGATCTCAGCTCACAGCAACCTCCGCCTCTGGGTTCAAGTGACTCTTCTGCCTCAACCCCCTGAGTAGCTGGGACTACAGGCATGTGCCACCACACCCAGCTAATTTTTGGTAGATGATATTTTTAAAAGACAAAGTTTTCTTACTTTCAAAGATATTTCAAAGTAGCAAAGATACCGGCAATTATACTAGAGTATTTTAGGGAAAATGCAGTGTGGCATTGGAAAAAAAATATACATTTAATCCTTAGTACAATTAGTTGAAATGGCCCAATGCATGATTATTCCACAGAGATATGCCTCTAAAACTAATCTGAGTCCTTGAGTCAGAACTTTGCCAGTACTGTCAGTTAGAATATTGAATGTCAATATTTTCTACCTTTTTAAAGCATAAAACACATTGCAATGTTCTGCCAGTATCACAATTAGAAAAAAGAAAAACGTTTAACATAGCAGTAAAACACTATTTCTACAACACTATACTTAAATCCTCCTCAAATCTCGTCATGTTCATTTTTAGCATACTTTCAGGGTATTTCCTCTGTGTTCTTCAGATAGATCCTCTTGGACCTAATGTGGTATGTATTATTTCCCTCCTTTCTCACAGTACTGTGTATGCTTGTTGATGTATTTGTGCTTGTATTGTTTCTGATAATAAAAATAACAGCCTTACTGGCCAATATATTAGTTTTTTATGTTCTCTTATATGTCAGGTTAGGTGATGTCCAGGATATCATGTTTATATTGAAACCATGAAATCCCTATGCCTTTGTTCTCTAAGCTACTCATATCATTGATCCTACTCCTGCCAATATTTACTTCAGGAATGCTATTTGTGAATACAAAGGATATTAAAAGCTGCTGACATCAATATCATTAATGTATTTTGTTTGTAGTTTCATAGTATTTAATTCAACATATTTAGCTATTGTGTGTGTGTGTGTTTACCTGCTTTTTTTGTTGAAACGTTTCTACTGATGACTGAACCACAACTCTATGGGCTTGGTAGCACCATTTTGAGAACACCATTCAGTGCAATTAATCTGTGGGGCAGCTTAAACCTAAGTGTGCACCTTAAATCTCTCTGCCCTCTCTCTTAACCCTGCAGTTACCCTGTTCTACAGGTACATGTAGAACAGAGTAATGATGGGCTTGTGATATGAGCTATCTGGACATATCTGAAGTATAGGGTGAAGATGAATAAGTTTTAAATTTAGACCCTGGCTATATGACAATTTTCTTGAAATGAAAATGTTATTACAAACATATTTCAATGCTTGGAACCATTTGGAACCTGTAAGTTATTTTTGTGTGTATCTAATCTAATTTATTTTACCAATTTCCTTTATGAAGACACTCAACTTCTCATGTTTTGTAAACCTTGGAAGCCGCTTCACTGTTATCTTTGTGACATTTCCTCACAAATACCTGTTGGTCTAATCTGGCAACTTTATTTTTATAGTTACTGTATTGTTCATTAGGAAAGCTTATTACCAATTAATATATTCTTAAAAGTATATACATCATTAAAAATTGATGACTTTGTCATGACTATTTTTATTCCCAAGTAAAAGCATTTTATTTGTTTATTTTTAAAACAATTTCCACTTTTATTTTAGATTCAGGGGATAAAACTGCACATTTATTACATGGGTATATTGTGTAATGCTGAGGTTTGGGGTACAAAGGATCCCATCACCCAGTTAGTGAGCACAGAACTCAATACGTAGTTTTTCAGTCCTTCCCCCACAACTCTCTCCTCCCTCTAGTAGTCCCCAGTGTCTATTGTTGCCATTTTTATGTTCACAAATACCCAATGTTTAGATCCTATAAAGTGAGAACATGTGGTATTTGGTTTTCTGATCCTGCATTAATTTGTTTAGGATAATGGCCTCTAATTGAATCCATATTGCTTCAAAGAAGATGATTTCATTTTTTATGGCTATGTAGTATTCCAAAATGTATATGTGCCATTTTATTTATCTAATCCATCATTAATCAGCACCTAGATTGATTCCATGTCTTTGCTAGTGTGAATAGTGCCATGATGAACATACAAGTGCATGTCCCTTTTGGGCAGAGTGACTTATTTTCTTTGGGATATAAACCCAGTAATGGCATTGCTAAGTTGAATGGTAGGGCTGTTTTAAGTTCTTTTGAGAAATCTTCAAACTGCTTCCCACGGTGGCTTAACTAAGTTAGCTTCCCATCAACAGTCCATAAGCATTTTATCTAAAAGCATTTTAGTATAGGCTATGAGCAACATTGTCCACAGTAGAGTAATTAGAATAATAGCAAATATTAAGATGAGGCTTCATCTTCCACATATACCATTTACTAATCACAGGGGTCTTGGGAAAGTCATTCAGTTATTTGTGGTCATTTTTTTTAATGTGTAAGTGGAAGACAATAATTGTTGGCATTTCTGTAGCCTGAGGTTGTTATACTAAAGGTGATGGAAAATGGATATCAAATAATTCCTGGAAAATATAACCATGATTCTGTTTTGTGGTGATTATATTTACCAAAATAAATGTATGCCATACCATGATTTTAGTCCTTTTATATAATCCTAAAATAATATCCTGATTAATTGGGGATGAGAGAGCAGGATGATAAGGGGAATGTAGTCTATTTTATTAGCATTAAGCTGATACCTCTGTATGGTTTCCTGAAGAATATGAGTAAGTAGGTCTTCAGGAAGTGTATCTGTTCATGTATAAATTGTAGTTTTCTTTTCTCTAGAGTCTTTTACCTCTAGCCCTTGCTGACTTTACAATACATATGCAGATGAAGAATAGACAATGAAAGTTTAAAAACGACTTGTGAATAAGCTTGGTTGATTAATGTATTCATAAATTAATAAGCATTTAATTATGTAAAAATATATAAGAAGGTACTCTGTTTACTGTAAAGCAATATTGTAAAGCTGACTTTTTTTTACCTATATCCTTTTACATTTGTTTCTAATATATTCATTCAATCATCAAAAAAAGGAAATATTGAATGTTTATAACTTTTCAGGGTGTGAGATATGAGAGACATTGCCAAAATCTCATGGCTTTCAAAATGGGCTCATTTTAAATATAAGACTGTCAGAAAAATATCCACAATAAACACTTAACTCCACAGAATTAAATGGAAACTGCCTTTTTGTATTCAATTGGATGAAATTGTTAAAGTATTTTTTAGAACAAATGACATTAACCTTGGCCTTGACTCTTATTTGTGACCCACTTCAGTTATACAGCCTTCTAGCTCTTCCTCAGGCACACCAGCAAGTTTCCTCTTCAGACCTTTGCCTGGGAAACCCTCTTGCTCCAGATGTTTTTATGACTTGTCCCATCAAAACTTTTAGAGTTATATCAATTTTCATTCCCCAGAATGGGCTTCTTTAGACATTCTGTAAATAAACTCTTCCTTCACTGTATAGCCCCCTTATTGGGATAAAATTGTGTTAGGTCTCTTATAATTATATTAATTTTTAAAATCTGCTTATTATCCATGTCTTCCACTAGAATGAAAATTCCATGAGGACAAGAACATTTTCTCTTATTCCTCCTATTTCCTCAGCATCAAAAATAGCCTTTGACGGACGGGCGTGGGGGCTCACACCTGTAATCCCAGCACTCTGGGAGGCCGAGGCGGGTGGATCACGAGGTCAGGAGGTCAAGACCATCCTGGCTAACACGGTGAAACCCCGTCTCTACTACAAATACAAAAAATTAGCCAGGCGTGGTGGCGGGCACCTGTAGTCCCAGCAACTCAGGAGGCTGAGGCAGAAGAATGGTGTGAACCCAGGAGGCAGAGCTTGCAGTGAGCCGAGATTGCACCACTGCACTCAAGCCTGGGTGACAGAGCAAGACTCTGCCTCAAAAAAAAAAAAAAAAAATAGCCTTTGACATCTAATAAACACTAATAAATTTTTGATGAATATATTTACGAATGCATAAATAAGTGAATAGAATACATAAATGAAATGAATGAAAAGGTTCTATGAAGTAATTTTTATTCTTTAGATGAAATTTTGAAAAATTAAAGCAGGAAATGATACTACTTAATCTTAACTACTAAAGTTTGTGCATTTCTAATAGCTAACAAAACTTCTGCTTAAATTCTGATTAGTAACAGATGGATCGGGGTTGACATACGGATTTAGACATGGCAATGATGACATGAAACCAATACATTTATCTTGCTTTAGTCATGATCAGTGAAAGCATGTGCAAGTATATCTTAGAGATATTGAGGATTCTGTTCCAGAGCACCGCAATAAAGTTTATATCATAATAAAACAAGTTTTGTGGATTTATTTTTGTTTCTTACTGCACATAAAAGTTAGAAACAGAAAAATTCACAAAGTATATGATAACTACTTAGTATAAGATACTAAGTATGCAGTAGGTTATGTCTTACAAAACAATGTGCAAACTTAATTTGAAAATCCTTTATTGCTAAAAACTGCTAACAATCATCTGAGCCTTCAGGAAGCTGCAATATTTTTGCTGGTAGACGATCTTGCCTTGGTGTTGATGTCTGCTGACTGATCAGGGTGGTGGCTGCTGAAGATTGGGGTGACTGTAGCAATTTCTTAAAATAGGAAAATGAAGGAAATTTGTTTTTTCTTGCAGTAAGTCTCAACGGTAGTCTTAAATTTTTCACTAAACCCTGCTGGAAACAGATGTGCTTTCATCCAGGCATTGTTTTCCATTGATGGAGCATAGGAAGAGTATATTTAGCATAATTCTTAAGGGCTCTCATGTTCGTTTCTTTGTGAGAATGGTAAATAAGCTTTGGCTACAACTTAACAACACCAGCTGCATTAGACCCTACCAAGAGAGTCAGCCTGTTCTTTGAAGTTTTGAAGTCAGGCATTGACTTCTCCCCTTTAGCAATGAAAGGCCTAGTGGCATCTTCTTCCAATGTACAACAGTTTCATTCTCATAGAAAATATGTTGTTTAATTTAGCTTCCTTCATCAATGATCTCAGCTAGATCTTCTAGATAATCTGCTGCAGCTTCTACCCACAACACTTGCTGCTTCACCTTGTACATGTTATGTTATGTTATGAAGATTGGCTGCTCTCCTTAAACCTCATGAATCAATACTAGCTTCAATCTTTTCTCCTGCAGCTTCCTCATCTCTCTAAGGCTTTACATAATTGGAGAGTTAGAGTACTGCTCTGGATTCAGTTTTGTCTTAGGGGAATGTTGGAGCTGGCTTGATCTTCTATCCAGACCACTAAAACTGTTTCAATATCAACAATAAGGTTGACATAGAAAATGTTCAACCTTCCACAAGCTGATATTCCTGTGTTCACTGGAATGATAAGAAAGAAAAACAGCCTTATTGTTGATATAGAAAAAAAGTTCCAGAACCTTTCCTTTGCATTTACAACTTTGCTAACTGTTTGGTGCAAGAGGCCTAGCTTTCCGCCTATCTCAGCTTTCAACATGCTTTTTTCGTTAAGCTTAATAACTAGCTTTTGAATTAAAGTGAGAGATGTGCAATTCTTTACACTTGAACACTTAGAGATCATTGTAAGATTATTAATTAGACTATTTTCAATATTGCTGTGTCTTAGCCAGTAGTGAGGCTCAAGGAGAGAAGGAGAGAGGGGGAAAATGACTGGTTGGTGGAATAGTCAGAACCCACACATCTATCGATGAAATTCACCCTCTTATATGGGCATGTTTCATGGCACCCCAAAACAATTACAATAATAACATCAAAGATAAGTGGTCATGGGTCACCATAATATACATAGTAATAAGGAAAACTTTGAAATATTGCGGTAATAACCAAAATGTGACACAGAGACACGAGGTGGGCACATAATATTAGAAAAATGGTGCTAATAGACTTGCTTCAAAGCAGAGTTACCACAAAACTTCAGTTTGTAGAAAACACAATATCTGTGGAGCACAATAAAGTGAAGTGCAATAAAACAAGGTATGCCTGTGTCTATTCACATAGGCAATGAATCAAAAACATCATTTTTTTCCATCTCCAAAATGTGGGCTTTTGAACATACACCCCACAACTATATCTTTTATTTGATGGCGTTCGTAGTAACAGTCATTTATCATGCAGAGAAATAGCACTGGTGTTGTGTCTAACACAAAATATGGAGCAGTTGCCTCAACAGATCTCTAAGTTGTCAAATATGACATTCCATGTGGAGAAAAGCTATATTCCAACAGAAAGCACAGGCCAAAAAAAGAAAAAAAAAAGCTTAAGATGTAGAATTAAATTAGATACAACAGAGGAAATCTTTAGCTGGCAATGCCAACTACACACTTTATTACTTTTGTCAGTAAGTATACACAGGCACACAATAGCTTTTTACTTTTTTCCTTTTAGCATATACCTTATTTGAAACCTTTGAGGCTGATTGTTTAATGAAATATAATACTGCAGCTTATAATTTTAAATTGCTGTTGAACTTGGTATTTTAATTAAATATTGTCTGTCTCATTCCCAAACCTCAGCAAATGCATACAAATTGGCAACTATTAATACTCCATTGGATCTGATTTTTAGAATATAATAAATATTTACTTTTGTATAGTTTACTAATATAAAATACTAGCTGATTAAGCAAGTTTATTTGAGGATTCTCCTTAAACAATGAGTACTTGAAAATTATCAGGTTTCTTTCAGGTAAAATTTCAAACTGCCTTCTAGGGCTCTTACATGAACTCATATATGTAGGAGTTCATTATATATATATGTGTATATGTATAGTTAAGTTTAACATTTAATTTGTTATAATATATTGACCTTTCAGTTATTCTTAATGTCTTGATTAATTACAAAGAGAAAACTATGACAGCTATGTGTTTTATTTGTCTTTAATCAGTATAGTTTCAAGATCTAGTGTCTAGAGCAGACCCTTTCTCTAATTATTGCATCTTGATCATGTTGTCAAGACTATAAAGGGCCTGAGATTTTACTCTACTTGCAAATTAACAACTTAGTGTGCCACTATTTCTTAGATGGTGTAAAAAGACATGACTTTTAGGAGCAGCAGACAGTTTATTATTCAAATAAATAGCAGTAGTCAAAATATTCTTATTTTCACATGCTGATTCTGGAGCTCAAATTCCCACAAGAATACTTGACAAAGGCCACACAAGGATTGAATGCACAATGGCTTTTGTTACAAGAGATGAACTCTGGGCTTAGAGAATCAAAATATTTTGTAATGGGCAGAAACCTTGCCTAACCTTTGCCTCAGAAAGACATTACCTTAATATTACCAGACAGCAGACAATCCTGCTTTCTGTTCTGGAATAAAACTTTTATCTTCCAAAGCTGGTTGCTATACAAACATCCCTGGAATTCTAGTCTGGAGCAAAAGCTATGGACGCCTCTGCTCACAAGATGTGCAGAAATATTAGACCCTCAAATAATTATCTTCCAACACATAACTTTATCTTCTATATGTTAAATTTTAAATCCACTTTTGAATTTAGTTGTTTGTGTTAACAAGCTGTTGTTGCAGTTATGTGCAGTAACAGTTATTTTAAGGTGCAAAGTCTTAAAATATCAAGCATTTACTTTATGCTTGTACATATACAAGTCAATTGCTAAACTTTGGCTGATGTAGGCTATGCTTGGCTACATGACTCTGCCTTAGGCTGTGAGTCATCAGGGATTGTCCCAGGCTTTTGTGGGGTTCAGTTCTGTTTCACGTGTCTGAAGTGAGTGTCTCAGGCTGAAATAACAGCAATTGCCAGGACGATGTTTGTCTCGTGGTTGATGACCCAAACCAACAAGCTAGACAAATTACTCAGGTGCACTTTGATCCTTAGTTAACATCATTTTCTCTCTATTATGCAAAGCAAGTTGCATGGCCAAACCCACAATCACATGGGTGGGGAAGTATACATCCTCATAGCAGTGAAAATTTGAGAGGTTATTTTTGAGCACTACTGCAATCACTCCCAATGTTTTTATAAAGTTCTTTCTCATTCTCAATGATTATGGTTCAACTTTGCATTTACTAAATTTCCATGGTATAAATAGAAAGAAATATAGAGACAAAGATTGATAATGCTTGCTGACAACCTGAATTAAGAACCAATGGTGCTGAGTAATTTATTAGAAGGCAGTGCAGTAATATTTTAGTCTCTATCTGTTCATAAAGAGATAATGTGTTTACAAAGCCAATAAATAAACATGTTTTTAATTGCTCCACAATATCTTGAAATGCATCACATATATTTGGCTACTATGCAGAGCAAGGAGAAAATAATACTATCAAGAATAGCAACCAAATTGTGTACATTCTGTTTCAGTTAAAAAGTATTGTGTTTATATTATTTATGTGATGCCTCAAACAACAATGTAGGTGGGTGACATATTTATAGTTCTCATGTTTCCAAAGAGGATGCCAGCATTTGAGACGTTAAGCGATTTACCATGGTCACACTGCCCATCAGTGGCAACCCTGGGGCTCAAGCCCTGTCTGACTCATCTTCAGAAGCACAATGAGTAATTAATGTTAAAATATTCACAGCATGTCCCTAATTATAACATTTTTATTAAAACAACATATTCAACTCTCAGATACTTTGGTGATCTGGTTTGTTGATTTAGGAATTATTCTTACTTTACAAAAATTTGTAATTCAAAATACATCACAACTTTTTACTGACTTTACGCTGATTTATTAAGGTTTTGTATAAGTCAAATGACTTTAGAGTACATTTTACCTGAATTTAGCTTTATTATCAATGTTCACTGTATCTGTTTACTTACTTATTTAATGTGGCACTAAATTTTTAAGTTATATCTAACAGAGATGCTTTAACAAAGAGAGATTGTTTGAAACTCTGATCTGTAGAATGGACCATGAAACAGGATTTTAAGCTCTGTAATAATGTCGATAGCTTTTAGCTGAGCCTTGGTTTCTGCAGTACTCTGACATCCCTAACATTCTGCTGTCCATAAGCTTCTTAGACTTCTACTCTCATTTTGAATCTAACACATTATACAGCAGTTATTTATTCAGTGTAATTTTGTACAAAAGAGCTTTTAAATGTAGCAGCATTATGAAATTTAACATAAAAGCATATTTATATATAAGTGTACATAAATTCAAAATATATTAGAGAACTATTTTCTCTTAATTATGGGGGTGAGCATTACATATGTTGTCAAGTAAACTTTAAATTTCTTATAAATAATCCTTATTTTAGATTTATGCTCTATCCACATTCCATCCCCCAAACTTACATATGTATTTTTTGGTTAGTAGTGAGCCAATCTTTATTTTCCTTTGTTTTGCATTTTAAAGTGCTTCATTAGGTTTCAAGATGTTTCATTAAGTTTTATTAAACTTATTAAGCTGAGAGATTAAGTGCCACTTTATACAAAAAACAAGTCACAAAGACACTTCCCTGGGAGACATAAAACCTATTACCATTACTGTCCATGAAATAGTTTTAGATTTTTTTAAAATAGTGAAAAAGAAATTAAAGTGGTATATCCAGAGTATACCAAATAATTTGTCAAAATGTTTAATTGATCAGTTTAGCCAAGCACATTCATATTTAGAATGTTTCCACAGATAAATATGTTGGAACCCTTCTGTACATCTCTCTATCTATGTCTCGCTCTCTCTCTCTCTTTCTCTCTATCTCTGTGTGTGTGTTTGTGTGTGTATTTTTTGATAATAGCCATCCGAATGAGTATGAGGTGGTATATCATAGTGCTTTTAATTTACATTTTCCTGATGATTGATAATGTTGAGAACCTTTTCATGTATGTGCCGTTTTTGTGTCTTTTGAAAAGACATACCTATTCTGATCTTTTGTTCATTTTATTTTATTTCACTTTTTTTTTCTGGTGTTAGGATTTTTCTTTCTTTTCTTTATTTCTTCTTAAAAATAAAAAGGATACATGTGCAGAACGTGCACGTTTGTTACATAAGTATATGTGTGCCATGGTGGTTTGCTCTACCAATTGACCCATCCTCCACTTTCCCTCCCCTCACCCCCACCACCCAACAGGTGTGTGTTGTCCCCCTCTCCATGTCCATGTGTTCTCAATGTTCAACTCCCACTTACGAGTGAGAATATGCGGTGTTTGATTTTCTGTTCCTGTGTTAGTTTGCTGAGGATGATAGTTTCCAGCTTCATCCATGTCCCTGCTTTTATTTATTATTTTTTATTTTAGGTTTGTGGGTACATGTGAAGGTTTCTTGCTACACCCATGAACATGTGTCATAGGGGTTTGTTGTACATATTATTATATCAACAAGATAATCAGCTCAGTACCCAGTAGTTATATTTCCTGCTCTTCTCCCTCCTGCTACCCTCCCCCATCAAATAGAACCCAGTGTCTGTTGTTTCCTTCTTTGTGTTTTTAAGTTGTTATCATTTAGCTTCCACTTATAACGATGAACATGCAGTATTTGGTTTTCTGTTGCTGTATTAATTTGCTAAGGATAATAACCTTCAGCTCCATCCATGTTCCCGCAAAAGATATGACTCATTCTTTTTTATGACTGCATAATATTCTATGGCATATATGTACCAAATTTCCTTTATTCAGTCTATCATTGATGGGCATTTAGGTTGATTCTATATCTTTGCTATTGTGAATAGCGCTACAGTGAACATTCACATGGATGTGTCTTTATGATAGAATGCTTTATATTACTCTAGGTATATACTCAGTTCTTTGAGGAATTGTTGTATTGCTTTCCACAATGGTTGAACTAATTTACACTCTCACCAACAGTGTATAAGGGTACCTATTTCTCCACAACCGTGCCAGCATCTGTTATTTGACATTTGAATATTAGTCATTCTGACTGGCGTTGAGATGGTGTATTAGCCCATTCTTACACTGCTATAAAGAAATACTCAGGACTGGGTAATTTATAAGTGAACAAAGTTTAATTGACTCCCAGTTCCGCATTGCTGAGGAGGCCTCAGGAAACTTATAATCATGGTGGAAGGCAAAGGAGAAGTAGGCACGTTCTTCACAGGGTGGCAGGACAGAGTTAGTGTAAGCAAGGGAAATGCCAGGTGCTTATGAAACCATCAGATCTATTGAGAACTCACTATCAGGAGAATAGCATGGGGGAAACTGCCGCATGATTTAATTACTTCCACCTGGACCTGCCACAGACACATGGGGATTATGGGGATTACAATTTAAGATGAGATTTGGGTGGGAGCACAAAGCCTAACTCCATCAAATGGTATCTCATTTTGGTTTTGGTTTGCATTTCTCTGATGATCAGCAATATTGAGCTTTTTTTCATATGCTTCTTGGCCACATGTATGCCTTCTTTTGAGAAGTGTTTGTTCACGTCCTTTGCCCACTTTTTAATGAAATTATTTGTTTTTCTTTTTTCCTTAATAATATTAGATATTAGCCCTTTGTCAGATGCATAGGAATTTGCAAAAATTTTCTTCCATTCTGTAGGTTGTCTGTTTACTCTGTTGATAGTTTATTTTGCTGTGCAGAAGCTCTTAAGTTTAATTAGACCCCATTTGTCAATATTTTATTTTGTTGCAGTTGCTTTTGGTGTCTTTATCATGAAATCTTTGACTGTTTCTATGGATGGTATTGCCTGGGTTTCCTCCAGGGTTTTTATAGTTTTGGGTTTTACATTAAAGTATTTAATCCATCTTGAGTTGATTTTTAGAAGTCCAGCTTCAATCTTCTGCATATACCTAACCAGTTATCCCAGCACCATTTATTGAATAGGGAATCTTTTCCCTATTGCTTTTGTCAGTTTTGTCAAAATATCAGATGGTCGTAGATGTGTAGCCTTATTTCTGGGCTCTCTATTCTGTTTCCTTGGTCTATATGTCTGTTTTTGTACCAGTACTATGCTGTTTTTGTCACTGTAGCCCTGTAATATAGTGTGAAATAGGGTAATGTGAATCTTCCAGCTCTGTTCTTTTTGCTTAGGATTGCCTTGGCTATTCAATCTCTTTTTTGGTTCCGTATTAATTTAAAATTTTTTCTCTAGGTCTGTGAAGAATATCATTGGTAGATTGATAGGAATAGCATTGAATCTGCCAACTGTTTTGGGCAGTATAGCCATTTTAATCATATTGATTCTTCCTATCCATAAGCATGGGATGTGTTTCCATTTATTTATGTCTTAACTGATTTTTTTTGGAGCAGTGTTTTCTAATTCTCATTGTGGAGATCTTTCATCTCTCTGGGTAACTGTATTCCTAGGTATTTTATTATTTTCTGTGACAAGTTGAATGGTATCACCTTTCTGATTTGACTCTTGGTTTGGTTGTTGTTGATATACAGGAATGCTAGTAATATTTGTATATTGATTTTGTATCTGCAACTTTGCTGGTGTTGTTTATAAGGTGTAGGAGCTTATGGGATGAGACTATGAGGTTTTCTAGATATAGAATCATGCATCTGCAAATAGAGATAGTTTGATTTCCTCTCTTCCTATTTGGATGCCCTTTATTGTTTCTTCTTGCTTGATTGCTCTGGCTAGGACCTCCAATACTATGTTGAATATAAGTGGTGAGAGAGGGCATCCTTGTCTTGTCCTGGTTTTCAAGGAGAATGCTTCTACCTTTTGCCCATTCAAGATAAGGATGGTTAAGGGTTTGTCACAGAGGCTCTTACTATTTTGAGGTATGTTCCTTCAATACCTAGTTTATTGATAGTTTTTAACATGAAGCGATGTTGAATTTTATCAAAGCTTTTTCTGCATATATTGAGATAATCATGTAGTTTTTGTCTTTAGTTCTGTTTATGTGATGAATCACATTTATTGATTTGCATATGTTGAACAAAATTTGCATCCTGAGGATGAAGCCTACTTGATCATGGTGGATTAGCTTTTTGTTAGGCTGCTGTATTTGGTTTGCAAGTATTTTGTCAATAATTTTTGCACAGATGTTCATCAAGGATATTGGCCTGAAATTATTGTTGTTGTTGTTGTTTCTTTGCCAGATTTTGGCCTCATAGAATGACTTGTGCAGAAGTCCCTCCTCCTCAATTTTTTTGGAATAGTTTCTATAAGAATGCTACCAGCTCTTCTTTGTATGTCTTTTGTCCAATTTAAAGTCCATTTGCTTTTCTACTCTTTATTGTGAGTTTCTTATGAATTTTGGATATCAACCCCTTATCAGACATATGGTTTTCAAATATATTTTTCCCAATCTGTAAGCTATTTCATTTTGTTGATTGTTTTCTTTGCTGTGAAGCTTTTTAGTTTGAATATAGACTCATTTATTTGTGATTTTGTAGCCTGAGCTTCTGGCATTATATCAAAAAATATATATATTGCTAATGTCAATATCCAGGAGCTTTTCCCCTGTGTTCTCTTCTAGGAGTTTTGCAGTTTCTGGTCTTAAATTTAGATATTTTTATTCATTGTCTGTTTTTAGTGCATGTTGTAAGGTGAGATTCTAATTTTATTATTTTGCATGTGGAAATCCAGTTTTTCCAGCACCATTTATTGAAGAGAGTATTCTTTCCCCCATTGTGTCCTCTTAGATCCCTTGTCATAAATTATTTGGACCTTACATACTTGGATTTATTTTTTAGCTCCCTAATCTGTGTCATTGGTCTATGTGTTTGTTTTTATGGCAGTACCATACTGTTTAGTTTACTATAATTTGTAATATGATTTCTTGTAATATAATTTCAAATTAAAAGATATAATACTTCTCACTTTGATTTGTTTTTCTCTCAGAATTATTTTGGCTATGTGGGGGTCTTACAGGTTTCCATACAGATTCTATATATATTTTTAATTTTTGTAAAAAATGACATTGGCATTTTGATAGGAATTGTGTTGAATTTGTATAATACTCTGTGTAGCATAGACATTTTATTAATAGTAATTTTCTGATTCATGAGTATGGAATATCTTTCTATTAATTTGTGTATTCTTCCATTTCTTTCATCAATCTTTATAGTCTTCAGTGTACATATTTTCCTCTCCTTGATTAAATTTATTTTTGAATATTTTATTTTTTTAAGCTTTCATACAGTGATTGTTTTCTTAGTTTATTGTTCTGTCAGGTCATTACTATAAGACTACAGTAATCAAAAAGCACAGCTTTGGCACAAAAACAGACACATAGATAAATGGAACAGAACAGACAACCAAGAAATACAGCTGTACACCGCAGCCATCTGATCTTTGACAGGGTTGACAAAAACAAGCAATGGGGAAAGGACTACCTATTCAATAAACGGTGTTCAGATGGCTGGCCAGGCACATGCAGGAGAGTGATACTGGAACTCTATCTTTCTCCATATACAAAAATTAACACAAGATGGATTAAAGATTTAAATGTACAAGCATAATCTATAAGAATCCTAGAAGGAAATCTAGGAAACATCATTCTGTACATCAGCCATGGAAACAAACTTATAACTAAATCCTCCAAAGTGATGGAAACAAAAACAAAAGTTGACAAGTAGGACCTAATTAAACCAAAGAACAACAAAAATCAATAAATCAATCAATCAATAAAAAAAAGATCAACAGAGTAAACAGACGACCTACAGAATGAAAGAAAATATTCATAAAGTATGCTTCTGACAAAGTCCTAAAATCCAGAATCTATAAGGAGCAATAAGAAAAAACTCAATTAACCCCATTAAAAAGTGAGCAAAAGAAGCTAGGCACAGTGGTGTAATCTCAACACTTTGAGAGGCCAAGGCAGGAGGATCACTTGAGACCAGTAGTTTGTAACTAACCTGGGCAGCATAGGGTAACCCTGTATCTCCAACAAAAATTAAAAATCAGCCATGTGTGGTGGTGCATTCCTGTAGTCCCCGCTACTTGGCAGCCTGAAGAGGGAGGATTGCTTGAGCCCAGGAGGTTGAAGTTGCACCAAGCAACAGCCTGGGCAAAAAATCATGAGCCTGTAAAAAAAAAAAAAAAAGAAAAAGAAAAAAGAAAAAAAAAAGAAAAAAGAAAAAGAAAAAAGTGGGCAAAAATATGTACAGACACTTCTCAAAATAATTGTGTACAGACACTTCTCAAAATAATACATACAAACAGACAACAAATGTAAAAAAATGCCCCACATCACTTTATGCAAGTCAAAACCACAATGAGACACCATCTCTCACCAGTCAGAATGGCTATTATTAAAAAGTCAAAAAACAACAGATGCTGGTGATATTATGGAGGAAAGGAAATACTTAAACACTGTTGGTGTGAATGTAAATTAGTTCAGCCACTGTGGAAAGCAGCTTGAAGATTTCTCAAATAACTTAAACAGAACTACCATTTCATATAGTAATCCCATTGCTGGGTATATATGCAAAAGAAAATAAATCATTCTATCAAAAAGACACATACACTTGTATGTCCATCACTGTGTTATTCATAATAGCAGACATGGAATCAACTTAGGTGTCCACTAATGAATGGGATAAAGAAAATGTAGCACATACACACCATGGACTACAATGCAGCCATAAGAAGGATAAAATTAATGTGATTTTCAGCAACATGGATGCAGCTGGAGGCCATTATCCTAAGCTAATTAATGCAGGAACGGAAAGCCAAAGACCACATGCTCTTATTTATAAGTAAATGCTAAACATTGGGTACATATAAACATAAAAATGGCAACGAAAGACACGGGACTACTGGCTGGAAGAGTGGAAGAGGGTCAAAGGTTGAAAAACCACCTATTGGGTACTATGCTCACCACCTGGGTGACAGGGTCAATAATCATGCAAACCACAGCATCATAAAATATACCCATGTACATTCTGCATACAAAAACTCTAGACTTTACTCTCCTTCCAGAGTTTATGTCTTTATTTCACACTTTGCATCTTTTAAATTGTGTATTTCTTAACAACTTATTATGGCATCGTAGCTTTAGTTTTTATTTATTTATTAACTATTTTTACATTTAATTTTTATTCTAGAGATATATATTGTTTTCACTCTACCATTACAGTATTGTAGTATTCTGGATTTTATTATATATTTACCTGGACCAGTGAGTTTGTAGTTTCATGTGTGTTTATGATAGCAATTATTGCCCTTTAATTTCTACTTGAATAACTCCCTTCAGCATTTCTTGCAGGGCAGGTCTAATGTGATGAATTCCTTCAGCTTTTGCTTGTCTGGGAAAGACTTTATTTTCTCTCATTTCTCAAGGACAGCTTTTTTGGCTAGAGTGTTCTTGGCTGCCATTTTTCTATTCTTTCAACACTTTTAATATAATCTTCAATTCTCTCCTAGCCTGAAATATTTCTACGAAGTTTGCTTATAGAATAAAATTCTCTCTTTGTCTTTGATTTTTGACAGTTTGATTATAATGTGCCTTGGAGAGGACTTCTTTTGTGTTGCATCTTGTTTAGAAACCTTTAAGCATCATACATCCGGTTGTTCATGTCTCTTCCAAGACTTGGACAGCTTTCAGCAATTATTTCATTGAATTAGCTTTCTTTCTGTTTTTGTGTCTTTTCTCCTTCTTGAACTCCCAAAATACAAATAGTTGTTAGACTAATGGTCTTCCATAAATCTCACAGTCCATCTTCACTTTTTTTTTTCATTCTTTTCTCTGGATGAGTTATTTGAGAAAAAATGTTTTAAAGTATAGAATTATTTCTTTTGCTTGATCTAGTCTGTTTCTCTATTTTATTTTTTTATTTAATTGATTGAATGCTTTAGCTCCAAGCTTTCTGTTTGGTTTGTTATTATAACATCAATCTCTTTGTTAAATTTCTTATTCATATCATTAGTTGTTTCCCTGATATCATGAACTAATCTATTTGTATTCTCTTATATCTCACTTAGTTTTTTTAAGATCATTATTTGGAATTTCTTTTTATGCATTTTACAAATTTCCATTTTTGGAGGGTCAGCTACTGGATAATTACTGTGTTTCTTTGGTGGCGTTTTTTTTTTCTTGCCTTTTCATGTTTTTTTATGTCTTTGCACTAATGTGTGTACATCTGTCAAGTAGTCATCTCTTCTAAACTTTATAGACTAGTTTTCTTAAGGGAAAATATTCACCAGTACGTGGGTCTGTTTGCCCAAGGTATGGTGGTTCTGGTTCAATGTGGGCAAAGTGATGTAGTCTCCATGCAATTCAAGGATAATATTTACAAGATTTAGACAAAGATCAATCACATCCTTTTTCTATTAGATGGTAATAATAATTTATGTTATATTGTTTATTGAGAAAAGTAAAGTTTTATATGAAATAACCCAATGTTTGTAAAATATTTTTAAAAATACCTTATATGTGTACACATGTTGGTGTGCACACATGTGTGTACCTGTTTATAAGCATGAAGTATATGGGTACTTTAAAGGGATAGAAAATGAAGAGGAAAAGAATTAGCAAAAGGGAGTAAGGTAAGAAAAAAACAGATTATACCAAATTTAAAAGTGAATCTGCATTAATGTTCATGGAAAACGATATAACATCAAAATGTCTTTTAAGAAATACTGAAATATTTAATAGAAGCATGGGCAAGGATTACAGTTAAAATAGATAAGAATGTTGATTTGATTCAGGTCTGGGAGTGTGAACAAAGCTGAGAATTGGAAATTTATTAGCTTGATACAATGTCTATAATAAACCATAACTCTTTAAAGGAAACAGTCAAATTACTTCTTAGCTTATATATATAGATCATATTCAGATATCTCAAATAATTTTTTCTAATTATATTCATAAATATCTAATCAGATTTATTAGCTTTTTAAGTAAAGTTCATTCTCAACTATCATCAGTTACTTCTGGGAAAACAATTTTAATTTTTCTTAGCTTAAGGAAGATGTTCTCTCAAGTTGTCAGCTATGATAGATATAACAACAAATCAATTTTAGCTGTGAAAATACAGCATTTTCTTGACAATGGTCTAGAATATTACCTCATTTGTAATTCTAAGATATCTACAAGGTACCACATGACATTTGAAATGCTATAAAAGATTGATATCAAGAAAATACTGCAACTTAGAGTATTTCAAAAAAATCTAGATTTCAGGTATGCCTCTGTGTCTTCAGGAATTTATAACTACTCATTTCAATTAATTATTTTGAACACAGTCACCACATCAATGAAATAAAATGATCACATTAAATAATTACTAAGCTTTTAGCTTTATAAAGTTATATTTTTTTAAAAAAATTGCTTTTATTGAATTTTAAAATTGTAATTAAAGATAACAACTAATATTGTAAAAGTTTTTAGATAAATTTCACTGAGAGTGAAAAGTAATATTGTATTTCTGAAGGTCAATTTTTGCTGTATATGTGAAAAGTCACTGATACATTTACACATTTTAATCTAGCTATTCTACTTCTAAAAATGTAGTCTGATGACATAATCAGAAATACACACAAGCTTTTCTAAAAAAATAACTTTTGTGGCATGTAATAAAAAAATTAAGATAGAGCATGTAATTGATAGTATGGCATGTAGCCATCTTATAGGTTGTTTTTCATGCTAGAAACAGAATAAGCTTGTTTATAAAGATAATATTAGTCAAAAACTCAATGACTAATGACTTATTCTTTTTCTTCTTAGGTGAAATACCTCTAAATTCAATACAATGTGTCTAATTGTTAATTTGAAAGAAGTACAATAAATATACTATGTCCAAAAATCAGGAAATACAGGAGAAATATGGGTAAAATATGTCATCTGGAAGCATAACATTAAAACAGTTCCCCCATAAAGCATTTAGCAATTGTTTTAGCAAATTGATTTTTAAAAGTAATATTCTCCTGTATCATGGCCACTATTTATTTCCATTACCTAATTCTCAGAACACATGCTGGGTTTCTACCTGCTGTGCACACTAATTAGGTCTTTATAGTACCAACCTTTTAACCTAACAAACCCCTTTAAGCACTGCTTATGTTGGAAAATTTCATAACATTATAAATTAAGGACACAGTTTCTGTAATTCACTGAAAGGCTATTATACATAATTCTTATTATTTTGATATTTATTTTTTTGAAAATACGAGACAGAGTTTTTAAATTCTATTCAGTGATTTTATCCCCAAACCTCAGACTCATTCTGTCCTATAGATGTCTGTTATCATATTAGGTTATAAAGAAAATTATCAACCCTCCCCACTTCTACCTTACACTAATTCACCCCAGTTACCCAGTTGAAAAAAATGATGACAGAAAGAGAGAAAGAAGAGAAACAAGAGGGGAAATAGTTATGAACTAAAAAATAAGAAAACTTACAAGCTTGAATATCATGCTTCTGAATATCTGCATACTGCAGAAGTTCTTCAAGTGCACAGCAGAGACACCAAAGCAGAATCATTGCTGTGAAATTTTAGAACACGAGTGCCAAAGACTTACAATCTTCCAGAATGAAAGACACATTTTGATAAAAGTATACACATTGTTGATCCAATTCTCCTCAAAAAAAATTTTTCAACTTTTTTGAAAGCTGCAGGTGTAGAGATACAATTATTTACCAGAAATAAACTGTCCAGAGAAAAGTCGGTCTTGAACAAACCATCATGGGACACAAAGAAAAAAATCAGCAAAACCTCTGCTGATGAAGCAGAATGTCTGCACAGAAATTACTAATAAAGAACTATATGCCATAGTAATTGAGTTTTGTAGGCTGTGAATGTATTATGTGTCTATAAATATGCTTGACTGTTTTCAAATGATTAATTATAACTCGATAATAGGATTTCATTCATTCTTATAAATCATTTGGTGTTATTTACAAAGTCCTATGGAACACAGCTGTTTAAGATATCATCAAATATAAAGTAAAACATGAGAATATTTAATATTTTGCTTCATTTTAAGGTTAAAATATTTAAAAGATTTGTTCTGCATAAATTTACTGGAAGTGATGTCTACTCAAGCAAGTAGCATTTCTGGTTTGTTTAAATAATTAATTAGTTATAGATTCTAGATAAGTCTTTGTTTAAGTATCCTAGAACAAGACTAAATTGCATTACACTGGCTATGTGGGAGACACTAGGTGGAGCCCATCTTTATTTGGTATTACATTTTATATTTATTCCCTTGATAATTCAGTGCCCCTAAATATAGATTATCTTGACCAGGTATGAGTGTTGGCTGGTGTAATTGGTGGTTTATTCTTATGGGACAGGATACTTATGGTGATCTGGGTGTCAGCAGTTTTGATTGCTCCTGAATCTTTTTAACAGGACAGTACTCATATTGAATTATGCCTTCACCTTTTGACCTCATTTAATATTATATCCTCTTCAAATTAGTCATGATGTTGAGTTAGGGCTTAAACATATACATTTTCGGGGACCCAGTTCAGTCCATAACAGGTCCTCAATAACATGAAGCTCTTCAGTTATTTTGAAAAGTCAAATGGGTTCAGCTAGTGAAATGGCTCATACATTCTTCAATGAATAACTATTTAAGCAATTCCAATAGATGAATATATATTTTCGGAGAGCACTGGATTAAAGTTACCATTTAAAATAATTCAGAAAAATGAAAATGGAGTTTTTTGAGTATTCTGCGTATTTCTTTTTTGTTCTTTAATGAAAGATTCAGGAATGACTCTCGCTCTTTTTTGCTATTGCTATTTAGGAATGTGAGTTTTGAAATTGCTTTAGTAATTGTACTAATAGCCTGAGGAGGGGGATAACATACCGAAGACCAATTTACAGGGAAATGGAGTCAAAGCCAATGAAATGAGATAGTCTTGAAGTCCACACTAGCACTACCATTTCTGATAAGTGAGCCAGAAAATTGACTTATTATTTCAAACAGTTTGTGTTTGTTCCTCTGTTACTTGTACCTTAAATGATTCTAACAGATGCAGCAGGGCAACACAATCTCCAGGAGTTAGAGATGAGTTCACTATTTCAAAATATTTTTTGTTAAAATTATCAAGTTATATGTAAGGGCAGACACAAATAAATCTATTGGCAAAAATAATATTTCAGACCAAAAAGATCTAAGTTTCACAGCAAGAGCTTGTAGGACAAGTGTCTGAGTTGCAATCCAGGTTCATTTAGTTGCTGCGGGTTCTCGTCTCTTACGGGGGTTCTGAGGATTAAATGAATAATACCTGTAAAGTGCTTAGAACATTGCCTGTCATGTAGTATGCATTCAACACATATTAGCAATTTTTGTGATTTTAAAGATTGAGAGTATAATTTTTAAGATTGCCATAGAAAAGAAAGAATATAAAGCCTGTTTTCTCAATGAAATTACGTATCTTCAGCTACACTTCCATGAAGCCACCACAAGTTTGTATAAATCTTAATTTGAGAATCACTGGATTACAGAAAGCTACCTTGTTCCAGAGATTGTTGGCTGTCCCTAGAGATGTATGCTCCGTTTTCCATTGTGTATAGTTGTTGCTGAGAATCAACAATTCAGTGAAGGACCCCACATTCCAACCTCCCTTGTGTTTAGATGGCATTATGTGATTATTTCTCACCAAATAAATATTAGTAGCAATGGTGTAAATTACTTTGTATGGGAAGATTTTACCTTGCCCAGAGAAAAGTCTGACCTTTCCCATTGGCTGCTGAGGTAATCTCTAAACCCTTAGAATATCCTGCGGGAAGAATATGTCTTCGTTTAACCTGAAAACTTTTGGCCACACCAGGTATCTAACAATGTGATAAAAGGTGAAGTCTTTGGGTCCTATGGTATCAGCTTGACCTGCAGAGAAACTGGAGACAAAAGTCAGCCACATAGTTGGTAAACCAAGTCCATGTCACCAGGCTCTAGTTAAAACTTAGGCACTAAGACTTGGGTTAGCTTCACTGGAGGCTATATACTCTACGCATATTGTCACAAATCGATTCTAGTTAAGCACTGTCCATGACTCCACTGGAAGAGAAGTAAAGGAAGCCCCACACACAGAACATTTCTAGATTTTGTCCCATGCATTTGTTCCCTTCATTGTATTTTATCCTTTCACTTTTATAACCACAACTCTGCTTATAACCATTTTCAATGACTTCTGTGAGTACTTCTAGTAAGTAATATAACTCGAGGGTAGTCTTGGGGACCACCGGACTCTGCAGGTGTTATTAGAAATGAGGGTGGTTTTGTGGTCTATTCCCTAACTTCACAGTCATTTTCTGGCTAAGGAGTTTAAAGAGTATGAGTGCCTTCTCCAAATGTAGATTTTGTTAACCAACTTGATCCAAAGAATTTCAAGGCATAGGGACTAATGGAGCCTCAAGACAGAAGGAGCCTGGAGTATAAACCAGGCTTGCACCCACATCCACATTGCATTTTTTCATGAGCAAAAAGTAAATTTCCATTTATTTAAGTAATTGGAATGTTGCTATATATTAAAACAACCTTGCCATAACGAATAGGTTTCTTAGCCGGGTTTTACTTCCTTTGAGGCACTAAAAGATGGCATGTAAGTTTAAACAACAACAACAACAAAATAAACAAACTAATTGCTGATAGATAATGGCAGTCACTGTTATTTATTGAATTTTGAATCCACGTTTTCTGCATATTTTATGTCTGATGTTCTGGTAGATGCTGTTAGAGTTACTTTAAGTAATAAAAATAGTTTGCTGGTAATGTCTATTCTCATTTCAGGTAGAAACAATACCCTTTCTACCACTTATTTTATTCAATTATAAAGTCTCCACTTTAATATATAATATGAATGAGCAAATATTATCACCTTACAACCTCTACAAATTATTTTAAAAGAATGCTAATTTGAACTTTATTTAAAGCAACCAAATCACTTATCTACCAGGTAGAATTTAGTTCTGCTTTATTGTTCCATTATTTCCACAAGTATAATTGCCAATTAATTTACTCTATTTTTCTCTCATTCCAATTAGAGTTCTCTTTGAAGTTTCCTGACCATTGAAACAAAGCCCTAGGTTTTAAGCTCTATGTAGCCAGTGGTGATTCAAATGTCAGTGCTGCAGGCTGTGAAACATCCTTTTTCATTAGCTTGAATAAACTGACTTATTTAGCTTGCTATCTAGCAATCCTGAATGTTTAATGTCTGCTGAAAATTTGCAGCTGAGATAATATCACTCTTCACACTCTGAACTTTTCAAATATTTTTTTAACTCAATATAACAAAGAGTAGCATTCTCATACCATATTTTAAGCTTTTATTGGAAGTACAGGCTATTATAAGATGATAAAACAGATAGAAAGCATTCTCTTTTATCTACAGTTAGAGCTAAGAATATGTTGTGGTATCTGTTTGTTTATGTAAAAAGAAATTCAAAATCATCAATAGATGGCCATCCTCTTGAAGGCATAATATTTTGCTTAGTTTAAAAAATAGTAGGCAATATGTACCAAATGAAAATGGGAAATCTATGTTCTGTAGCTCCTTTGTATGGCTGTGTTATTTAGTAAAAGTTTAGAAATAAGTAAACTTATACAAAATGGAAAATTTTCTAAGCAAGTAAAATGAAACCACTTTTTATTTCTGTGTCTTGTTTGAACAGAGCATTAGATGCTAATTCGAAATTTATAGTTTTCACTAGATTTTGTGAAGACAGAGACATATCTATAATGCCTCTGGGAAAACAAATGAAATGTTTTTAGCCCCAAATGTAATCCTTTTAAATTCTCACACATTCTGATATTGTACCAAGGTATTGATGTATATCATAGCAGAATTTGACTAAGGAGAAATATGATTCAAGCCTTTTAAAATTATTATTGTCTCATTGTATCTTTTTTCTCTTACCCTCACTCTGCTCATTTCAATGAGGAAGGATTTCCTTAGTATGCAAGGATGGAAGAAGGAGAGAGGAAGCTCTTCCTTCTCTCCCTCATGTACCCAGGATATCTTTTAAGAAGAGAAGAGAACCGGGAATGCCCACTCCCCTCTTTCTAGATGCACAGTCATTCATCTTAAGTCTGTATCCCTTTGGATTGCGTCCTGAACCCCTGGGACTCCTTTGAAAAAATGCCTTCTTTTTCATTTCTCCTCCTCAGTTCTCTCTACATGGATAGGTGATTATGTCTCCGTACTGTAGGGCACTCCCCTCAGATGCATCCTCCAAACTGGAAAGAGTTAATTTCCAAAACCTTAAACTCTTTGGCTTAGGATTGGGCTCGGGGGAAGGGAACCCAGAAACCCAACGTGCTGGCATAAAGGTTTTTTGTTTCTCTCTCTTTTTTTTTTTTTTCTTTTTTTAGACAGAGTCTTGGTGTGTCTCCGGGCTAGAGTGCAGTGGCACGATCTACGCTCACTGCAACCTCCCCTTCCTGGGTTAAGCCATTCTCTTGCTTCAGCCTCTCGAGTAGCTGGGACTATAGGCGCAGCTAATTTTTGTATTTTTTAGTAGAAACGGGGTTTCACCATGTTAGCCAGGATGGTCTTGATCTCTTGACCTCGTGATCCGCCTGCCTTGGCCTCCCAAAGTGCTGGGATTACAGGCATGAGGCACTGTGCCTTGCCAGGGTAAAGGTTTTCTTTTTTTTCTTTTCCAGTCAGGCTTTTGCCCTCCCTCTCCCAGTGCAAACTGGTAAAGGCCTCGGAATTTTTGAGCTGCCCTTACCCCTCCCCTTGTTTCATTTTGATACATGTTTTCTCATAACCTGGTTTGTCTGTTCTTTCCTCAAGGCTATCAGACTCCAAACAGTTTGACAACCGGAGCCTCTGACAATGGCTCCTTACTGCTGAGAGCCCTTAGGCCCCTGAGGGAGCTCTGACTGCAGTTTCCCCAAACAGCGCCCCCTTTTGGCAGGAAGCAGTTAAGATTAGTCTTCGTCCTTATCCTTATTCTAAGGGCAGTTAGATGCACTTCATTACAGGTGGGACTGAGACAACCAGGTGCGAGGGATCCCTGGAGAATCTCCAATCAGCCTGCTCACTGACGTGGAGCCTCCGAAGTTCACACATTTGCAGCAGGGAGGAGCCTGTCCCCTCCTCTTCCTGTGTGGAACGTGGGGTCCAACGCTGGGGCAGGAAGCACTCCAGCAGGGGACTCTGGCCTTGCAGAGGATCTCTGTTTCCCCATTTCCCCCCTTTTCACACAATAAAAATCCTGCTTTATTCTTTTCGTGGCTGTGGAACAGACAAGAACACCATCTTTAGCTGAACTACGGAAAAGTCTTGCAACACATCCATCCATATGTGCGAGGAGATAGGAAAAAACGTATGTTAGGTTTTTACTTTACTGTCCTCAACAGGGTGATAATGTGTTATATCATATCCTCCCCGCCCCCGGAATTTTTTCTTTACTCCCTAGAATATACCATGTATTCAGCATGATCTCTGATATTGATGTTGATGAGAATAATGAAGTCAGATGAAGTGTATACAGTATGCAAATTGTATATGTATCAATAGTTTGGCATAACTGATATCAACATTAATTAATAAAATTGTGTATCATTAAGTGAAACAAAATATCAGAGAAATATATCTTTATAAAGCAGGGTACAATGAACATAAGCTTGATCATATTAAAGGCAGTGTAGTACCACTTAAATAACTTTCTACATGAGATTATCTACTCAGTTTTAATTACACCTGTATAAATTAAGTACAATGATAATAAAAATTAAATTGTGTGGACTCTAAATAACATAGAGTCAAATTTATATGATGGCCTGTTGAAAATATATGTATGTAATATTTGACATCCGACAATGTACTATAGCAAAATAACCAAACATTACAATAGCTTACATAAGCTAGAATTGTATTTCTATCTCACATAGTTATGCAGAAATTGGCTGTTACTCCAATTACTTTAAGGATAACAGGTAGCTGTTTCATATTCCATACCTGGCTTTTATCTTTTGATCTTTACCTCTTTCTGACATGATTTTTGCATTCAGCAAGTGTGGAAGGAATGAAAGTACAAGGACTATGAACTCACGTTCCAATTAAGAGTGTAGGGGTTAGGGTCCATTGATGTGCCAGCTAGGAGGTTGTTAAGGAGCCTGAATTTAGAAGGGTCCCCACATTGGTTTAATACTTTGCTGTCACTTTCTTGAAATTCGTAATAATTTTTTAACAAGACTCTGCATTTTTATTTGGCATTGAACCCTGAAAATTATGTTGCTAGCCCTGAGAAAAATGACCGAGGCATGCATTTCCCCTTTTGAATTCTTACTGGCCAAAATTTGTTTATATAACCACAACTTTGCCACATTAAATGCTGAAGATTGTAATAGCTTGCTGGCAGCCAGGGAGAGCTAAAACTCAGGAGTTTTATATTAAAAGGAAAAAAGAATGCATATTGACTTACATCTAACAGTCTCAGCCAGTGTCCATGTTTTCCTTTTTTTGATTCCCAGAACCTAGGAATATGACAGGCACATAGTAGGTGGCTATATTTTTTGTTGAGGAAATAAATACGTGACTGAAATACATGAAATAAATGAAATCAATAAAACAAAACAAACAAATCTTTTAATTTTAGTTGGAGATATATCATCAAAAGAACATTAGAAAATGAGATTGGCTCAATCTAGTACCATTTTTATTATTAGATAAATATTTCCAAAGATTCAAAAATACTTTCAAAATTCCTGGTTCACAACAGATAAAAGCAGGTAAGTATTATGCCTATGGAGCTCAATTTCCAGAAGGATAAATAATGTTTGGTCAAACTGTGATACAGAGGTACGAAATCTCACACTCTTTAATTACTGGTGAATGTATCAAGTTTCTCCTGGTAAAAGTAGTCTTAACTTGGACACATTTTGGTGTCATACCTTTTTTACTGTAACCACTTTAAGAGTAATATGTTTTCTAAAAATAGTGTTAGGACAATTACATGTGATTCTGGATTCCCAGATAATAGATTATTGCTGGTGAAATTAGCATAAACAAAAAATTTTAGCAATATAGAGTCATTTGGTATAAAGCAAAACAAACTAATGTGTCACAATAATCACTGCTGTTTGTTATTACTACTGCATAAAGTAACTGATGGTCATCTTGATTACTTAGTATAGGGAATAAGGAATTTAGAAATAAGGAATTTAGAAAAAGCTGCATAAAAGAATTACATAAAAGAGTTTGAAGGTATAAAAAGTGTACAAGTTTTGCATTTCTGAAAAATATCCTTATAAAAATCTATTTAGTCCCTGTTAAATTACTGAATAAATACAGCACTTGGGTAATTTGTAAATTGTAAATTTTATGCTCATTATTATGAAAATGCATTAGAGTACTTAGATGTTGAGTTGGAGGATACATTAGCGGAAAAGTAATGCATAAGAAGGCATTATTATATTAGTTAGAGTGAAGGCTGAACAAAAATAAAAGGAGACTAATTGTAATGACTCAGGAAATAAATTTATTTCTGTCTTATGTAATGTGCAGGATATATATTTGGAATCTTCTCAAATTAGTCATGTCAGGATTAGTTAGGGGCTCTACCATCCTTGAAACATGATTTTCAAGGTTGTTCCTTTCATAGCCATTCACAGACGGGAAGAAAAGTAAGAGTGAATCCAGGCCAAGTTTCTTTTAAGTAAGTGAAATGGAAATTGTTGAAATGTTTTCTACTAACATTTTGTTGATGAGAATTTAGACATATAGTCAACTACTTAGAAATGAGATAAGAAAATGTAATCTAGCTGAGAAGCTCTGTACCTAGGAAAAAAGAGATTACTTTGAGGGAATAAATAAGTATTGTAACAATACTTTCCCAAATACATTATTTACAATTTAAAAATTATTTTTAAAATGATTTTTACTTATGGAATTTCTAGCAATACACTGAATGTCCTATGGAATTATCATTTCTTAAACTGCTTTTATTTAGAACAGATTTACTTAGATTTACAGAAAAATTCAAAAAGACAGAGTTCCTATGTACTCCACTTCGTTTCCATGTTATTAAATTCTTAAATGTAATACATTAAAATAGTTATCTTTGTTACAATTAATCAATATTGGTACGTCATTATTAACTAAAACCTATACTTTATTCAGATTTCCTTAGCTTTTATTTAATATCCTTCTTTCACTGCTACTACACAGGAGAGTATTGGCTTTTTTATATTAACTTTGTGTCCTTGCTCTGTTAGCTGAGAGAGCCTAGATGCAATGACAATCCTGTAGCAATGAGCACACCCACTGTCTAGATTTTGGTTTCTGCAATACCATTTCCCAAAAATAGTAAGAAAAGATTCTTAGAAAAATGCCTGGTTCTAGGACTGGGACAGGAAATAATACAAGGTGAGCCAGTGATAGAGCATAACTCTCCACTCACTGAGTGTGGGGTATGCACAGTAACTTTGTTCAAAATGGTACAGTATGGAAAGGAAGAAAAATGAGTGAGCTTTTAGTGTACACCCCAGACAAAGACTACATCAGTCAGGTGATCAAGGTAAACATCTCGATAATTTATGTTGATAGTAAGTACCCTTTATATGACATAATGAAATGGGGCTATGTGGTCTTCTCCCAAAAATATAGAACTGCAGTCTAATTATGACAAAAACGTGTATTTTACTGATGTTAAATGGAATATTCTATAAATTTCAATAGGATCAAGTTGATTGGTAGTGATGCAAGGTTAAACTGTGTCTGTAGTGATCTTCTGCCTGCTTGATCTATTACTGCAAGAGAGGTGTTGAAACCTCAAACTATAATAGTAGATAGTTTCCTTTTCAATTACATAAACTTTTGCCTTATATGTTTTGATGCTCTATTGTTAGTTTGTTAAAGTTTGCTATGTCTTCTTGGAGAATGGTTCCTTTTTTCATTATGTAATGTTTATCTTCATCTCTGAACATTTTTCTTGTTCTGAAGCCTGTTTCTTCAGCAATGAATATAGCTACTTCAGTCTTCTTTTGATTGATATTAGCACAGTATATATTTTTCTATCCCTTTTAAGTTGAATTTTTATATACGTGGACTTCTTTTAGAAAATATATAGTGGAATCTTTTTTGTTGATTATGTCAATCTGACCTAAGGGTAGTATTTAGACCATTTACATTTAAATTGATTGTTGAAATACATAGATTAATATCTACTATATTTCTAATTGTTGTATATTTATTGTACTTAGTCTCTACTTTTCCTGTTTCTTCCTTTTCTGCTTTTAATTGAGAATTTTTACCATCCTATCTTTTTTTGTAGCATATCTATTTTAGCATATATTGCTTTAAAATATATATTTCAGTGAATGTTCTTGAGT
The DNA here is from genome assembly GCF_000001405.40 of Homo sapiens. Lineage (NCBI taxonomy): Eukaryota > Metazoa > Chordata > Mammalia > Primates > Hominidae > Homo > Homo sapiens. The sequence continues at coordinate 190,089,154 of NC_000001.11, forward strand.
TTATAATACATTTTTTTAACTATCTTACCTCCAACTTTAAATAGTACTATATGGCATCATGTTAGTACAGGTATGTTGTAACAGAATGATTAGTAAATATTTCCTAGATTTTTCAAGTTAAAAAAGAAAATCTGTTGAGCTGTTAAATCTATTAAACTATTTGTGAATTTAGCATAGAGGATTATAGACTGGAATATTCTGCAAAATTGGGGGCCACGAAGAAAATAAAAATTAAGAATTACATAATAGACATTATATAATTTATATGTATTTTATAAATTGTTTTATAACTTACTAGAATTTTCTGTCCAAGGGAAACAAGACAATATCATAAACCAGTGTATAGATCATAGAGTTTCAGAAACATAACTGAGATAAGACATTTTACACATTTCCACCACTTCCCCATAAGTAATAAATAAAACACTTTCTAAATATAGTAATCTATTTCACATAATTTGTAAGTACAATCTTCTGCATTTAAATTATTTGAGTATAATATTTTTATTAGTCCTAGTGTTTAAAAATTTTTAAGAAAGATACGCTTTTATATTTATTTAATCTATGTAAGTCATCATATAAATATTAGAGAATCTGGGCAAGCACAGTGGCTCACGCCTGTAATCCCAGCACTTTGGGAGGCCAGGGCAGGTGGATTCCCTAAGGTCAGGGGTTCGAGACCAGCCTGCCCAACATGGCGAAACCCCATCTCTACTAAAAATACAAAAATTAGCCGGGCGTGGTGGCGGGTGCCTGTAATCCCAGCTACGTGGGAGGCTGAGACAGGGAGAATTGCTTGAACCCAGAAGGCAGAGGTTGCAGTGAGCCGAGATTGCGCCACTGCACTCCAGCCTGGGTGACAGAGGGAGACTCTGTCTCAAAACAAATTAATTAATTAATTAATTAAAATTTAGAGAATCTGAAAATACAGAAAGTGATTTAACAAGAATAAATTTTATTTTAAACAGTAAAATTTGCTACCATGTTTTATCAATTCTTGATACTACTTTATCTTACTAGCCTCAAAGTAAAGGAGGATTGTCTACTGCAGAAAATAGCAAATATCAACCACTTTCAAGTGAATTATAACATACTACTTAATAATAAGGCAACTATTTGGGTAATTGTGGTTTCACTTAAAATATTTTGTTTGCAATATTAAAGTTATTATGTTTTATGGAAATCAATAAAATGAATTTATTGAGTGAGTTGCTCATTTTCCATCCTCTTTTTGTGTAGGATAGTATGGACAGCTCCCTAAGGAAAACTTAACTAAATGTATATTTGTGATATGTTTTTGAATCGTCTTCCTTTCCCATTAAAATGAAGTATGTTAGGTGAATGACGCTGCGACCTGGCAGTGGAATCAGCCATATGTTGTTGATATAATGATGGAAGAATATGGACAAGTGCTATTGAAATGATCCAATGATGCTGTTTTAGTTTAGAAAAAAAAGAAGAATATAACAGATTTTATAGCATTGGCTCTTAGCTGTATTGATTTTAACCTTGCTGTAATATAAATTATGCACAAGGCTAAGACATTTACCCAGAGGAACTATTTTTATAGAATCTTTAAATTCAGAATCCCATTTTTATGTCATATATTCAAGGAACCAATATATGTTGGACTTATAAAGTGTAGTGGGTACAGGGACCACTGACTTCAGGCTTTTCAATAACTGTACATAGTAAAGGCTTAAAGAAAGAATATGATTATGTGTGGTTCTGCCTTCTATGAACTTAAAGTCTAATAGAGTTACTTAGGTAAGAAATTAAGCACAACAGACTATCAGAATGACTTTATTAACATTTTGACATTGTTGCAATTGGAGTGTAAAGGCAGTGGTTCATTTTGTTATCCAAAAGATGAATAATAAATTCAAATGTACTGTGATTTTTTTTTATCAGACTCACAAATGAGCATTATCGTTATTATTTATCATCCTCATCTTCATCATTATAAATGGAAGACAAGGGTGTGGGATAGAAGAGTGTTGCAGGCAGAAGACAGGATGCTATGTAAGAAAAAAGTCTAGAGACATGAAAGAGTGTTCCATCTTTGTACTAAAAACCTTTTGTATAGTTAGATTTAGTTTGAGGTTAAATAAATACAATTGAAGAGAAGGATAGAGAAGTAGCCAAGGACGGCATTATGAAAAGAATTACATGCCAACTAACAAGTTAGATACCTATCCTATTGAAAAGTATGTAACAGATTTATATTTTAAAAGATTTGTATTGTCAATGTTCACTCTTGTGACTGGGTGAAGCATGGATTGGAAAGGTTTCAAGGGGAATTAGAGGAAAAATACATATTTTAGATTTTCGTCAGTACAGCAATCTCAGTAATTTAAAAAATATATAAAAGCTCCCTAATAAACACATAAAACTGACAGATTAGATAAACAACTACCCTTTTAAGCAAAGCTAACAAGGAAGAAAGCAAAAGAAAACATCAGAACTCAAAAATGAAGCAGAAATTGAACCTTGAGATAATGGAGGATATGTGGGTAAGATAATGACAGAAGAAGAGAAAAATTCCAGTCTTGCTAACCAAGAAGTTTATAGGTTTGAATCACTGTGTAGGACATCAGGAGGGGCTTTACTGTATCTAAGTAGATAACAAAGATATTGAAAATATATAAACAAAAACGTATAAAATGCAGATAATGAAGTTGAATCGAGACGACAGGAGAGTCTCCCATCTAGAAAAAGTTTCCTCATTGGTGGGACTGCTCAGGTGAAACAAGAAGAGTGAGAAAGTCACACACTGAAGCTGCACTTGCAGCAAGTATGGACAGGCCGCATGTGACTATTGAACACTTAAAAAATGTAGCTGGGCACAGTGGTGTGTGCCTGTAACACTAGCTACTCGGGAGTCCGGGAGGCTGAGGCAGGAGAATTTCTTGAATCCAGGAGGCGGAGGTTAAAGTGAGCCGAGATCAAGCCACTGAACTCTAGCCTGGGCTACAGGCTACAGAGCAAGACCGCTTCTCAAAAAAAAAAAAAAAAAAGAAAAGAAAGAAAAAGGCAAAATTGAGATGGGGATAAATACATACTAGATTTCCAAGACTTGGGACAAAAATATCTATAATGGCCCCAGTAATAATATTTCCTATTGATTACATCTGAAATTATATCTTAAATATATAGGTTTAATTAAAATATATTAAAACATTTATTCTGGCTTTTCTTTTGCTTTTGCTTTTAACAAAAAGTGGCTACATGAAAATTTGAGATTACATGTATGGCTTGCATTATATTACTGTTCAGCAGCTCTTTCTGAGAGAATAATCTTTTAACACTAGAGCTCTCCCCAGCTAGCACTCATATTATTATTTGTTGATAGTGTTAACACTATAAGCCACTAGAATTTAATTTATTCCTGGCTTTTGCTTTAAGATGTAAATCTTGTTTTTGAATCCTCATTTCCAAACAGAAAATCAAACCCAAGCTAGAGAAACTATATTCTCTTTAACCATTTAAAATGACAATTGTATTATCTAATGCTATTTTATACCTCCTTACTATATTTCTGAATTTTTACATTATTTTATATAAATTTTAATATCTGTTGATGGAAATTTCTACTAATTGATCTTATTTTCCAATTGGTTTATTTGTTCACAACCATTTGTTTTCCCAAACACACTTTAAAATAATTATGATATATTTATAATTATAAAAAATTCTATTAAGATCTTCTTTAATGGAAAGTAAACTTAAAAATTACTTTAGAAGTGATATCTGTTGCAGTATTGGTGTATTCTTCTAACAGCATAATGCATATTTCCAAAACTGTCAGTTTAGTTTTATACTCTTACATAATTTCAGTAAGTGTATTTCTTATATTTACCTAACTTATATCTTCATCTACTTTATGATTTATTCTTCTGCTTTAGACTTTTCCAACTTATGATGGAAGAAATGTTCAACTGTATTAAAAATAAGAATCTAATATTTTGTTTTATTCTACAAAAATTGAGAGCTGTCCTTCTTTCCATTAGAAATTTATTGTTAGATGTTTATTTAGAAGAATTTTAAACACTTACTATACTTATTTTTAATGATAGGTTTCTGCTTATTTTCCTAGATCTCTAAAATATCTAGTATATAAAGTGCGTAAGTGAATATTCACTGTTATTTTTTCTTGTTTTTTATTATTTTAATGATTTAAAATGAATATATATATATATTTAAAACTGCCTGTTACCATAAAATACAAACAAAACTATATTTCAAAACCAAAAATATAAGAGATACATTTTAAATACTTTGGTGTGAAATACTGAAATTGATTTCCGTTTTCTGTAGTAAATACGTTTTTAAGTATTATTGATGTTTGAGTGTTATTAAGTATTAAGTAGCTTTCTATTATTGCTACAGATATTTTACATGGACCTCATTTTTTTCCCCATACTTATTCATTCTTGCACTTTTGAAGTCCTTTTCAGGAGTGTTTTGTGTCCATAATAATTTTCGATGGAGGGAGTGACAAGTCAGAAACCTGTGATAAGATTACTCTTATCTGGAAATGTTCATATTTACAATGCTCTCAGAATAGTGCTTTACTCATGCTAAGTATTGCATATCTATTCAACTATTCACATATTATGCACTATATCTATTATGTGATAGCCATATTCTGTCATGGTAGCATAAAATAGTACTTCAGTCACTCATTGGTTAATCTGATTGCTAGCACACAGCAGAATTTCAAGAGTAAGATTTTTGCTTCACTTTGAATTTCATTTATATGTACTAATTTACTACACTTGGATGCCATGTCCTAAATATTAAATAATTTGACATGGATTTCTAATTATCAGTTATTCATAGTTCATTAAAGTAGCTAATGTTGCCTTCATGTAAAAGAAATGGAGATGTTTGTAAAAATTTCCTGCTAAAATGCACTTACCAAATACTGGAATTATTAAAGTGACTGAATTATAATTCTTGAAATTATTAGACTAGGAAAGACTAGATATAGAATTACAAATCTGATCTCATAGGTGGAGGAAAGAAAGAATGTCAATAGCAACAGTATAAATAGATGGTATAGTCAATAGGAATGACAAAGTATAAATTCTCAAGTTTTAAAAATTCAACTGATTGGACTATACTTCCGAAGGGTACTAAAAGTTTAGCATATGTGAGTCAAATGATAAATATTATACTTAAGGCTAGAGGGAAAACGTAAGTTTGCTAAATGATTATTATTCTACTAAAATCATCCAGGCACAAACTCAGTGTGATACTGTTATCATAGCATGGTTTGCTCTATTTAGTGTGTCCTTTTCATTTGTCACATTGATTTGGAAAACGTATATGTAGTCTCTTAAAATTTTATACCAAGTTTATTATGTAAAGGGTGTCTTTTCTATTTGGTTTCCAAAACTTTTCACTTTCCTTCCAGTTGAATTCCTATATTCTATAACTTCCACTTTAGCAAATCTATATAGTCTTATTTTGCTCTTATGTTTTTTCAAATGGGTTATTTTATTCAAATGAATATATTTTATATCTTTTCAAAATGAAGAGCTTTTCAATGTGCATAATGAAGAGAACAAAAGAAGGTCTGTGTAGGATTACAGAACAGTCCATGGTCCTGGTTCATTCCAAGCTATTTCTTCCCATTTTGAGATTAACCACAAAGACAGGGCGGGGTGGGGGAGAGAGAGGGAGTGAGAGTGAGAGAGAGAGAGAGAAAAAGAGAGAGAGAGCACGAAGAGAAAATGAACCATCTTTTATTATTGAAATGCACCTGGGACCATCAGCTATTTCTGCATTTTCATTTTTATTTCTTTGAGCTGAGAGTGAACATTTGGAAACAGATTCACCTTGCTAAAATGCAACTTGAGATTCCAGAGATTGAAAGTCAAGTCACACTGTGATGGTCATCAAAATAGTTGATGCAGTAAGAGTTGTTCCTAGAGGAAATGTATTCACAATAAATTTTTGATTTTCAGAATTTCAAGTACTATTGAATTTATTAACTTCAAGATAAATTTAGAGTCATTAATTTGGGGATATCAAGAATCTAAATGAAGTAAAGTGTCCTATTTTTGAAACATGATTTCAAATAAATGTTTTGTTCTAAATAAAGTTTTGACAATAAAGTTTATATTAAAAATTAAAAAAACAAAACTTTGTATTAAAAATAACCGAATTCCTAAAACAGCAGTGAGCAAAAATGGTTGTATATAGGCCAATTCAGGAAAAATTAAATATTTTTGAGCTGCATTTTTCTCATACATTGGTAACTCATGTTGTATTAACTTAGATTATTAATATAGTCGATTTCTTATGGACATTTCTTAATAGGTGGTCATATGTGAGATATGGAAACATAAAACATGTTTATGTTTTAGTCATGTATCCTCTAAGTCTATATATCCCTGTAGAATTTGCTTGTTATGTTTATATAGATTGTATTCATGTTATTTTAGACACAATATTCAGAAAAAGGTATTGATATTACTTCTCTCCTTTCAGGAGAAACCTTGACTCAGAGCTATTAAACACTCACTGACAGAGCACTAAAAGACTTGGAGCTAAGATAATTTTATCTTATTCAATAGGACCTTTGTGACAACACTTGCCAGGCATGAGGAGTCCCAGGATAAGACTCCAGTTATGAACTTTCTTACCTGTGGTCATGGGTCTTCTCTCTCACATGGCGGCCAGAAATAAGTTAGCTGTGCAATAAAAGAAATAGCACTCCTGACAATTTCTTTTAAGTACAATGAAATTAATGTCCTTCAGAGTCCATTGGTAATTTGCATGTTCCTCAGATGGTTTCTGGGTGTCAAAGGGTCTGGACAGCTGGACCTTCAAGACTCTTCTGGAAAAGGTCCTGGAGGCAACTCTGACTTTTACAGTATGTGTCTTTTCAAACATACTGTCTGTGTTTGATAAGCTTGGTCACCTTGTGGATTACTAATTGTGTATGATCAATGCCTGTTTTATATAATGTTTTAGATGTACTGTGAGTGTGTGTATCATATAATGTTAACTGATTTAGACCTCAATTTCTTAAGTTACTCGTGTTTCAACCATAAGCCATTGCATGAAATGAAATTAAATGCAGAAATACTATGGTTCATTTAGTGCTCAGTGGTGCAATAAAAAGAGGACAAATTTGTTCCAGAGAAGTCTATGTTGGAATCTTGATCTTTCAACTTAGTTTGTGATCTTGGGGAGCTTGACAAGCCACTATGAGCCTTTGTTATTTTCACCAAGAAAATGAGAATGATAATTTAAAACCTAGTGCTATTGTCAGAATTAAACAAAAAGAATATTTTCTATGATACCAGAATGATGGTGTTTAATACTAATATAAATTTTCTGTTGAATGACCTACTATAACAGAAAGTAGTTTTTTTTTAAAAAAAATCAGCTAACTGAAGTAAGACATTCAGCTACACATATATTAGGTTGGAAGAATAATTATTTGCTTATGGTGTATTGGTTATTTTCTGTCTGAACTGTCTTTTGCTCTTAAATGCTTAGGAGTTAAAAATAACCCAAGAATCAAGAATGGCTGTTATTATAATGTTTTGTTCTATCTGTTCTTTTTTTCTTCCATGCCATGGGGTTCTTTCTCTGTGCCCTGAGAAATGCCTTCATGACCAACAGGAAAGCTGGCCTGGTCTGGACAATGGATTTGGTTAAGTAATAAGAAAGTATTTATAAGTTATCTAGAATAGAGCTGAGTGATAAATAGCAAAAAACACATTTTACAGATATGGTCACATAGCTAAACACAAATGAAATTCAAGTTTATAGAAAAAAACAACTAATAATATATCTAATATTATTTCACGAGTAAATGGAAACAACTTTCAAATGAAAATTTTGAACTAAAATTGTTTTCATATTGAAATAATTTTCTCCTCAAAATATTTTTAGTAATATGTGCTTCTCTGAGAGAAACAAATCTATTTACACTTGAACTAGGTATTTGAACATTTATTTTATACCATTACCTTACAACTTGTGAACTCTAGAAATGTTGTTTTATTGACACTGGTAAAGTGCTGGAATAACTAGGTTTTCAGGATTTGAAATTAAAATAATTGTGCCGAGTGTGCTGATTATTGGTTCCTAGAATGTAGAAAGGGAAGGAGAAAGCAAGCAAGTTGCTAAGGAAATTAAAGGTTTGCTTTCTCCATGCTATGCTTTATTATCACACTGATTTTTCTGTATGTTTGCTGAAATATTCTGATGTTTGAGAATTAGTTTATCTGAGTACTTTAATTACAATTGTGTCTCTAGTATTGGTTTCCCAAGTACAGGTAATAAACATACTACTGTCGTTGTTCTGTTAACCATAAAAAACAACTGAATAGTAAGTATCCTACCTACTTGGGTTTTCCATAAAAATAATTGAAAGAGACCTTCAAATATTTCCATTAAAAATTCTTGGTGAATTTTCCCCAGGTTCTAACAAACTGTATCAAAATAGAACTCATTTCATGGAAAAAAGGAATCCCACAGCATTTCTTTTTAATAACTGTTCAGCTACAAAATTTTATTGGTATCTTTTTATGTTCCCTCTAGAGGATGTAATGCACAAAAGCATTGCCACGGAACATATAAAATTACAAATGAAATTTATTGTAAAAAGTAGAATGTCTTCTAGACTGGTGTCAGTATTTATGTCATTCATAAACCAAAACTGCTGTATAATATATTCATTGTCAGCAAGTTCATGTGTGTAAATTGCCATCCAATGTTATTGACTGATATAAGACAGATATTGAAAAGACAATTTAAATTTACTCTTCCAAACATAAACTGTTCCACAAAAGCACTGTAAAAACTCCTTCAAGATTTTGGGTTGTGCTTGACATTTATGGTTAACTACATAATTTGGTCGTGTCATAATCCATTGTGTTTGGCAATTTGGCATTAAACGCCTGCAGAGCAGATTGGATCCTCACCACCTCACTAGTAGACAGCTTGAGTCTATGACGAAGCAAGCAAGAGAAAAGATCTAGACGACGCTGACCAGGTGGGGAGAGTTTATTTACACGGTCTCTGATCTCTAGTAGTTGCAAAAGTGCTGAATCCTGGGATCCCTGAGTATAGGGGTAGTCCAGCTGCAAAATCAGGTCCCGAATTGCTTCAGGGTCAAAGTGCATGCTGTAGCCAAACACTTGAATGTTATTGATTTTCATATAGCCCAGGTTCCGGGAAGGGTCAATAAACTCCAGAGGTTCATAGTAAATGCTCTCATTACCATTGGGACCATTGGACTTGATGCGACTTCTCAGGTAGATGTGTACTGTCTCAAAAAATGTCTTCCATTTGTTCCCCAGAGTTAATGTCCAGTTATAACACTGCAGGGGTAGGTCCAACTTAGTCCGCTCCCAGTCTGGAAAGCTGTTTTCATTCACAGGCATAAACCAGCTCTCAGAGTGGCTGCCTCCGAAGGGATTGACATAAACAGCCAACACTGGCTCCAAGGTGCTGTTTTTAGTTAAGCAAATCTGTAAAGAGAGACCCAAAATCATATGGACCAGACTTGACTTGTACTTATTGCTCTTCAAGGTGAGGAGCATCCGCTTACGCCAGGAGGGATCAAACCAGCTATTGAGGCGCATGTCATTGCTGATAAAAATGGCATGGACTTCTATTCGTCTGTCCGTTTTCTGCAGCAGATATTTCATCTCGAGATCTTGCAGGTCAGTTTCAAAGCCAATATAGTGATCGGTGGACTCGGCGACTTCAGGCTTGCAGAGCCCCTGGCTGAGCATGTAGCCGGTGTTGCAGGTGCCGCAGCGGGTGCGGTTGTCTGGTGCGCATGTCAGGCAGGCAGAGGCGTCTCCCACTGTGCAGGGCAGGAACGCGGTGCAGACCACCTGGTCATTCGGACACGTGCACGAGTGCGTCTCTTCTGAAAAGCTGCCTAGGAGGCCGTTCTCATTGCAGTAGAGAAAAGACTGGATGCGAGTAAGCCAGTAGGTTGAGGTTCTAGAAATACAAAACAGAACGAATCTACATAAATACAAAGATATTCTGTGTACTGCAGTAAACCGTAGCTCAGAAATCTTTGCTATCATTTCTTCAGGTCATCTCCAGCCAGTAATTTAAATGAAATAAAAGATTCATAGAGCTCATAATTAGACTATATAATACACACACACACACACACACACACACACACAGACGTGTGTATGTATATTCCATTTATCACTGCACAAAACAAGATTAGAGCTATACTTGGTCTGAACTGCAATACATTTCTAAATATGTGATATCTTCTAAAGACATTGCATGCTATCTCATTAGTGCACATGGAAGACCATTGTAAATAAAAATGGGTCATTATTGTTTTGAAATAAGAAGAAGAAAGGTAAGTGATTTTATCATAAAATATCTGTAGGAGAATTAGAGCATATACATGGTGATTGTTCATTCATTTACTCTTAGCTTTATAAACCACTAGTGTTGCAGGAAGGATGAATAGAAAGTAAAAGAAAAATGAAAGAAAAACAGCTCTAAATTGTCAATCAGTGTATTTAGATGCTAGGGTTGTCATCAACATTGAAAGAACAAGTACCCACTCAAAGAAATATTAAAACATGTTTATTCTTACAGGCTGCTCAAGAAAATAGTTGAAAATATCTCATTAAAATCAACAAGCTCCTTCAATAAGGGGTAAGTGTGTTAGTTTAATGTGTTTGATTTGAGTCATTAACATTTTTTTTCTCATCAGGTTAATCATGATTCCTTTTTCAAATCTCACTTTTCTGATTTTCTCGCATTATTTAAACTATTTTGGTGTCTTAAAACCAGTAAAATAATGAGGGAAGAGCAATGGCCTTGTAATAACACAATTCCTTGTTTTCAGTTTGTTGCTTTCTCATACTGCATGTATGATCATGGGAAAAGTTGCACAGCCTCTATAACACACAGTTCTCTCATATGAAAAATGGGAATAGTAATATCGTCCATGTTGAGATTTTGTGAGAAATAAATTAAGGTCAAACTCTATGCATGTACTTAGAATATTGCAAAGTGTCTGTTTCACAGTAGATACACAACAATTCCATTTTTGGTATTCTTATGCTTTTTTGGTGTTCACATTTAATACATTTTGGATTTCCTGCAAAATATATATGCTGTACTCAATCCTTTAAATATCTACTTACTGTTTTTCATAGTGCATTTTTCTGCTTAAGATTTTGTATTACTGTGTATTTACTTATTTATATTGTTTTTCTCATTACATATAATACCCATTTGCCAAAATCTTGTATGTTTTCTTTCATAGCTACATAACCTGTGCCCAGTAGAATGCCAGGAGATAACAAGCCTTTAATATTTATTGAATATTGAATAAAATGCATGGATTAGCCAAAGGAACATTTTCTTAAGAAGGGTATTTTTAAGTGAATTTTAAACCCTAAACTGAATATTTAATACACTTGGAAAATCCTAGCTCTGAAGTAGCAGGTAGTAAAGTAATACAACACTTTATTTGACATTTGCACAATTAAAAACACGCAAAAGCCTTTCTTGTCCAGCTTCTGTAAATGCAACTGTGTCGTATATACTCAGAATAAAAGAAAAAAATAAATCAAATCTAAGCCAACCATAAAACATTTTCCTTTTAATTATTTCTTATACTGAAAATCACTGATTGAAATTTTAAACCTATTAGATTCATGGTTTGAATATGTCCCCCAAAGTTCATGTGCTGGGAACTTGATTGTTAATGCAGTGATATTGTGAGGTGGTATCTAATGGAATATGATGTGTCCTTGGAGAAATGCCCTCATGAACAGATTAATGCCCTTATCTTGGGAGTTAGTTTCTTATAATTGGGCAAGTTTGGCTCCTTTTTGCTCTCTGTCTTGCCCTCTCTTTGCTCTTCCACCATGAGATGATGCAGCAAAAAGGCCCTCACCAGATGCCAGTCTTTTGATCTTGACTTTCCAGACTCCAGAAACCTGAACCAATACATTTCTGTTCATTATAATTACCGAGTCTGTGATATTCTCTTACAGCAGCATGAAGTGGACTAAGATAATTTATTTCTGAATTTCTCCAGATACTTTTAAGATAAATTCTCTCAAAAATTCTCCCAAAAGTATGCCCAGTGTGTTGTGAAATAACAAAAATGTGAGGCTATTTGGCACTTCATAAACATTACATCAATATATGAGTGTCTCTGCTACTCTTGCTGTGGTTCCTTGTTTTCTCACCACAGAATATATGTGCAAAAAGCTTCCTATTGCTGGTTTATAAAATAGCTTGATTAATCATTTCTGTATTCAGTCTTACAATGCAGATGTTAATACTACAGATTCATCATTTACAGTTACTGACATGTTTATGCCATTTCATTCTTTTTCTCAATCACATTCTTTCCTCCTTTATGCCTTCCTTTTTCTTTCTTCCTTTTTCATTGCTACCTTTCTCTTTCTCTGTCCTCTCCTGTTTTTGCTTCTTTATTCAGTTCTCATTTATGTATATCTAATATAAACTACATAAAATATACATCCTATCCAGATGAAAATTATATTTTCTTCCCTGAAACCAAAGAATTAATTCCTTGAGCCAACTCATCTCCCACTGTAAGCTCTAATCATGTTTCCAAATCATAAGAAGAAAACAAAAAATGAAATTAATAGACCTAAGGCAAAGATAGAGCTCACAAAAGTAGGGCACTGTAGAAAGAATCATTTGGACACTTTAGAAAAGCAAGAACTTTTTTCAGCTTTCTGTCTTTTCCAATCCTTTGCATGTCTGGCAAATACATTATGGAAGGAAAGCGTTTCGGCTGTTGGATTTCAGCTTCTTGGGTTTCAGCTCTCATGTATGAATACTGATAATTCAGCATACTGCCAAAGCTCTGGTACCCTGGGACTAAGGAGATAGTATGTAGATTTTCTTACTTGCTCCTTTGCGTCCTTTTTCCTCTAGCACCTACCTTTTGACTATTTTGCTACATTCTACAAGGAGGAAATAGATTTTTCAAGAAAGAAGAAATTTAGTTACCTGTCTTTTCTTTACTCCTTGTGTAATCTTAGTGAAAGCAGCAGTCAAAAATAAAGACTAAGCAAATTGCAGAATTGTATAATGAATTTTTCACATAGGTGGTTCCCCCACCCAACAAGGTAAAATTTAGTTCCCCTTACTTTATCTTAAAACTGTAAAAGAATTTTGGAGACAAATGTCCTAACAATTCAAAATTAGTTTGTATCAAGTGTATTTCCACTTTGTTTCTTTTTATGCTTAAGTATTAACACAAATAAAAGAAGCCACATTTTATTCATGTATACACATTGGTTAGACACACTATTTACGGTCTACTTGGGCTAAGAATTGTGACCACATGGGTGGCAAGTAGGTCTTCTGTTGTTTTTTATCAAACAGGTGGCAATATCCCTGACATCTGCTTAATAATACTTCAGTAAACATTCTAAATAAAAGAAGGAAAAAAGGAAGGGAGAAAGAAGACAGAGAGAAACTAAGGAAAGGGAGGGGATAAATACATTATAGTGAAGGAACTACAGATTATGGAGGAACAGAAGAAGGAAACTAGAATGCAAACTTTAAAAAAGCAATTGACATGATAAATACCATGATTTCGACCAATTCAAGGATATAGAGAATCTTTATCTATAAGGAAGAGTTTAAGTTTTGAAAATAATTCCTCAAAAATCTTTTAGGTGAAAGAATTATGAGCAGAAAAATATCTTCCGGAGTTCACTTAAAATTTAACTGGAAAAATTAATCATTAGCTAAAAGGCCATTAATGTTTATACCACTGAGAAATCATGTGACATACTAGTTTGAAATGTTTAGACAGCTGTTTCTTCTAGTCATCTTTGTTCAACCTATAATATTTTCCATTTATTTAAGATTTGCTCTTCTCCACAGGATACACATTATACATGTGTCAAAAGAGGACTAGAGTAGGAGTGTGAATATCTGACTTTACAGCCATACTTTACCCTGTGCCCTGTGACGAGTTACTTAGCTTCTTTAACCTTCAGCAGAAGCTTTGGAATTCAAGCAAATATTTGTTCAAATTATGATTCTGCATGACTGTGGACTATCGATAGTTTTCTGAGTCCCAATGTGTTAAACTGTGATTTCACTTGCTGATCTGTTGCCAGGATGAAAGGATATAACAGGTAAAACCCACCTACGACAGAGTCTTACACTGGGTAAATGCTCATAATGAAACAACATGAATTAAATGTTTGACTATACATTTTTTTTGTTTTAAAGAAAATCAACTTAAGATATGATTATTTCTCTCATTAAAGATGTTAGGTATGATTGGTGAACCAAGTTCCTGGGCCCCATCCCAGACATAAGAATTTCTAGGAGTAGGATTCAGGAATCTCATGTTAAAATATGCAGTCCCAGAGAACTATTACGTATACACAGAGGTTGCAAGGTCCATTATGTATGTAAATCAACAACCCAAAACTGTTATTAGGGATTCCTTAAATACCAGCTAACCATCAATATGGAGGAATATGTCTACAAGAAGGTAAGGAAAAGTTGAAAGTTCTGTAGAGAAGAGGACAACAGCAGATGGCTTTTAATTTATATGCATTTTGGGGCTCCGTGGCAACTATGTACAATAAAATTTATAAACTGTAGTAGAAATTTTACACATAAGAAGAATAAGCCACACACTAAAGCCTGTCATAATACATCACTTCTGTTCTGGTCCAGTAATATTAACTGTTTGGTGAACATCTCTCATTCTGGGGCCAGTCACTTTTTTTTTTTTTAATTTCATCTCCTTTCAGTAGTTTGTAAATGCTAATCCCATTTTAAAATTTGAATACAATTGAACCTTATCAATTTTAATGACTTAGTTACATATCTATTAAGCATTAGAATGAAGACAAACTCAGAGGAAAAAATCTAAATATTATTTTTTAAATATGTGTTGAAAGTTTTGTTTCACAGAATAATGGAGTGAGGGAGGGGGCAGATGGAAGCACTTAACAACCTCAGGGAAAACAGTCATTTATTGCCATAGCAGGACAACATCAAAGATACAATAACTTTTATTTGTGATGTAACATTTAGGTTCTTGAGTGACAATACACTATATTAGCTTGAGACCATTTTCTTAGGAGCCAGACTGTCCACTTTGAATCCTGTTCATTTACTTCACCTGGAAAATAGGAATTAAATATAGGGTTGTGCTAAGAATTAAAGCACAGTTGCAGGTAAAGCATTTAAAAGAATGCCTGTGCACAGAATAAACAGGAAATAAATGTAAACTCTTATTCCTATTATGAATGTTATTCCTACTATCATCTTTTAAAGAAATATTGTAGGCATTTTCTTTATTATAGCCACTTTTTTTTTCTCAGAAGATGGAACATTTCGTTTTCTCTTCAACAATTCATGCACTCACGCATAGTATTACACTATATACCTGTGTTTCACCTTTTTAAAAATAGATGCCATTTTAATAACATGATCAAGACTATATTGAAATATACTTGTATGACTTCTTTGTGATCCTTTTGAAACCCTCAAAAATATGGAAAACAATATTGCTCAAATTCAGGACAGACATTCTAGATGTGTAACGCTTTTCACTGAAGTATTAGAACATATGTTGATAGAAAAACAATTACCTCGTCTCATGGTTAAATCTGCTCTGAGCAGTAATAATCTTATTTCAAAGGTCCCTTATTCCAACCTTCTAATCCTTTATTGCTCTCCAAATCTGTGCAATGTGGATACAAACTTTAAAACCTAAACTATATAATTTCAGAATCTTTTTGAAGTTAAAGATTAGCACTTTTTTATGGTTAGGCTATTTTATTTCAGCCTTCATAGATTTGTTATTCTCAGACATGAATACTTTAAATATAAATTTGGAATTAGGCATCCACAGCCATTTAAGCAAGCATAAGCTGATTATTAGCTCAGTCACAGACAGATAAAACCAAATAAAATTCTGTCACTGTCTCTCCAGACTCTTGCTCTGGCCATCTCAGTTTTGGCAGCGTTGCCTAGGGCTGATGTTGACACTCCTGACACACAACAGTTTCACTCTTGGAAATACTTTTGCACTCTGAGAAAGGGAAATGTCACTTTCAAAGATCCCTCAACTTTGAGTCTCTCAAGAAAGTACACACACACACATACACACACACACACTTTAATTTATTAACCTAAATTCAATTATCTACTAATAATTTTGGCTTGCAAGAAGGCAATGAATAAGTGTGTGAAGCAGTTGAATGTGTAAGTTATATTTTAAAGATAATATTAGCTGATGTTAACATTCATTGAGCTTTTCTCATGTGCACAGTTATATTACAAGGATTATTTCATTTTCACAACTCTCACTACTCCCTGATATAAGTATGCTTGTTATCCTAACATAAATAAACACACAAGTTTTAAGAAGTTTAAATAACTAGAACCTGTCCAAGATCTAGCAGCTAGTGAGTGTCAGAGCTAAAGGTTTACCCCTGGTCTCTATTTCTCCAGAATCACAGCTTCTTATCGTCATGAACTGATGTAATTCAAATAATTTATTATTTAATCTGGTTAAGTGGTGTACACAGAAAAATGTGCTTACTTCTCAAAGAGCTATAGAAATTTTCTGTCCACATCTATGCAGCATAATATAGTTCAAAAAAATCAATAGATAAATCTCTCTTCCACTTATAATATAAAATATAAAAAGAAACACATCAACTTTTAAAGTGAGAAACATGAGTCACACAAAGATAAACACAATTACTTTTCTGGAAGTAAAAAAATTACCAAAAATAACTATATTTTAAAAATTAGCGTACACATGCGATTTTCTATCAAAGATTACTGTCAATTGAAATATATTTTTCACTAAATCATATATATTAAAATAAAAAGGTTTAAAAAGTATTATTATAGGCAAGTTCATGCTGTTAAGTGATTAGTGTGATTGAGGAATATGGATACATGCAACTATTCTGCAAATAGGAGCCATCAGGCCTCTCCTATGTTCTTTTATAACATCTTGGTATTCACCCCCCCATAATATTCATTACACCAGGTCACTGTTATCAAACCAGCTACATAATTTGTATTCTGTGAGATAAAACAATTATATACATACACATATATATAATGAAAATGATTTTATATATATAACATATGTTTATTTCATAATTTTATTATCATAAAGTACCTAAGTCAGTTTACAGTGTTTATGTTTAAATCTTTGCATTGCAACCTTCAAAACCTTTATTGCTCTTAAAATCTCTGCATTATGAATTCAAATTTGAAAATCTAAACAATAAATTTTAAGGATTTTAAAAGTATAATATTATTTTTAAAAGGTCATTTCATTTCATCCTTCATAGATCTGTTCGTCTGTGACCCTAATATTTGAAACTAAATATAAATTTGTTATGAATAAATACATTAATTAACAACATAGAGAGGAAGCTAGAAAAGCAAGTGCAGACTTAAACTAGAAATGTTCTTGGTTGTAAAGGATTTTTAAAAACATATATTTATTTATTATTATTTTTTATTATACTTTAAGTTTTAGGGTACCTGTGCACAATGATTTAATACTTTTTTCTTACTACCCAGTGAGTGGTAGACATTTTAAAACCTGGACTTATTTTCATAATATCTGTTTTTCTTTAAAATATGTTTCATGACCAATTTCCCATTAGTTTAAAGACAAATCAATATATTTTTCTTGTTGAACATTGAAAACCTGAAAACAAATGAAATTGTATAATTTAAATAATTTAATGAAATTTTAGTGTGCTTCCAAAAGTGGTACAATTTAGCATCCCTTTAAACCAAATGTTTCTGGACTCACTACTTACTCTCTTTTTACAATCATCGTTGTTGTTCTCAATGCTGAATATCAGCTCATTCCTTTGTGTCACAATTAAAGCAAGAATTTGGTTTCTGAAAATCTTGAATGTAGTTTTTGTAAAATAGTTTTATTAGATTTGTATTGCCAAGCTAATCTACTTAAATTGATCAATTTCTGATTGGATGACATCCTAATACCTTTCATATAAAAATATAAATTATTTTGAAGCCTTTACATTCTGACAACATCTAGTTGTCATTACTCAATAAGATATTTTCTTCGAAGCCTTTACATTCTGACAACATCTAGCTGTCATTACTCAATAACATATTTTCCACACTTAAAAATCTGTCCTTGTTACCCTCCTAAATATGTCATGTACAATTTCAACTACGTGGAATTTTCTTTTACAGAATCGAATGTCCTTTTTCCTCTGCTTAGCCAGTTTAAGATTTAAATTCAATTTTTCTTACCCTAAATGATCTTCCTTAACAATCTAACTTACAATGACTTACTTTTTTGGACAAGTGTGTTAATTATTATCTATATCACTTATTTGTAATTAAGCCCACTATAACAATATAGTGTTGTATAATAGATTCTTATCTTGTGATTTCAACTAAAATATACCATTCCTGATAGTATCTGTGTTTGTCTATATGTTAGCTTTCCTAATTGGAGTATGATCTCCTAAGAAAGAAGAAAATGTATATTGTTACACTAGAATCCCTAGAGTCCAAGAAAGTGCTTTTTCTCCCAACCCCTCCAAACAAAATTGCTAGATCAAAATTGACCTCGACTTATGTTGGCGAGAAAATGTAACAGTGAACACTCTTAAAAACTCTTTTACTGGGGAAAATCAAATAATTATGGCACTGAATTTTTTTTAATGAATTTATGATCTGGAAAATAATAATCTGATTTCTGGTATTGTAAGTCATGTGACTGCTATGTCATCAAATAACAATATGGCCTTCTAGACTCTATATTATTGTTTAGGAGTTTGATTGACTAAAATGTAATTTCAAAACTGGTCATCTTTAAAATGCTAATGTAGATGGAGATACTGGAGCTGAATAGTTGTCAGAAACTGGGCCATTAAAAAACAAAACAAAACAAAAAACACCAAGATAATATCACCTTCTAGGAATCCTTGATAGGTGAACTTCATCGATCAAAAATGTCACCCAAGTCACACTCGCAATGCAAGAGCTTTATATTAACATTTTCTAGTGGTTGGAATAAAATTCTGAACTCAGAATCATAACCGCATTAATAGAGATGCCACAAAATCACCAGGAAATAATAGGTTATACGGCCCTTACAAATGTTACCTTTTATGAGCATAAGCAAATCGTGTGTGTGTGTGTGTGTGCGCACACGCTGGTATAAAATTTGTACAATGGTTTAAGGAATGACAATTCATAACTTTAAAAGTCGGCTCATTTAAAATACTAATAGAAACAGTAAAATGTGGTCCTGTTTCACATGACTTTGCTTTTCAGGGAGAAGAGTACATAGGTATTATCTCTTAATTTTTCTAACAATTTAATATGACATTATGTTTACAGAAAATAAAATCAGAATGTATAAAATGACTGTTCTAAAGACAGAAGCAATCTAGTATGCCTAACCATCTATGGCCACATTATTTTCCAGATGAGACTACAAACAATGATGAATTAACTTAAATTACTATCTCACATCTACATAGAAAACAAATATTTAATCCTTGGTTTTCCAGACAAAGTTACAAAATGTAGACCATCTCCCTCACCTCAGTGACAAGACTTCTCACTAACCAAAATATCATCTGATTGGAAAAAAAATGAGTCTCTTTGGATGATATCAGCAATCACGCAAATCAAATAGGTGTTCAAAATACACTGTTCTCTCTTACTTGTGGGGTAAACCACAGCAATACAAATGAGAGCCTTTTATCAGCTGGCAGGAAGATAGAAATTTGTGTTACTTGAAGAGCTTCATCTGTTCAGTTAGCAGGGAGAAGATCCGTAAGTTTTTTCCTTAGTGTTTCTAGTTCAGCCTTAATGTAATTTTTGAACAGTAAATCCACTTTGAAATCATTTGAATATCAGATATTATTGTTTTCTTTTTGTTTACAAAGTTATGTTATCTTTATTTCTGTATTCATGTATTGCTTTTATCATGTATTGTCTTTTGATATTAAAATGATTCTTTGGAGGATAAAAAGAAGCCACATCATATGTAAATAATTGCTAAAACCATGATATGAAAAGTTACATTTTTTCATATATTTACATATGATATGTAGATTAAATACCTGTTCAAACAAAAATAGTTTGACCTTACAAAATCATACATAATTATCAAGCCAAGGATTAACAAAAGTCATTCTGGACATAGTTTACCAGATCCCCAGTATGTACTTACTAGAGTTCTGAGTCACAATCTCTCCAGTATTCAGAGCCATCAACCTATTGACACATTCCTCATATACACCATAAAGTAATAATCATAAGTATACAATGTGATGGCTAAGTTTTGGTGTCAACTTCACTGGATTAGGGGATACGCAGATAGCTGGACAAGCATCATTTCTGGGTATGCCTGTGAGGGTGTTTCCAGAAGAGATTACCATTTGAATCAGTGGACTGAATAAAGAAGATGTGCTCTCACCCAATGTGGGCAGACACCTTCTAGTCCAATGAGGATCTGGATGGAACAAAATGTCAGAGGAAAAGCAAACTCATTCATACTCTCTTCTGGAGTTGGCAAGCTCTTTTTTTCCCTGCCCTTGGGCATCTGAATTTCAGTTTCTCCAGCCTTTGGACTCCAAGACTTGCACCAGTAGTCCCTCAGGTTCTCAGGCCTTCAGCCTCAGACTGAGAGTTACACTATTGGCTTCTCTGGTTCAGAGGCTTTCAGATTTGGACTGATCCTCATGACTGGATTCTCTGGTTCTCCAGCTTGCAGGTGATCAACTGTGGGACTTTTCAGCCTCTTTAATCATGTGAGTCCATTCTTCTAGTAAGTCCCCTTTCATATGTGTGTATGTATATCTGTATATATCTATTCTATTGGCTCTGTCTCTCTGGAGAACCCTGACTAATACAATAAAGAGAACTCACTATGTACACGATGGGCTATGACACATTTTTTGTATATTAATGCTTACTTAGCCTTTGCAACCAATACGTGTGGTGAATGCTTTAATAGTCTCCAGTTATAAGTAGGGAGAGTAAGGTACACCAGATACCTCATAAGTTACAGGACAGTCTGTCTAGGAAAATGAGGTAGAACTCATGCTCTCAACCACTCTATTATCTATCATGTTACTAGCCCACCCAAGAAAGGCACATAAAATATTGTGAAAAAAAATTGAGAAAAGATATTTTTCTAGGTAATTATAATCTCACACCTTTCTAAGATGAGAGTTGTCTGAAACATTTTAGGCAGCCCAGATAAACTTTGGAAAAAAATGTGAGCTGCTCTACTTTCTCTGGATGAAGCAACACAAAGTAAGATGGGCATGTAACTCATACTGGCATCTTGATATCATCATGATATTTTATAGTTTCTCTATAGTTTAGCCAAGTACCCTCTACTAAAACACATATTTCATAGAGTATGTTAAAGCCAGATGACTGTTGGAGTCCTGTAGTATAAATGGAATTCTGAAGTGACCTGAATCAGGATATCTCAGGCCTTCTATTCAACCAGCCTAAAAACTAAGAAACGGGCAACTCACCTCAGCTGATGTTTGTGGCCATTAGGAATAGATTTTTAGGTTACATCTATATTCCATGAAAAAAAATTACAAAAACTGAATGGACACAGGGTTAAAACCAAGTAGCCTTTGATTTTGGAAATTAAATTATTATTATGTAAACACTTTGAATCACAATCTATGATTCTTCTAGCACAAGATAAACCTGTCAAAAAACTATCATGAACCAGAATACACTATTTTATTAAAACTTTAATTGGATCACGTGGTCAGGAGATTGAGATCATCCTGGCTAACACGGTGAAACCCCGTCTCTACTAAAAATACAAAAAGAAATTAGCCGGGCGTGGTGTTGGGCGCCTGTAATCCCAGCTACTCAGGAGGCTGAGGCAGGAGAATGGAGTGAACCCGGGAGGCGGAGCTTGCAGTCAGCCGAGATTGGGCCACTGCACTCCAGCCGGGAGCCTGGGCGACAGAGCAAGACTCCATTAAAAAAAAAAAAAAAAAAAAAAAAAACTTTAGAACTTTAATTGGAACAGAGGAAGGGAATTACTTTGGACCCGATGGTAATCACCTCCTTATTTAAACAGTTTACTCAAAATATTTCTTTTCTTTTTTTAATTAGTAGGTCATCTTTATATATATTGAAGTGTTACGGTATCTGGTTGTGTGAGGGGCAAAGGGAATCTGAGGAGGTAAGTGAGAAACAGCAACGTGATATGTAATTATGTAATTTAAGAGTGGGTGCTTTATTTGACATTGGTGCCTATCCAATATTCACAGGTCTATTATTCTTCCTAACAGGACCTTGATTTTGTTCAACACAATGTGCCAAAATAAAACAATTTTTCCAGTTTCCCTTAGAGTTAGAGGTAGCTATGTTACGCAGTTCTGAAACAAACAGAAGTCTAATGTGGGAGAGTCTTGGATTGCTTCTTACTCCTTTAGTCAACAGACATGGCTTACTCTACTACTTTCTGCTACTCACCCTGAAAATGGACATGAGGTCTCAAGCTGCAGGAGCCATCTTGCCATTTCAAAGTCACAATCATAAGGAAACTTGAGGGGAAAGGAGGGTGAATCATAATTGGCCCTGAAATCAAGTTCAGGGACCATTGGAAGCAATTTCTTCCTATATTAGAAAGAAAAATTAAGAACCTTCTGTGAATGGAGATTGGAGGACTGGAGGAGTGTTCCAGGGCTGAAACAACTTGAATGGATTTGCATACTGAGTCTCAAAAAAGTGTTTAGAGGAAAATACCTCAGAAACTAACTTGTTTTTAGCAACTCTAAAATGAAAGCCAAGCAGGCCATATAGTTGGAACTTTTGTGGAATAAATAGATAAAAGGGTGAAAATCTGAAAGAGGAAGTTGAGCCTATTGACCAAACGGACAGGTGATTTTCTTTCACCAAACAGAGTAAAAACATATAACTTAGTACAACAATCAAAAAAAGTAGTAACAACATGGGAGAGAATGTGGAGGTTTGAAGCATGACTGGTTATACATGAAAGCTTTTTAGTGCTTGTTGAAGATAAAACCTGGAGGCATGTAAAGAAAAGGCTTTTAAAAATTAAGTATGTGTTTTCAGCCTCAGCAATCCATATCACAGTGTTCCTGCAACAATGTCAAATTAATGTTGAGAGTATATGCTATTTGCTTGATTTATGAGGATATATTCTAATGTCAAATAATAATAAAATATTAACTGAAATGAGACTGAAATCACTGAATATTTCTATGCATTAGTATATTATGAATTCCTTGACCATGGCACCACAGGAGGCAAGTAGTATAGCCTCTATCTTTCACAATGCTATTTTGTTTTTGCACTGAAAAGCTTAGAAAAATACATTTACAGTCTTGGATTATGAAAAACAATTTGAAAATTAATAAGTACATACTGAATTTTTAATCTAATGTGTACTTTTTCCTTTTCTAAAGAATCAAAAGTCTCCCTTTAGTGTCTTCTTAACTGTATTTGGATTCTTGTAAGGAATATTTTATTCCTCATTTTAGTTTACTCCCACATAAATCACTCCAGTAAATGATCTGAAGCTCAGCATTTCCCTAGTCCTCTAAATTGGAAGAAAATTGACACATATATCAATGCCTAAAGTTGTTTTGGTGAGAATTGTACTGAAACATTACATTCCCCAGGAAAGAACCCAGGATTAAATCAAAGCTACTTTCAATTAAGTATTCAAAGCACAGGGCTCCATATTAAAAGAAAATGATGTAGTTCTTTTTCTTCATGAAAGCATTACTGAATGGTACAAACTTTCAGCTATAAAATAAACTGTGGGGGGTGAATGTATAGTATGGATGGTGAAGGATGTTTTAATTAACTAGATTGTGATAACTGTTGATACTACACAGTGTATATGCATATCGAATTATATTGTACACTTTGAATATGTACAAATATTACCAATTAAATATTTTAAGATAATAAAAAAGCAATAATCAATTGATTATTATTATAATCATGGTAATAGTCCCTATGTACTAATTATTCTTCTTCCACTCCTCCTCATCCTTAATTAATAATTAAGTCAATTGATTAATTATCATTCTCCCACTCCTCCTCATCCTCCCTCTCCCTTACCTTCTCCTGCTGCTCCTCCTTCTTCTTCCTAACCATCTTTGGAGAATTATGCAATGTCACTTCAGTTTATTATCTTTATTTAGAGAGGGCGGAGATTGTGGAACATAAAGTTCTGAAACAACTTGTCAGTACCATTGCCGAAAAGTCAGTCCATTTAAAATACATGGACAAAGAAGAACATAATCCCAATCTTTCACGGAATTATGCTAATTAGTTAAACAAACAGCATGTGTCTCCTTTAAGGAGACATTAAGTAAGTTTCTACACATTTACCCATTTCTAAACATCTGGAATTACTGAAAAATAGAGTTGAGTCAAAATAAGTCAGAATTAAATAGAACTATACTCTTGTTTATAAATGAGAAAGCTGAAATAACAATAGCAAATTACTCAAGTCCTCCGTCAATTAGTGGCAAAACTAAAACCAGGGAGCATATTTCTAGTATATTGCAAACATGACAGAACAATGGCTGGATTTGAGATATGAAATGAGACCTGTCCAATCCATGGTTTGGGGACTCCAAAGCTGTGTGATTTGAGGACATATTAACTTCTTTTGGAATACGTTTTTTTCACTAATAACGCAAACTAGGTTTTACCAGAATATCTTTAAATTTCTTTCCAGCTTCAACAGTCTACATTCTACCTGAAGACTCAGGAATCCTATGTGTCTTCAATAAAAATACTTAGATTATACCAGTGATATAGTTTGGATATTTGCACCCACCCAAATCTCATGTTGAAATGTTATCCTCAGTGTTAGGGTTGGGGCCTGGGGGAAGGTGATCAGATCATGGGGGCAGAGTTCTCATGAATGGAGTGAGTTGTCATGGAATCTGGCCCTGTAGAAGTGTATGGCATCTCCTCCCCACACATTCCTCTCTTGCTCCTGCTTTCGCCATGTGGCATGCCTGCTTCTGTTCTGCCTTCTGCCACGATTGTGAGCTTCCTGAGGCCTCCCTAGAAGTAGAGCAGTTGCCAGTACTATGCTTCCTGTAAAGCCTGCAGAACCATGAGCCAATTAAACCTCTTTTCTTTATATTTTACCCAGTCTCAGGTATTTATAATAATGCAAGAATGGCCTAATACAACCCCCAAAAAATCAGTACCTATAAATTAGATTATAGTAACTATAAAGTCTGTTAGTCAGACTTTATAGTAGTATTATCCAAAGGAAAACAACTATCTTCTGTTCTCTTCAAATATTTTAGAAATAAGTTTGCCACTGTGTGTGTGTGTGTGTGTGTGTGTGTGTGTGTGTGCATGTGTGTTTGCATTTCTACTGGTCTCTTCTAAATACATTGTAATTATATTACACCAAAGTAGGATCATATCACGGCTCAAATCACAGTCCTTCAATCATCTCATTTAGTACACAAATGGGAATCCTTACAGTGGCCCGTAAGACCCTGTATAATTAGGCCTCCCACTACTCTCTAAGCTCACCTGGATTTCTTTCCCACTTTCTCACTCCACTACAGCTTCACTGGTCTCTTCACTATTTTGAATAATACACATTTGCTTCTCTATCTGAGCATTTACATTTGCTGTTTTGTATTTCTGGAACCCCATTGCTCATATATCTGTACAATTTATTCCTTAATCACTTTCAGATCTTTAAACTATTAATAATATTTTCTTAGTGAGGATTCTCATAGCTATCCTATATAAAATATCTGGCCACTGTAGCCCTCTCGATCATCCTTCCCTACTTTATTTTCTTGTTGCATTTATTTTTCATTTTTCTGCTTTTAAATGTGTTTCTTAGTGAGAATTTTACATCTAATGATGGCAGGAAGTTTTATCTCACTTATTCATGGTCATAGTCCCCATGTACTCAATAAATTATGGTAAAGAATGGATGAATAAATTTACTTAGAAAATTTGTAAAATGATAGGCATAGTTAGTAGGTACAAATAAGCACTCTGTTTAATTTGCCTATATTCAATTTAGAGAAGATTTTCTTAGATATACTAAAAACAATTCTCAGCAAAGTAGAAACATCTGTAGTTGAAAATTATGACCTAATTCTTCTCCTTTTTGCTCCCAACACTACACTTCAGTTTCCAAAAATCCACTCCATTCAATTTTCTCAACCACTGTGATATTTAGAATAGAAATTTGTTTTAGGGGAAATTTTTAGAATACAGCAAATGAGAAGAGCAAATCAAAATTTCAGTCCTTGAAGATGTTTCTCATCTATAAATTGACAAATATTTCTACGTCCCAGGTTTTCTACGGTATCTTTAAAAAATGTGAAAAAGAAATGTCCATGCCTATACATGCCATTAGCAATACAAACTAAGCTTAAACAATTACAACAATAAAAACAGGAACATCCCGACTCTCTGCCTCACCAACCTCAGTGGTTTTTGGATACAGAGATATGGAGAAGTTCTAAAACTGTATTTGCTTAGGACAGATAAGAGAAGAGCAGTCAGCAATAACTGTGGGAAACCGAAGGTGACATAATTTCTTATTGCAGCTCTACCATGTGATTACATATAGACTATGGTGGATGAAATTGATTTTCTGAACAGGTTCTACCTATCTTTCTATTTGGCTTTCTTTTTACATTCATAGGAAAATGAAATTCAAAGTGTATATGTTTCTTTGAGAAAGAAAGCAAATGGATTACCTCAAAAAGTTGCCAGTCGTTGGGAGAGTTATATTGTGCATATTAACTTTGCTAATTCATTCACTCTATTCCTATTTTTATTCCATATCACTTACGATAGACACATTCATCATCTCCTGTGTAGTGTAAAATCAGAGGAAAAATGAAGTTGTTTCCTAAAGCTGCGTACAATACTGTCTATACTTGATATTTTTTATCCAGATAATCCTATGCTACAATAGATTCTGGCAGCCTTAAATTTCTCCTCAAAATAAATGTCATGTAATTCCTGAAAAATACTAATTGAAAGTATCTGCCTTTCACAAATGTGGTTAAAATCTACCATTAAGAGCTGAAAATTGATTGAAGTAGACAACATCTGCTTTTAGAACTAACGGCTCTAACAAATAATGTGTTATTCCGGCAAGTGGGAATACACATACTTTAGATATGCTATGGCATGTCACACACAAGAAAATTAGCTTTCAAAGTGGTATGTCAACATTAATTTTCATAGTTTCGTAATATCTCTAATCATAACCAATGGTGTTAGACAAAAACACCTGCTGTCCTTTCTGTTATTTGTTTGTAAAATTAAATTCAAAGTAGCATAACTACTATGTAACTGGCTCTCCACCCTGGGGTAACATGTCCTCAAATGTTCTTCCAATATCAGTGGTTGGTGTAAACATAACAATCTAAAGGGACTAAACACAATTTCAAAAGAACACATTTGCATTACTTTTCCTAATAGATTTTCTGATCCAAAATCAAGTGAGGGAAATATAAATTTTTATTTATGGAATAGTTACCTGAAGATAAATTGAAGAAAGAATTAAAGCCACAGAAGTATTTAACTATTTGCCTGTGAAATATTTTTGATTCTATCATGTTCTCTTTTGCTTAATGAATTTGAGTGCCTTATGTGACTTAGAATTTCTGTATACAAAACAAATTCAATTTTTTTACATCACTGTCAAATACAGGGCTTTGGATATAAGGACATCATTTCCTTACAGTTATTCTCAACTTAAAAAGCTTATGACTTGTTTAAATCAAGTTACAGTTGGTGAAAAGGGAGTAATTGCTGCTACTTTTGCTATTTAATCTCCTCCTTCATACAAAACATAGTTGACCTTCTCAGCATAATGCCTTTGCAGAATATAGAACTAAAAGTGTAAATCCTTTTGTAATGCAATTGTTTCTTGTTAGAGAGAATGTCTCATTGTTATTTACAATCAATTAAGAAGAAGCATCTTGTTAAAGGCTTTATGGTTGTAGTATCAATCTTTCAACATTAAGTTAACTTTCTATAAGAAGCTTGTGTCAGTATAAACAGAAATGTGCACATAACAATACATAAGATTTATAAGTATTTATTAACTTCCTACTCTATAAATAATTGTTGAAAACCTGAAAAGACACAATGGCTAATATTAAGGAGCCTATATTCAATCTTCATTATTTTTAACTATTATTTTAAATCACTATTTATTATGAAAATTTCAAACATACACAAACAGTAGAGATTCTACTTGAGGACCCAGGTATTTTTTAGCTAGCCTCAAACATTACTCAAATATTGTTTTATATGTTTTATCTACCAATTCCCATTTTTTTGTTAGGTTGGGGAAGCAGGTGTTTTAGAATGTTTTAAAGCATCTCCCAGATCTCAAGTAATTTCACCTTTAAATATTTGGTGTGCAATTCAGTGTATATCCTCAAATTTTAAAAATTAAAAGGATATTAACTTACAGAATCACAAATGTCATTATCACATAACAAAACCAGCTGTAATTTATTGACAAGAACTAACACCTGGGCATATTCAAATTACCCTGATAATCTAAAAATAATTTTTTAATTCTTAAAAATTAGGATTCAACAAGATTCTGCTCATTTCATCATGTAGTTACATCACTTAAGTCTTTTTCAGTCGTTTCTTTTTTCTCCTCATGCCATTGACTTTTTGTAGAAAGCAGATCAGTTTTATAAAATAGCTCACATTTTGGATTCGATGATGTATTCCATGTGGTATCATTTAACTTGTTCTTACCTCCTTAATTAATAACATGCACAGCAGAAGTTGTCACCAAAGGTTTGGTTAGAACCAAATGCATTATGTTTTTGGGCAAAGGGTACAAATAAATCTCATAAATGATGCTGAATCCACTATGTTTTAGTCTTAAATTAATATTCTGTTCCCAAATCATACACACACACACACACAATATAAACAACTCTGATTTCAAATAAAGCTCTGTGATTCTCTAAAAATATTTATCAAAAAATAGTCTGCATTTTAAATAGAGGTAAGAAAATATGGTAGCAGTAGTGCCTATTATAATAGAAAGTCTTTGTTTATAGTCCCAGCATAACTATAAATTAAAGATGTTCCCTTTAATTTTTACTCTTAAAATCTTTACTGTATAGATAATGATATTGACTTATTGACTGGTGCTTATACTTTAATTTTTAATAAATAAATGTTTCATAAGGACTTACTTTTACCAGAATGGCTAATAATTATCAAGTGCCTACTATGTTCCAGATACTTTTCTAAACATCTCGCCTTTATTAACTCACGTCTCGCCTTTATTAACTCACGTGGAACTCACCATGAACCTAGGAGATAAGTACTAATGTCTTCATTTCACAGAAAAGTGAATCACAGCCTGGAGCAAAGTAACTTTAACATGAACATTGAAATGGCTGAGCTGGGATTTGAAGGGCAATATGGTACTCTTCTGTGCTACTTAAGACTGCCTTTCCACAAAACCAGCTTCTTCTTAAAGGCATAATAAAGGTAATGGTATTTCCTTCAGGCAATTAAAACATCAATCAATTGTAAAAGATCCATATATACATGAAAGTGGTAAGCGGTACTGAGGGAAAAAGACTTTTTGTTTTTCAATAGGGAAATAGAGAAAACCTAAATTATTCATTCGTTTAGTAATTCATTCGAGGAACATTTATGGAGCTGAGAATTTTTAATTTTAGCCATAGTCATCCATTCCATTTCTCTCATCAGGCCATTTTATGTTCTTCCTGGTTTGCTCAATTGTGGGAAAAGTTATGTTCCTACATTAATAATAACAGTTAAAATATAAACTTTTAAAGTCTGTCTAGATAATAAGGGAAGCAAAGGATAATTGCTATTTATATTTTTCCGATTATCTGATTAGCACCTAAATAAAAAGATTGCATTCAATTCTGTACTTTTATTATCAGAATTAATATAAAAACATCCATTTCTTTTTCATATCATGACTTCTTAATAGTTTCCAAATCTTTAAAACATTACATTACATGAAAGATTTTTTCCATCTGTTTTATTTTTCATTTTATTTTTATTTTATTATTATTATTATTATTTTGAGATGGAGTCTCACGCTGTCTCCAGGCTGGAGTGCAGTGGCACGATCTCGGCTCACTGCAAACTCTGCCTCCTGGGTTCAAATTATTCTCCTGCCTCAGCCTCCTGAAAGCTGGGATTACAGGCACATGCCACCATGCCCGGCTAATTTTTCTATTTTTAGTAGAGATGGGGTTTCACCATTTTGGTCGGGGGGTCTTGAAAGTCTGACCTTGTGATCCTCCCTCTTCAGCCTCCCAAAGTGCTGGGATGAATGAATTGGAGTGCCTTATGTGAGCTACCGTGCCCAGCCCTCTTTTTACTTTTTTAATCACCTATTGTCAATAAGTTTCACTTATACTGAGTGCAGGTGTTTATATTTCAGACAAATTTTTAGTGAACTGTTAAGGCATTTTATTCAGAAAAATCATGAGGAACAGGAAAGGCAACAATGATGAGATGTAATTGTATTTTGGTTGATTAATGCCTTCCATGTATCTTTTTGTGTTGTAAAATCCTTAAGCTGGGAGTCCCAGATTCTGAAATAAGCATCATCTAACATGGAGAACTGTTGTGCTGCTGGTGTACTCCCACTGGGGACTGCAGGCTACTCCTCACAGGGGTGTGGCCAGAGCCATACTCAGCATCTACAGATCCTCGAAGAGCAGCTGTTTGTTAGCTTAACTCTTTTTCAGTAAAGTAAGTAGTTGAGTCCATCACATCTAGCAAGTAGATATGGTACTTCTCTGTTTCCTTCAAACTGCTAGACGAGCATTGTTTTTACTTTTTAATTTATTTTCTCTTTTGCAGAAGAAGAGGTTAACTACTTTCTATGGGCATTCTGAAAGACATATTTGAAAAAATCCAAAGGCTAGTCATTAGCAGCTAGTGATTCTGAATTCAAAGAATGTAGAATTCTGAAAATCCCAGGTTTTTCTTATTCCCCTTCAGCACTAATTTTTCTCTGTTACAACCTTATCTCATTGCAGCCAATTCACAGTAAAGTACTTCATAATAAAATTTTACTATTCCATGAAAATGGACTAGAAAATAATTTGTTGTATTAAATATGTGTATTAGAAAATACAACATATAAAACAAGAAAACAGCAGGTTCATTGATTATGACACATTAATATTGTCATATAACTACTGTTTTCTTATAATGTCAAGCATTTAAATACAATTTTACAAACCTACTTTTTAATTTATTTATTTAATTTTAATTAATTTATTTTTTTGAGATTGTGTCTCACTCTGTTGCCCAGGCTAGAGTGCAGTGGTGCAATCTTGGCTCACTGCCACCTCCGCCTCCCGGGTTCAAGCAATTCTCTGCCTTAGCCTCCTGAGTAGCTGGGATTACAGGCACCAGCCACCACGCCCGGCTAATTTTTTTTTTTTTTTGTATTTTTAGTAAAGACGGAATTTCAACATCTTGGCCAGGCTGGTCTTGAACTCCTGACCTCGTGATCCACCGCCTCGGCCTCCCAAAGTGCTGGTATTACAAGTGTGAGCCACGGCACCCGGCCCAAACCTATTTTTTGTTAAGTGCAAAATTTTTCTAAAACTGCTTGTTTGTAAACTAAAGAGAGAATCTTTTAAACATACGATTTGAATTAAGCATTCACAATGCCAACAGATAGGCATATCTATGTCTATAGACTAAGAACAAAAAAAGGCAGTGAGTTAAATTATGACATATCATGTAGAATTGAAATCAAACTTGGGAAAATATAAACAAGAAAGATATCTTTTGGTATAGCACAACATGTTGTCAACCAAAGTGAAAATGCCAAAAAATAAAATTATCTATGAAATCATGAATAAATAAGGCATATTGGCAAAGCTGAAAAACAGAAAAGTTTTAAAAGGCAACCTCCCACTAAATCTAACACAAAACCGGCCGGAGCTATAGTTTACTTGGTTAAGAGCAGACTGCCACTACTGTACTGTACTGTACTGTACTGGTACGGTATAACAAAATGTGTTTTATTATTTGGGGATATGAAGAGAATGAAAAATAAAATATTAATATTAGATATTAAAACAAAACTGATTTTACAAAAACAAATTACAGTATGATAGAACTAAAAGCACAAACCAACAATAATTGTACAATTAAGAAAAACAGCACACATTAAGGTAACTTAAAACAAAGACTACATAGTGATAAAAATCAAAACAGATATCAAATGTTTATGAAATCAATTTGCTAACAATGTGCTATTGATATGTTTGTATTTACTGCAGAAGTAAATAATATTTCTACAAATAAACACTAAAAATATTATTACCTTGGTTCTCCTATTTTGAAATGTGTAAAATACAGACAAAAATATAAATTAGTTTCCATATGGAAACCTTGCATAAGCATTAATATAAAAGTTTAGGCAGTAAGTTCTTATTGAGTTCTAATTATCTGTCAGCATCATTTTAGATACTATTGTGTGGGGAAAGTGGAAAAGGGAGGAATAGAAAAGAAAGCAGAGCTATTCTTTATGAATTCTAACTGCCTATTACATTAGAACCTCAAATATATGGAATGAATCAATACATGAAGTAAAATAGAAAAAAAGCAAATTAGGAGTATGTAAATAAATGCAAGAGGAATTTTAAAAAATAAAAATCGTGTGGACTGAAATAACCAAATGAGATGGTAAATGAACTGAGGCTTGTAGAATGAATGTAATGTAATATGAATAAGTGGAGGAGGATAATAGAGCAATATTACTGTGAAGAATATTATATTACAAGGGTAGTAGCAGTGAAGTGACATGTTTCAACTGACATGATTCCAACTGCCTGTGAGAACTCCACTTGTAAGATATACCATCAACTTTAATTTGGTATGTATAATATTGAATCCTTCTCTCTTTTTAGTATCATTTTCTGCCATCGGATCCATTGTTTAACTCACTTACATAGCCTTGAATTCATACATTTGTTCATTTGTACATTCATGTATTGATGCATTCACACACTCACTGGATAGATATGAATATAAATATTATACTGGGTTGAATAGTGTCCTCCCCAAATCCATGTTCATTCAGAATCTCAGACATCATCTTATTTGGAAATAGGGTCTTTGCAGATATAATTGGTTAAACTTAGATAAGTTCATATCAGAATAGGCTGGGCTCTAAATTCAAGCCCTTATAAGAATAGGAGATTACAGAAACATAGAGGGAAGAAAGCCATTTGACATCAGAGGCAGATTGAAGTAATGCAGCTACAAGCCAAGGAACACCAGGAATCACCGGCATGAAAGGCTTTCTCCCTAGAACCTTCAGAGGGTAAAGTGGGGTGGGGGTGGGGGAGGGGGAGGGATAGCGTTAGGAGATATACCTAATGTTAAATGACCAGTTAATGGGTGCAGTACACCAACATGGCACATGTATACATATGTAACAAACCTGCACGTTGTGCACATGTACCCTAAAACTTAAAGTATAATACAAAAAAACCTTGATTTCAGAATTATATTTTTCAGAACTTTGAAAGAATAAATATCTGTTGTTTTAAACCATCCAGTTTGCAGTAATTTGTTACTGCAAACTTAGGCAACTAATACAGAAATAGGTATAGATATAGATAGTGTTTTGTCTGTGCCGGCTACTGAGATTATAAAGATGCATGAATCTGAGGTCATGTCCCTCAATAGCAGACAGTCTAGGGAAACTGGGATCACTTTTGAATTATCCTTCTGTTGGGACAGACAGTTGCAACCAGACTTGAACTTTCTAACACATTATTCTTGAGTGTGCCAGACTTCAAGATTTACCTGTCTTCTCAAACTGAGAAGTCTCTGTAGCTGGTCACATAGCCTGATGGTGACACCTGTATAATTGTTCGCCCCCCTCGAGGAGGGGAACTGGCTTACTTACTGCTTATGATAATACTTGTTGCTTGCTCAAAAAGTATTGGACTCTTGGCTCTCTGTTTCTCAGCAGTGATGAAAACCCATCACATGTAAAGAATCCACCTGGACCACTTACATAACCCTGTGTGAACTGGAGGCAAAGGGAACTGGGGCAAATATGCAGATGCTTATACTGCTTGCTTTGTCATTACTAATAACGACTTCAGTCTCTGACTCAGGAGTCTGTGTCTTCTGCTGACATCTATGAAAAGCAATACACTAAAATGTTAGCTCGTCGGTATGGTAAAATCTCAGAATTCTGAACAGTTTTTGAGACTTCCTTTCTATCCATTCAGGTTCTAAATTTTATTGTCTCATTATTTTCAATGTCTGTAAGTACTTAGTACAACTTATATTAAGTTATACTTGCTATGACTTATATTTAGATAGTACTTAATACCAGTTATACCAAGTACCAATTAGTACTACTTAATACTACTCATAATACTGCTAAAGCTATTAATTAGAATATTGATTGTTTTCTAAATTGTTTCCTAAATGAATAACCATATCATTCAGCCAAAAGGAAAAACTATGTAGACTTTTCATTGCAAAAGTTCCAGTGAATTATTCAAAGCCCATACAATTAGATTTTGTGAATGCTGAAATCTGTATTTTGCTGTCCATTGGTAAGCGCTCTCTTTTAATTGTTAGCTAAATATGCTCACTTTCACAATTTCATTTAAATGATTTCCCCTATTTAGATAGTTGCATCAAACTTTGCCCGAGTTCTTCCCTTATTTTATAGACAAACTGTATATTATCTGAATTGTCTTCAGTTTCTACTCCTTAGTGATTCTGAAGTCATTTGAAATATCTCTATACTTATATATGGCATATGCCCTTATGCTATGATTTGAATTTGTTTCCTAACATACATGAGTTGGAAACTTAATCTTCAGTGCAACAGTGTTGGGAGATGAGATGATTAGACCACAGGGCTCTGCCCTTGTAAACAGATTAATACAGTCATCACAGGAGTCGTCTGATCCTTGAGAAAGTGGGTTTGCTTTGAAAATAAGTTTGTCCTCCTATTGCTCTCTTGCTTTCTGTGAGTGCTCTCTCACCCTCTTCTGTTCTGCTATGGAATGACATAACAAGGCGGCCCTCACCAGATGGTGGCACCTTGATATTGGACTTTATGGCTTCCGGTGAGAAATAAATTTCTCTCATTTATAAATTACCTGGTCAGTGGAACTCTGTTAATAGCAGCACAAAACAGACTAAGACAACTTATATCCCTAAATGATCCTGAGCTTTTGAGAGCTGATGGCAATAACTTATGTTTTTATTCTTAAGAGTCCAGCACAATGTACAATGCGTAGAAGCTGCTTAACAAATACTTATTAATAAAAATAACAACAGTGATACCTGATGGTATTTTAAAAAATCATTTCAGGTTAAACAGTTTATAACTATTTTAGGAAACTCATTTATTTATATTATGTATTTAATAAATAGTTTTGAACACAAAACATCATATGTAACACCGTGGGTGTAAAATATTTTGAATCATATCAAAGCTTATCAGAAGGGGCAGAGATGTGCAAAATTGATGTAAAAAGAACAGGGAAGGGAGAAGAGTGGTTGTCCTATACAAGTAGTATACATTTTCATAAACAACTCTGCACCACTTATGGAAGTAAAAATTAGTGTTTATATTTACCTAAAATCTTTACAGATACAAATCAACCTCTGGACTTCATGAGAAAATATATTCCACAGAGTGTCATGAAGGTGACTAAGAAAATTAATTAGATCAGCATTTGCAATGTACCATGAGTCAGAGAATCATGGAAATTAAAGCAGGATAGGACCTTGGAGATCACCTTGTCCAACACCTTCATTTGGTAGATGAGGAAATTGAAACCAGATTGACAAGGATAATTTTCCAAGGTCACACAGATAATTAGTAGCAGAACAAGGCCTCAAATGTAAGTATTCAAATGCCTAACTAGGGTAGTTTCAACCAAATAAAGGTCACGCTGTTCTAAAGCATTAAAAAATAAAACAGAGTAAAGAGCTCTGTCATCAAGTACTTTCTAAAGAGGTAATAGTGAACATGTCTATATATGCCTATATATGTAGCATAAAAATACATATGCATATTTACAGGTTTATATATATACATATTACATATATACACATATATTATATATATACATACTATTTTTTGAATAAAATGTGTAGATATGCCCATATATCTTTCTTCTCTTTTACAATGCTTTAAAACATATTTTTTTCTCCTTGAAGAATATGTTGTACATTTTATTTCAACAATTATTAACATGCAAACTTTTTTGATAATAATGAAGAAATAAGCAGTGAGATTGAGATAGCTATTCAGAATATGTAATTGATTTTCTGCATGGTTCATTTGATTATCTTAAAGAAATTTCTACACTTCCAGAAATGAATCTAACACTTTAAAATTAAAATCACAATGGGAGGATATAGCAGAGACTATAACTTGTGTGTTAATAGTCATCTTCCTTCCTTTGCATAGCAATAAACTTTTTAGCTGAGTACAGAGATAGCCAGTCAGTCAAAGGCCAAATTTTCTAACATTTGGTACCTATAGTGACTTAAGAGTAAGTTCTGCTCTCTGGATTGTGACTGATATGATATATTCAACTTCTAAGGCATGCCTCCATAGGGAAGAAGCAGGCTCTCTTTTTCATTTCTCCTTCGCTGCTGCTGGAATGGAGTTACTGTAGTGATAGCTGCAGTAGTCACACAGAACCACAGCTAAAAGGAAACTAGCCCTCTAACACTGTGAATACCAGCTATAAAAGGCCTTCCTAACATAAGTGTGAAAAATACTCGTATCCTGTGAAAGCTACCATTTGAGTCTTTTACTTCAGAGTAACTTAACATGTACCCTAATTTAACTGGAATTGATTTGACTAGGAATTTAGATGTTTCCATTCATTGATAATTTTATGTGCAAAATATTTAAACAATTGGAATAAAAAATGCAAGTTGGCTTGACAAAATGCTGATAAAAATTCTTCCAACCTAAGAACAATTTAAAAAATAAATCATTAAAAGTAAATTTAACAGTTTATTTCATAGAACATTGGCTTTTCTACATAAATAATGGTATTACATTGTATCTCTGCACTTCCCATATGTTCACCTTGAATTTGCAGAACTATCTGCAATACTAGAGAGATCCATTCCACATTCCCACTTGACCTCCACCATGGTATGCTTTGACTGTCTTTCCTCTGTGCTGTTCTGGATATTCCAGAGGTATATCCTGTTAAAATACCTGTATCATAGGACTTACACCCTGTTATTATAATTGTGTATTTACTTATTTTTATTGTTAATTGAAGCAAGACACCTCAGTATTAGCACTGTTAATTCCCAGTTCACTGACGATGCTCAGTGTCTTTGCATTTGATATTTATTTCTTTTCCTCAGATCTACATTGGCCAGCTGGCCACATCTTTCATTGTCTTTGTTCAAATTTTGCCTCTTCAGGGAGATTTATCTATGTAAAATGGCACCCTCCTCCCCAGTCAATCATTATCATGTTAACCTGCTTATTTCCTTCATAGATTTTAATATCAGGAATTATCTGATGCATTTATTTGTTGATTGTCGATTGTTTTCTCCTTGCAGTTTTTTTGAATGTACATTACATAGGAGAAAGAGTGCTGGGATTCTTCAAATTCAAACATGGATATAGTTTCTACCTTCATTGGACTGATAGAGCAGTGAAGAAAGCAAATATTTAACAATGATTACTCATGCAACCATTAAAAGGGTAATGTGACTCTTACAAAAATGAAATATTTAATTTGATCACAAACAGTATTTATTTATTTCTTAAGTGAACGAATCATAGTTACTGTGTCTCACCATTGTACACAATATGGAATAAAATTATAACTGTAGATAAATTAGTAATGCAGCATTATGAGTCTTTTCTAATAAACTGTTATTTAAATTGATATATTTTATATTTTTATCTGAATTTATTTTTATTTCTGAACTAAAGAGATGATTATACATTTGAACAGCTATTCCAAATTTTATCTTTGAAACTGCACGTTAATACATCCTTTATTAATCTGCCTAAGTGAGAAACACCTAATAGAAATAAATGTGGTCAATAATATAATTTGAAATATTAAAGTGTTTTAAAGTATTTATAGTTATTCATTTATATAAAATACAACATATTGGCCTATTTAAAACATTTTGTAAAAGATCAGTTGTTTTTCAAGGTATTTAATCAAATGTCAGTTCTACCAACATATAATTAGGTTTCATCCTGTCTTTTCTTCTTTTTACAGTTCTGAATATACAGACTTTCTAAAAGTTACATGAGTTTTTGTTACACCCACAATTATCTATTTGAATAAACAAGTACTATATCATAGCTAAGCTCACACATCAAACTAACCGTCACTGTGGCCAAGTAAATTCCCTTCACAATGAAATCAAAATAAAAGTAATGTTGTCACTTCTGGAAGAAAGACTTAGTAAAGATTGCACATTTCAGTTTGTATTTCCTGCCCTAGCAATTATGGGTATATATGGCAAAATGGACCACCCATCAGCCTGGCTATCTGAGTGACTACAAGAAACTGAGTCCTTTCTAATTTTTTTTGGACTGGGAGAGTGAGTGAATGATGAACTTTTTTCATGTTACATCGCTGAAAACCTAGGATTTGTATGTTATAGCAGTGTAATCTAGTTCACTATTTCAACTTGAGGATTCCAGGATCAATAGGATAGGGAAAGAAAAGACAAAGAGTGATTCATTGAGTCAAATTTCTTGGTCCAGAAGTAATATCAATGCTGCTTTCAATTCATTGGCTGTAATTAGTATCATGTCTCCATCTAAATACAATGGAGTTGGAAAAATCAGGTAGGAGGATACAAAGATCCCCAGTAGTCAGTCAACATTTCTATCTCATACTTATTCATAATTATGTGAATTTCATAAGTTACTTCTTTGAACTTCGTTATTCTTCCTCTAGATAAATGGAGAAATAACCACTTTATGTGGTTGTGGTAAGGTTTAGATTCTATGATATATGTGCAAGATTTATCATATAGTAAGTCCCAGGACTACTTTCCCAGACTTTAAAATGACTTTTAATTACATTTTTTGTAATTACATAACTTCATCAATTTGTTATATAAATATTTATCACACAATTACAATGTGTTATTTAACTGACAATTCAATTTTATCATCCACAAACTATTTTTGCTAGCTTCTCAGTGATATATTGATTTACAATTGATGATGTATGTCTACATCAAATGGACATGAGTTGGTTGATGAATAAAGGTTATCATTCTCCACTGGTTTCACAGAACTTAAATATCAACTTGATCTAGAATTTAATTTCTTAGAAGTCTGTCCAATATCTGACAAAAATGGTAGAATGAGATATAATTCCACACTCAATACACATTATTTGTTAATAAATTATGCTTCCAGGATTAATTCCTATTTGATATTTGCTGTGATTTACCAGTTTATCACATAAAAGATGAATTGCCTTTACCTATGCACGAAGTAGCAGAGAATCAAGAGAAAGATTAAATCATGCAAACTAATGTCTGACATATGTGATGAAAAGGGATATTGGATGTAACATATCTTAAATATAGCTAATGCTTTGAAAATTCTTCCTGACTCAATTTATTTATCAAAGCTTGACTTACACTAGATCAAAAAAGATCTTTATACCAATACCGGTTCTACAGTAGAACATACAAAATAATTTTAAAATCTTACAGATATGTCCAATTATTATCTCATAAGAATAAATACTTGAAAGTTCTGATTTGATTTGCAAAGTCTACCATGTATATACACAGCAGTCAGAATAAAATTTTCACTGTGTTTTTATTTATACATATCTCCTTTTCCAAAGCATAAATAAATCATATTTGATATCATCTGATAATCCCATTTACACAAAACCACTCAGTTATTGTCATCTAAGAAAGGATCAAGATTAGGGACATCAGAGTGAGAAAGCT
This sequence comes from Homo sapiens, assembly GCF_000001405.40. Lineage (NCBI taxonomy): Eukaryota > Metazoa > Chordata > Mammalia > Primates > Hominidae > Homo > Homo sapiens. Next base: position 190,129,210 of record NC_000001.11, read on the forward strand.
AATAAACAAATCCTATTTTTTTAGTCGTTTTCCTCTTACCAATAGTTTCCTCTATGTAAACCAATTGTAAAATGTATTCAGCTCAGACAGTAATTTTAAAGAAACAGAGTTATCTTTTAAAAGTGACATGGTAGTAATTTTATTGTCTACTAGATTAAGAGTGCATGGAGAGACATTTTTGGTCATCTACATGCAAATAAGCATTGAATTATAATTTCAGTTTGTAGTGTTATATTATTTACCAGTTCTGGGGATACTTGTAATTCATGCAGTAGATAATTACAGCATTGTTCTTTTAAATACCATTAGAAAAGAACAGGTGCAGTTTCTGAACACTAAGGACAATAAGCCAATCTGTGTTTAGAGCAGCATGCTTAGTGTGAAGAATGAGAATGTTACTGATGTGATGAGGACTTTTAAACTGTAGATGATGTTAGCAAACAAAGGATTGTTTTTAGTTGCCTTGTTAGCAGTCTTTATTATTCCGTTAGCATTTTCTCCCAAAAGTTTAGGACAATTTCTAGAGAAATGTGTATATCAATTCTATATACTGTAATGATTAACACAGAATGCTATTTGCATGCTGTACTTCTAAAATCAAGACAGAATAAGAGAATAATAATCATGATAAATATATCGATAAGACAGCCAATTCTCATTTTACAAGAACATGGTGAACACGAATCCATTCTTTAGACAACATTTAACATTCCTATAAGATTCAAATATCTATTCTGGAGTCTGACTTTCTGAATACATATCTCTACGTAGTTGTGCTTACAAATAAATAATTTGCCAGTTGAGACAAAATAATTTAGTAGAACCTTATATATTCAGGAAAAAATTCTAGCATCGTGTCCAGATATCAATTTGGCTTCTACAAAAAAATTTGTCTGACTTTTGATGTGTTTCTTATCTCTCTAGTTTGCAAGTTTTAAGAGCAAATAAGAGAATTGACCCAAATCTTTGAGCTGTTTGACTATATGCCTCCTTTTTATTAATTGACAAATAAACAAAAACTCCTCTGTTTCTTGTGGCCTGTCTTCATGCTGCTCTTTGAAAAATCAGGAGTCTACGTTTGGGCCAAACTCTTCATGCTGTTTTTTGTTTGCTGCTTTGTTTTACTCAATTTAAGTCTTTTATCAAAAAATGTTTTTACTTACTCTTATAATTAGTGAATAAACTAGATTTCATATCTTTAAAACTTTTTCGCTGATTTCATTAACCTTAAGCATTATTTTAATCATCTGAAGAGTGGAAAAATTTGCTAACTATGAAGGTCCTGGGCAGAACAAGGAAGAGAGTCCTTCTGCCTCCTGTCCACCACACTTCCCCTTATCCTAATGTTTGCTGAGCACTTTTCATATTCTAGATCCTGTTCTAAAAGTGCCATATGCATTATCTTACCTAATTTTCTAAAGAACGGTAAGTATTCATATGACATTTTGAAGTTATCACTAAGAAGTGACTGTACAGCCAGGGATTGTGTTTCTCAGTCAGCTTTGCATCCAGGTATAGCCACGTGACAAGTTCTTGACCACACAGTCAGTATGAATGGCAGAGATAACTACTAATTTGGGCCCTTATAAAACAGGCGGTGCTTTCCCACATACTCCTGCCCCTGCCCCTTTTACTGACCAGATGCTAATGTACCAAGTAAACTTGGAAGCCACTCATCAAAAATGAAAAGCCACCATACATCGGGATTCCTGAACGATTATCTGCAGCTAAAGTACAAGTTCTCACACCAGTATAATCCTGCTCCCTATGCCCTATCACCTTGGGTTCTTTTAACGTGGAAAAGCAAATCCATATTGTGTTCATTCATTACTCATTGTGAGTCTATTTGTTCTATCAGCTTGCCCTAACTGATTCAGATAGATATTATTATCCTCATTTTATAGATGAAGAAACTAGGACCAAGAGAGTTTAGGTTGCTTGTTTGACAGTAAAAGGTTATGTGTGTGTGGCGGGGGGTGGGGGGTGGGGGGACAGGGAAGCTAACTCCAAAAACGTGCTACCAAAAGCTGTGTACAAAGCCTTCACTCAAAGTTAAGTGGATATAGGATGTTTTGACAGTAATCGACACTGGGTGGATATTCATGAGTTAAAATGTTGAGATTAACCAGTAATGTATAATTTTCAAGAACCCAACATAGTAATAATAACGATAACCATTTCTATTCCACTACTGCAGCTATCCTAACATGGTACATAATATCTCTGTCAATGTAGATTCCAGGTTAGAAACTCATGTTTTTCTAAAGGCTTCTGACTCCCACATTCTCACACATCCTTGTAGTCTACAAGGTCTGTCTATTGTATTTCCTCAATGTATCTTTTATTTATGCCCGTCTTCTGTGAAAAACTTTGTCATCTGTAGTCTAATGTCCCCTGCCTCTAATTTCAACCTTTCTTAGCTACATTTTATACTATCACCATTGTGAAATATTTAACAAGTAAATCTGGTAGTATCATTCTCCTGCTCCAACAATTCAGCCCACAGTTAATTCACATTGTGGACTTACCCAGCTCTCCATGATCTTGCTCCTATCTACAAATGCATTTTCATTTACTCCATCTTTTTCTTTGAATTTATGAGCTAGAAACTCTAAACTATAACAGATACCAGACATTATCAGATTTAATATTCTGTATTGGTCATTTGCAATGGTGACTTTGGAAATATATGGATATAATAGTACCTACAACATAGGGCTGTTAGGATGGATAAGAAAACATATGCAAAATGTGCAGCGAAGTTTTAAACTGTCTATCCTGGCTAGTGTGTAGAAGCAAAGGACTTGACTGAAATGAAAGTTTGCCAATTGTCTGTAATCTAAGCATCAATTTATAATATTCTTTAGTATAAAATGTATGGAATACTCAGGACCTATGTATCAAATTTGCCAATGACCTTTAATTATAGATTCCTGAACATATCTGCAATGTTCATGATTCTGTAGATTTGCATATCATACTCTTCTGCCTATAGCCTCCTATAGATGGGTAATTTACCTAGAAACTACCTAATCAATCATTCTTTAAATCTTACCTAACATTATAACTTCATTGTGAAACTTTTATTCCCAAACAGAATTGGGTTGATTTCACTTATGTTAACAGTGCCCTCATGTTATGCCATTACAATTTTCGTAGTGTATTGTATTACATCATGTAGGACTGTGTTATCTTAGATATTTGTATTATATTGGGTTGTAGTAAAACTCATTTCAATGTATCTTTATCAAATTGCATTTTAAGCTGTTTGTATCATATTTTTTCTTATCCAATTGTAAATTTCTTCAGAGCATAAACGTTAAATATTCATCCTATTCTTCATATTATTTAGGAAAATGTTTAGCACAAGGTTGACATTTAATGTTTACAGAATCAGACACATAACATAATAAATGAATGTGCATTTATTCAGAACTTACACAATATTGTACTCCATTTTATCCTCTGGATTTTGTGGTGAATTTAAAATATGTTCACAAGTTCTTTGAAATTCCTTCCATCAAGAAGTGGGGCTTAATTACCCTTTCCTTGAGTGTGGAAAAGATTTGCATCTCACAGATAGCAACTGATGAAAATGACTGTAACTTCTGAGAATAAGTCATAAAAGGTTTTGTGTTTTCCTTCTCACTCTAACTTTTGGATCACTAACTTTGAAGGAAGCCAGCTAACACGTCATAAGGACACTCAAAAAGCACTTTGACAAGTCCACCTGTCAAGGATCTGACAACTCCTGCCAATAGTCATGCTAGTGAGCCATCTTGGAAGTAAATCTCTCCCAGGCCCAGTGAGGCCTACATATGACTGCAGTCTGGCAGGTAGCTGGACTGCAACTTCATGAGAGATCCTGAGTGAGAATACTTAACTAAGCTACTCCCCAAATCCTGACCCCCAGAAACTATGAGATAATAAATGTTCTAAGTTTTAGGGAAATTTGTTTTGCAGCCATAGATAACTAGCATTTTATAGATTATAGTAAGACTATACTTGTATTCTCTAAGAACTTGTAACACTGCATCTATGGGAAATTCATACTCATCCATAGGATACAATTATAATGTAAAATAGTTTATTATGTGGTTTTAAATGATTAATTTAACAAATATTTACCAAACATCTACTGTCTTACTGAAAATAAATATATGCATTATAACTTAAGAATTTTACTTCTGAGCATGTATTACAGAAGAATCCCCACAAATCAGAGGCAGGACATGCAGCAGCATATTTACTGTGGCATAGTATAGAGTGGGAGGTGTTATAGATAATTTGGAATCACATCATGAGGGAATGGATTAAAAAAAGTATGATGGATGAAAAGCATAATGGATGCAGGCTAAAAATATATATATTCTACAGCAATTAAACATCAAACAATATAGGCAGATAAGAATGGATGCATCTTAAAAACATACTTAATGTAAAAATGCAAAAACATGATGCATAATACACTTAATACAAATTGAATATGCATACTTGTACATCATTACATGTTACAATAGTACATCCATATTTAAGGACATATATCAAGCCCAATACGGTGGGTATGTCTTTTGGGGAAGGGAATGGAAGTCAGGATAAGGGATTTAAAAGGGCAAACTACATATATTCATAAAATGAGGCAGGGTCCTGGCCTAGAAAGAAAATGGTAACTATGAAATGTAACTTAAATCTCTGTATGTAAGTTAAAAGAAAAAGTCAAACCAGACACATAAAACAAAATATAAAAGCAAAACAAACAAAAAACCCCAAAACCACTTACTACATTTCTTGTGTTGGGGGATTTAAAATACAACAGCGAAAAAGAGAAATAGTCCCACTGGGGCTTTCATTCTCAATATATAAGTGAAATAATAAATAAACAGGAAAATTTTAAGAAAGCGTTAAGTGCTGTGAAATGATTAAGGGTGTGACATGATACATAATAATACATGAGGTCTACGGTGGTTAGGGAGTCTTGGGAAAGCCTCTTCGTGGAGGTGATATTTCAACTGAAAGCCAAATGATTAGAATTAGTTCTCTGTGCAAAGATGTACAAAAGGATATGTGTTCCAGGTAGAGTGCAGATGCCTCGGCTTGGCAAGACAGGGATAACAAAGATCAATGTTGCTGTAACATCATGAGTTCATTGAGAGTGACAAAGCAGGATTATGTTAGTCGTAAGAAACAGGTTTAGATTTTAGCATTAGTGAAAAGGAAATCAGGGTAGAAAAAAATAGGTTTTACAAAATAAACATCATAACTGCTGTGTGGAGAATGAATTCAAAAGAAGGGCGGGAGTGAAATGACAAAGACTAGTTATGATGCTACAGCTATAGTTATACTTTTAGGAAGACATATAATTATTCTGAGCAGTGATGGAAACAGTAGCATTTGAAAGATTCTAAAGAGTCTCCAGAGACAGGCAGGAGTCATACAAACCAAGTGGGTTAGATGAGGGACTTCAGTTTTATTCCAGAGCAAATGGGTAAAAATAAAATTGCATGATCTGATTTATAAAATGATAGCCTACATTTTAACCCATGCTTTTGGGAGGGATATTAAATTTGCATAATGCGCAAACATTAAATATATGAGTAATAATAAAGTGTCAACATTTGGTGTCACTGATCCTACAGAGCTGGAACATGAGCTTTTAGGACAAGGCAAGAAACCTCCAGAGGAGGCTGGGAAAAGTCAGATGAGAGGTGTATCTCAGTGCCTCTTTACTACAGGTTTAGTGACAAATTTAGTTACCTGCTGAAGTACACATGTTATTTAAGGATGATTTTAGCATCTAGAATAGTAAATGTATATACATCAATTAGCATCAGAAGTGTCTGCCAATGCCTGGCTTGATAAGACTCTGACCTTTCTTGAAGATAATCTTCCCAAGAAACCTAGATGAATTCTCCTGGTTGAATCTTCACAAAGCATTACTGCATTTGTGATAACAAATGCATATGGGAATTAATCCTTTCAAGATGCTGTTAAAAATACTCAATAAAAATCAAGAACTAGTAATGCTGCCATGATAGAATTTTTAAATAATAAGATTTTAATGGTATACACATTGTTAAAAGCTCTTTTATGGAAATGTTTCTGGGAATATTCCCTGTTTCAGTTATGCTTGGGGATTTTCTTCCATTTGTTAGTAGAATTGGGAGTTCATGAGCTTTAGTATTGTGGAGATGACATTTCTTTTCCAAAGCATTTAGAAATTTGTTATAATTTTTAATATAGTGGTTATACTTAATTTTGGTGTGTATGCATACAAATGGGCAACAGAAACCACTTTTGGAAATTAAAGTAATATTGTAGAAGTAGCCAGAAATCATAATTGTGTACATTTCATGTTCCATGGAGATAACAATAATCATGCCAATGACAAATATGTTTGTTTTTAATAAAATTACCAATGATACTTGCATGTGACTCCCTGATTTCTGGTAATAGCCCCAGGCTAAACTTGAGCATCATGTAGTCATCTTGAATCATGATTTTGTAAAGGGGTAGATTACAAATTATAAATTAATAAATAATTATTTCTGCATTAGTTTATATTCTTCATATTATCTGAATATTGCAGGTTGCCTACAACATACGTAAAAAGGCAGAATGCAGCACAGCATATATCATTTTTCCTATTTTATTAAAATTTGTGAATATTTCTCTAACTCTCTTATCTCTATACCAAGACACAAATATGTAAAATAATGCACACATTACTATAGTAGCTAACTTCTTGTGGAACAAAATTATCTTACCATGAAATGTACTTAAAATTAAGTCTAGAAATAATAAGACAATTATGACTAAGGTGTGTGAGTGTATTTGTGTAGCAAACGTCTTCTATTCACCCCATAACAAGAGGCACATGCCCTGGTTTCCTATTTTGTTAAAGATAAAAAAATATTTCATGAGAGAAATTCCAATACAGTACAATCATATTAAGAGAGTATTCATATTCAAAATCTCCAGAATATAATATATTGCTATCATTTTTTGAAAATTTTCTTTATATTTTGTTTTAAAAAGATAATTAATACATCCTTAGAGTTTTAAAAATGTTGACTTAATTAGCAATGCACTTAAAGATCTAACAACCATTGTTTAACACATTGATTGGGTTGATTTGGGTTGCTGGGGATCTTTGTTTAACAAAATCACTACCTCTTAGGCTATGTACCTAGCCACCACAACTGAACTCAGTTCATCACATGGATTCCTTCTTTTCTATTCCCATTAGCTATGCACTAATTGCAGTTTTTCTCTAATGCTTACATTATTCCAGTATACTGCTCACCTTCTTCCCTGCCTTCCCTCTTTGAATAATCTTGTTTGTCCAAATTTTTAACTTAAAACAATGCTTCAGCTATTATTTTCTTCATTGAAAATTAAATTACCATGAGCTTACAATTTTAACATACGCAAACATTTTTATTTTTTCCATCATCTAATTCAAATTTTTCATATAGTCTGCATAAGTCTTGTAATTTGAGGGAAGCCATTATTCTTACCTTAATTTTTACTCATAAATAAATATGAAGAGACTTTTCCAAAATACTAATAGGAAGCAAATGTAAACCTAGAAGAGCTATGAGAAGTGCATATGGGATAATCATGGTTGCCAATTATTGAGCACTTACTACATAACAGATATTTATTAAACACTTGAAATTCAACCAGTCATTTATTTAAATTGACCCCAAATAAATTAAATATATATTTATATAAAATGCTTATTTAAAAGCTGGGGTATGGTAATTAATCAAATTAATCTATTATAAGTTCTCACAATATCTGGATGAGTAGGTATCACTGTTCCCCAATTTACAGATAAACTAAGGTATAGTGTAGCTATGTGTCTTGCTCATTAAGAGACAATAAATAATGAAAGAACCATGATTTGAACATGACTCTTTTCGAATAAAACATTCTGTTTTTAATCTCTAGACTCCACTGAAGGAGGTTTGGGGAAAAAAGGCAGGAGTAAAATTTTGAAGGCCCAAGGCAATACAATTTTTTCTTTGTGAGCTATGAAGAATTATAGATGAAAGAGAGCAAATAAGGATGCCAGTTTATCCGGTTTTTATTTTTGGAAAAGAAATACTCTGATTGCCATGTGAAGGAAAAATTGAAATGATCTGAGACTGGAGGCAGGGAGCTATATCCCAACTAGATATACAAATATTCTCTCGGGTGAGAATTCTAGACTTGGAACCAAAGTTTAAAAAAAAAAAAAAAACCTGAAAAAATGCTTCGCATTATAGACAAGAGGTGGAGGGGAAGGAAGTACAATACAAGAATTGTCTGGAATGATAATGGTGTGATTACAGAAGTAGCACATCAGGAGGATGTGAGATCATAGAAACTGAAAAGAGAGAATTTTTAAAAAGAGCAAAACCCGTACAGTTTTTAAGTATTTCCAGGTTGACAAGAAGTGATACGCCATTTGATCTGGCAATTAGATGGTCATTATTTTAAGACTGATGGAAGAAGATAGTAATATTGGAGTGAAAGCCATTCTTCAATGTTTTAAAGAGTGGATGATATTAGATAAGTAAGAAAGAGGAAACTAAAAGAGAATAAAGAAAAAAGTACATATTGATTATATTGATTAAATATAAATTATTTTAGATACTTTACATATGCTGATTCTTGTAACCATGACAACTGTCTTATCTTCCATTCTACAAATGATGCAACCTGACTTTACAGAAATTATGAAAAGACTTCCTAGTTTTTTTTTTTTGTTTGTATTTTAGATGGAGTTTTGCTCTTTTTGCCCAGGCTGGAGTACAATGGCATGAGCTCGGCTCACCGCAACCTCTGCCTCCCAGGTTCAAGCGATTCTCCTGCCTCAGCCTCCTGAGTAGCTGGGATTACAGGCATGTACCAGCACGCCTGGCTAATTTTGTATTTTTAGTAAAGACGGGGTTTCTCCATGTTGGTCAGTCTGGTCTTGAACTCCCGACCTCAGGTGATCTGCCCACCTTGGCCTCCCAAAGTGCTGAGATTACAGGTGTGAGCCACCACACCTGGCCAAGACTTCCTAGTTTTTGAATGGTAGATCCCCAGCAACCCAACAAATTTATTTATTAGTGTTATGAGAATCTTTATTTCAATGAAGACTGCTAAACATGAGTTACACATGATTTGAGGTGAAGTTATTGCATAAGTTAAAAAAACAAATCCTTGTATTATTCAGTTCTCAGTTTAAAATCACCTTCCAGATATGAAACAAGAAATATCAGAAAGCAGGTATGAGTCAGAAAATGACTTGGTAGCTCATTGCAGACAAGAGAGTCGTAGGAAAACCCAAAGAGCTCAGATGTTAGTTTTTGTGCTTTGCCCTCTGTGTTGAGCCTTGGTATAGGTGGCATATGTGGTGGGCAGGGGTTTGAGGGAGAAATAATTGAACGCTGTGAAACTTGGGGATCAGGGCAAAAGGGAGCCAGCAGTCCACCTGCAGAGTTGCAGAACTGAGGCTGGGTGTAGCTTTGCAGAGATACCAGCAACAGAGACAGGTGGGTCTCAGAAAGGTTGGTAGAATGGCCATGTCCTTCTTTGTGTCCAGACCAAGAAAGGACAAAGGACCTCAATGACTTAGTACAAAAATGAGGAAGATGCTGAGTAGCCTGTGTAGCTTTGTCTCCTTCAGAGCCTGAGTCCAGATCATATACATCTCAATGGCGGCAGCAGGGACAGGCAAACAAAACTGGAGTTCCACAATAGTGGGGCTTAGAAAATCCATGCTGGGTTTAGAATCAACCCAAGAAAGGAGAGAAAAAGCCTTGAGAGGGAATTTTATAACTGAATGCAATGAAATGACAGACCAGAGTTGAACTTTGGATTTAGAAAGAATATACCTAAAAGTGCTTAGATTCCATTTCTGCATTAGGTAAAATAGATGGGTCACTGTCAGAAGACCGCATCATAGAAAAAAAAAAAATGATCGGCCCGGAGCCGTGGCTCACACCTGTAATCCCAGCCTTTGGAAGGCCTAGGCGGGCAGATCGCTTGAGCCTAGGGGTTTGAGACCAGCCTGGGCAACATGGTGAAACCCCCTCTGTCTCTACTAAAAATACAAAAATTAGCCAGGCATGGTGGCAGGTACCTGTAATCCCAGCTACCTGGGAGGCTTAAGCGGGAGAATCACTTGAACCTGGGAAGCAAAGGTTGCAGTGAGACAAGATCTCACCACTGCACTCCAGCCTGGGTGATAGAGTGAGACTCTGTCTCAAAAAAAAAAAAAAAAAAAGAAAGAAAGAAAAGAAAAAAAATGATCTTTGTCATCTGACATTTGAGTGTCTGACTTGCAAAATCATATTGAATATGAATTATTTTATTAATTTTTATGTGTGAAAAAATACTAGGTCTGCTGCTAATAAAGAACATTAGAAGGAAAGGTGGGCAGGGAGGCTTGAAGGAAATAGTAAATAAACATTTTCAAGTCACTGTAGGAAAGGAGCAAAAATGTGACTTTATTGCTGAATGATATACAGAGTTCAGTCAAGCCAGATTTGAGACAATATAGCATACGACATAAATCTACATAGTTAAGGTTTTCTCCAGGCAACATTTAGTGTTACCTTTCTCATGTTTGTAGGCCCAATATTATATCTATGGTAAACATGTTTTGGATACTCATTATGTTAAGTCAAGGGGCTACCCCATGAGTAAACCACAATCCTTGTCTCTGAGGGCTTGCTTTCTATTGGAAAATACAAACGTAAGCGAATAAATACGATAAAAATGTAATATGACAAAATTGAGAAATATTGAATTCCAAAAGACAATTTCTAACTTTGTTGTAGAGAAAGGGGTTAAGAAAAATTTTCAAGAAAGGAGATAATATTTCAACTGGGTTTTGAAAACATCTATAGCAAATAGTGGAAATAGGTTAAAAATATTTTAGGAAAAAACAGCTAAGCTGCACTTAATTTGAGTATTTTTTATTTTGTGAAACATTACCAGAAGCATTTCTCCACTTAAACTTTATTTCTTGCAAATATTGTTCATGTTGAAGCGAATCTATACAAACACTTTTCACTAACATTCAAAACCATCTTGGTTATCCTTTTAAATATACTTGTATTATTAGTCTAAATATAAAGATTCATAGAAAGATAAGAAGATGCAAAATCTACAATTATATGTGATACTATTATTATTATATGTTTATTAAATGACTTCATTTGCCATGAAAACATAATTTACCTGATATATCTGTTTACTTAACCACACTGTATGAAAATGTGCCACACAGAACTATATTTACACATATAAACCTACTATTAATTATTAATCTTATGGCAAGCATAAAAGTAAACTTTTATATTAATACAGTTTAATTTTATTTCCTAAAACCATAAATTTTAGGATAAAAAATAAATTAATTTTGACATTGCTCAACATCAAACAAACTTTAATAAAATGTTAAAATTAAAGCTGTAGAATTTGTTTTCAAATTTAGTGAGATGAACTGTATTTCAAAACAGCACATAAACATTGAACTAGTCACATAATTCAAGGATACCAAAATTAGCATTCCATGGATTCATTCATTAGAAAGTACTGGTGGCCTCTTTACCCACATAGTGTAAAGCTATTCATGCCAGCAGCTTAAGACACTCAAGTTTGCCAAATTTCACAGGTGCTGCCTGAAGAGAATGATAGTCTGCCACTCCTCCCTTGCAAAAGACAAATCTCTATTCACAAGAGCGGGAAAACTTACAAACAGAGAGGCTATTTTTTAAAATCTTTGATGCTAATTCAAATAGGAACTTGACCAGTTGTACCTCCTCTTAGCAACAGGTGCAGAATTATACACTGACTCTCCTATAAATATTCTTGAAAGAATCCCTTGGCTTTAGCATTTTAATGCCATGTTTCTTTAAATGAGGCCTGTTTTTCATAGGTTTTCTAATTTGAATGTTATACTCTTGCAGACTGTACCTAATTTATTTTACTAATGAAAATATCAAATGTCAATTGATTTGTATCTCTTGTGGAAATTTTGCCATTAAGATATTAATATAATATATTTTATAGATGTTCTGCTAGTAAAAAGAAGCTCCTGTTTTTCATCAATACTAAATTGCTATAACTCTTCGTTATTTTCCCAGTAGTAAAGATAATTTTATGCCTGGAATTTAAATCCATATTCTTGATTGAGATGTTTGTTTGTCTGCAGTGTAGTCAAGAAGACACTGCACTAGACTGGGGCTCAATTCCAGAATTAACACCACAATTTTATAACTGTATAACCTTTAGAATATCACTTAATATTTTAATCCTCTTTCTTTCTCTTTTTCTTTCTTTCTCTCTCTCTTTCTTTCTTTCCTTTTTTTTTTTTTTTTTTTTTTTTGAGACAGAGTCTTGCTCTGTCACCCAGGCTAGTGTGAAGTGGCACGATCTCCGCTCACTGCAACCTCCACCTCCTGGTTCAAGCAATTCTCCTGCCTCAGCCTCCTAAGTAGCTGGGTTACAGGCGTGTGCCATCATGCTGGGCTAATTTTTGTATTTTTAGGAGAGACAGGATTTCACCATGTTGGTCAGGCTGGTCTCAAACTCCTGACCTTGTGATCAGCCTGCCACGGCCTCCAAAAGTGTTGGGATCACAGGTGTGAGCCACCACGCCTAGCCTTAATCCTCATTATTTTTCCTATATGTAAAATAAAATAATAAAGACTGATTTGTACATCCCAAGTAGTTAATGTGAGGATCAAAAAAGATATCGATTATGAAAAATATGAATAAAAGTTTAAAAAGTAAAAAGTAAACATGAAAAGAAAAAACATATATAAAATAAAAAGACTCTTTTTTCCAGAAGAAAATATGGGAGAAAATCTGTTCAAGTTGTGATTGGCAAAAATTTCTTTGGACTCAACCTTTCTACCTATAGAAGAAAATAATTGATGAATTAGACTTTATTAATGGCAATCCACATTCTGGTTGGCCACATTTACAAGTCAGAAAAAAAGTGCTTGCCTCAGAATATGTAAATAATTATTTTCAACTAATAATGGGAATACAAACATCTCAATAAAAATGAACAACATAATTGAAGAAACATTTTACATAACCTGATATATGAAAGGTCAAGAAGCACCTGAAATGATAACTAATCATAATTAGTTATGTGGAAAGGAAATCTCATTCTAGTCAGAAAGTGGAAAACTGCTAAGGATTTGGATATGGCTAGAGCTGAAAACAGAGTTAAAGAAAGGTTTTTGCTTTTGCGCTGGCATTGGAAATGATAAGATTCATGCTATTTTTTTAAGTAATTCTATTTTAATACGTGTGTATTGATCTCTGTTTTTACAGAAAATGCCAGGTACAAAGGTATAGTTTATCTTGGATACTAATTTGAGTGGGGTTTTGTCTTCATTTTTTACAATTTAATTTTCTTTTTTTCTTTTCTATAAGTGTTTGACACCATACTTGTCTTCATTTTAATAGTGTTCAGAGTATAACCTATCAGAAATATTTTTATACTTGAAAAAATACAACTTTCAAATAAAAAAATTAAAAATATGGAATTGAAGTATGCCTGAGACAAGTTAATCTAATTATCAAAAAGCTCACTTTTTGCTTCAGCAATATGTTTTATTTAGGGAAAAAAAAAAAGTTGGCCTTTCTGGACTAAAGAGATCTGAGATAAAAGGAGAGACTAAAACTATGCCTGGAAAACTTTTATTGAAAAAATTTCCTGAAAGGCCGTAAGTAGTTTTTATTTTTCCTTTTCCAGATATTAGAATTTTGGCTTGAGTTTTCTGTGGTATCTGAGGAAAGAAAATAGGAGAAGAGAGCCTAGCTACCCAATTTCCTTCTTTAAAGTAAAGATGATTTGCAAGAAGTTTTCAATCAAAAAATTAAAATGTTTTAAAATATACAAAACATAGAACTATACATCAGCTTGGAGTGGAGGAAAATAAAATGCAAGTAGCCTATATACTTGTCCGATTATCTTTCTAAAGATTTTTGGCTTATGGAGAACAGCAAAACTCAGACTGAAGTTAGATTACCTCTACCACATGGAGACTGCTGGCTTTCGGAAGATGTGTCCACTCACTTCAGTTTGGTTAGGCCAAGACAAATAATAAAATCATGAAGACAACATGGAAACAGATGCAGAAAATGTAATTCTCCCCAGCTTCTGAATGCAAAGAGAAACTAGCTCACCAATGGAACTACTCAAAGGTCAAGCCTTTCAGTTAAAAATAGAAAACAGCCTTTTCCTAAGGGACATTGAGGGACCATTCTCATACCTGCAGGACCAATAGTCCTTTGTGGATATGGAAATAATAATAGAATGTTCTGAGAGGGATGCTTCAACAAGCAACACCCCCAAAACTGAGTTATTCCTCTATCTAGGCAATGTATATTTTTATAGATGAGTAAGGGCTGAATCCAAAAACATTTAATGACTAGCACTGCATGAACACCAGCCCATCAGAATGAACACCCAACATATAAGAATGGTATCAACTCTTACACTGCTATGTTCTGGCTCTAGCTGAATGTCAGTACTGAGGTATGCCATGACTATTTTAAGTCATTTTAGCCAAATTCAAGGTGGTGGCCAGGTAACATCCCTTTATCAAATGCTAACTGAACTACAAAATTTAGAATTATGAATCCCTAGACAGATTGGTAATCTGAAAGTTATGAGAATTGCATAGCCATGACCATTTATAATTTTATCAAATAATATGATCAATAAAACATTAATCTAATTTCCTCACAAATTTATGCAAGGAGCATGATGTCTGGTTGGCTTGTTTGGATATTGATGTCCATGAAAATGCATAGGAGAGTATTAAGGGGAAAATCCTCCCTATTTGTTGTACAAGATTCTTTAAGAGAGGCTGCAGAAACACCAAACAATGTACAGGCATAGGAGACACAAAATGTGCCAAGAAAATTACAGGAAATTTCAGTATCAATTAATGTCTTTTTGAAATGCAACCCCCTCCCCCTTTTTATTTCCTCTCTTTCACTAAACTGGCTCATAGCTAGTATCTTCCCCCAGTGCTCATATAAAATAATACAATGGCATCCATAGCATCCATATTTCATTCTCTAATTCTAACCTGCCCTAAAACAAAGTGGAAGTTCAGGGAAAGTATCTGACTCCAAGTTTAGGGCAGGGGAATTCATGATAGCCCTGGAATCTTGTTAATGGACAATGGCATCATCAACTGTGTAGTCTCATCTGGGATGTTAGTACCCTACAGAAATTTCAACCCATTGTGCTGTAGCCTTTCCTCTAGGTGGTCATTTATTTCCATTAAGATACTTTATATTTTAATAATTAAATTAGAAAACTAAGTATATTCATCTTTTTTTCCATTTTTGTATAATTTTTGTTAAAGTTACATCATTTTTATAAAAGATTGGCTTCCATAGTTTCTTGTTGCCTGGAAAAAACCTAAATAATATTTCTAACCTTCTAAAGTCAGAAAAATCTTACCGATGAACATATCTCATCTTCATACTTTCCAAAATGGGTATTTTATCACTTTTCCCAATGATCTGTCAGTCATCCCCAATAACTCTTTGACTATGTTTTCTATTACTATACTCTCCATGGGAAGCCACAGGGGCTCCTCATGATTCCTGGAGCACTCCAAGCCCCACTGCACCTCAGGAATTTGAACATGCTGCTGTTCAGTCGGCCTGTAATTCACTTCTCCAGATATACATATGGCATACTGCATTCTCACCTTCTTCATATCTTTGCAGACAGTCTTGTTTAAAATTGTAAACACAATGACAACCACATAGATACCTAACCCCTGGCATGTCCTTTTTTTCTTTTCTGGCTTATTTTTTCCATAATACTGATAATCTTCAAAAATAATATATAATTTGCCCATTTACTTTATTTTTTCACCCCACTAAATTATTAACTCATAATTTCCAGGCTATTTATATACATTATATATAATCTCTCTCTCTATAAAATTGCACAGGCTGATGTATGTCCTGTGTCATACATGACATTAAATGTTTATTTGTCCAATGAAATAAAAAATGGTTACAAGTTCTCAGTAACTTTAACTTTTTGTATGTTGATTTTGTGTCATGCAACTTTACTGAATTCATCTAAATCCCATTTAATTTTTTATTCCTTCTTCTTTATCAATTAAGGCATTTGTAACTATGATCTTTATTTTGAGTCTAGAATTCACTGTGTTCTCATAGCACTATGCAGTGTTCTCTTTTGAACTGCTTTCTTTAGAGTCTGAAATTTCCCTTTGAATTTTCTTTGAACAAAGGATTAAGTAGGAATGGGTTTCTTAATTTCCAATCAGGGAAGAATTTCATTTTTAAAAATTGCATGTCAACAATTTCACTTAAATGTAAATTAGTACAACCACTGTGGAAACCAGTATGGAGATTCCTTAAAGAACAAAAAGTAGACCTACCATTCAATCCAGCAATCCCACTACTGGGTATCTACCCAAAGGAAAAGAAGTCATCATATGAAAAAGACACATGCATACACATTTTTATAGCATCACAATTTGCAACTGCAAAGATATGAAACCAACCTAACTGCCCATCAACCAAAGGGTGAATAAAGAAAATGTTATTATGTATACATTCACATACATACATATATACACACATACCATGGAATACTACTCAACCATAAAAAGGAATAGAATAATGTCTTTTGCAGCAACTTGGTTGGAGCTCGAGGCCATTATTCTAAGTGAAGTTGCTCAGGAATGGAAAAACCAAATATCATATGTTCTCATTTATAAGTGGGAGTTAAGCTATAAGGACTTAAAGGCATAAAAATGATATAATGGACTTTGGGGACTTGGAGGGAAAGTTAAAAGGGGAGTGAGGGATCAAAGACCACACATTGGGTACAGTGTACACTGCTCAGGTGATGAGTGCTCTAAACCCTCAGAAATCATCAATAAAGAACTTATCCATGTAACCAGAAACCACCTGTACCCCAAAACTATTGGAATAATTTTTTAAAAGAGCATAAAAGTTCACTTAAAATATTTAACCTTATTAGATTATGATAAAATAAATGACCTAATCTGGACTTTGTTAAACTTTTAACATCAGGGAATTAATATAACCTTAAAAGGAGTGTCTTGGTATACCTTCTCCTTGTATACCTTTGTAGCCCACTTGAATGTTACACTCATAAATCAAATTGCTACATACACGTGAGTGTATTTGTAGACTTTGTAGCATTTTCCATACTATTTCAATTACTGTATAGTTATATAAATATTCACTATTTTAATTACTATATCATCATCACCACCATTACTATCATCATCATTATCAAATAGATTGTTTGAGTTTTAATAAATGCTGAGACTTTACACATATAAAAGAGATTCATTTTCATAATAATTTGGTAAGGAAAGTATTCATTATAGGTAGGAAACTGAAGTCAAAAGAGATTAAGCAATTTTCAGTGGCTACTCAGCAGTGTAGCCAGAGCACTTCTGGAACACTATTTTATTTCTTTAGAAAATATTTGAATATTTGGCAATCCTAGTCTACTATCATTATCCCTCTTTTAAAATATTATTTACTATATTTGCTTACTTGTTTTCCCACATAAATTTCAATTAATATTGTATTAAATTGATAATTAGTATTATATTGCAATATTAATTTAGTGGAAAATATTAATGGATAAAATATATACATACAGAATTATTTTTCCATTCAGAAAACGAGCAAGCTCTCCATGTATTCAAAATTTCCCTTAAATTGCCACAAGATTTTTATTACATTTATTTTCTTATATTACATATTTTGATATCCTTGTGGATGTATTCTTTTCTGTTATATTTTCTTAAGGAGTTTTGTTTGCGTATTGGTAGGCTATTCATTTTTATTTATTCTGTAGCTAGCAAATTTCTTTAAGTACATTTTTTCAGTTTTTTAAAATTATATTCTATGGGGCTTTCCATGTAAATATGCATGCCATCCACAACTAACAAGCATATTTTATTGTAAATATCAATATTGCGTATTTTCTAATTTTCAAATTATGTAGATTCAAGTTTTATTTACTGGCAAACTTACTAAACAAGGATAAACAATAAGTAATAGAAGACGATCTTTTCTTTGGCATAATTATACTATCCAATAAGAATAATTTATTTCAGGATAAAGTTTATATACCTTCTTGAGTTGATTATTCTATTAATTTGTTTAATAAGTAACATTTTCAGAACTAGAGTTTATAATATCTAAAGACACTTTATATATATGAAAGTCCTTTTGTTTTCCTCTCAAATAAAATATCAATTCACTAAGCAGAAAATTCTTCAGTCATATTTTTTCCTCTCAAAACACCATGCGTTAATCTACCATACCTTGCAATTAGTGTTTTAGATTAAAGAAATTGTTTTCATTCTTACTTGGTTACCTTTCCAGTGAGGAAAACAAAACAAAACAAAATTCTTTTGCTGTCACAGTCTTGGAAAGACAAGCTGGAAGTCAGTTTCCCTCTCATGGTTAGATTGGACTGCTATATTTGCTTTTATAACCATGTACTACTTGACATCCTGACAAACTGCTTTGTTCCTCTGGTTCTCCCTGAGAGAAGAAAGATAGGAATCTGAGAAGCCAATCTGTGGTCCAGAAAGAGCCGGTGGCCATGTCTGCCTTAGGTTACTTCCATCTAGAAATAAACAGGCCTGGATGTATGATAGACAAATGCTGTAATTGTTGACTTGGAGCCAGACATGTAAGATGAGCACGCTATTGTGCACACTTTTTCTCTTCCTTTGTGCCCATACACACAATAAGTAGGCTTTAAAATACGTCAAATATTTAAACTAATTGATGAACTAAGAAAAACTGAAATGGAGTAGCTAAAAATGATTGATATTAACTTAGAACCATTACATAATACAATTCTATTTTATATATTTTGCTTGGTGCTGAGTCTTTTTTCATCCAATTTCAAGAAAAGCTCTCTCTCTCTTTCTCATTGCCTCTTCTCAATGAAATATCAGTCTTCTCTCTATGGAAATTCTATTATGCATGCTGTATATTTTTACTCTCACCCATGCTCTTCATGAACCTCACTTTTAAAATAAATTCTTGCCGGGTGCAGTGGCTCACGCGTCATCCCAACACTTTGGGAGGCCGAGGCGGCGGATCAAGAGGTCAGGAGATCGAAACCATCCTGACTAACACGGAGAAACCCCATCTCTACTAAAAATACAAAAAAAAACTAGCCGGGCGTGGTGGCGGGCGCCTGTAGTCCCAGCTACTAGAGAGGCTGAGGCAGGAGAATGGTGTGAACCTGGGAAGTGGAGCTTGCAGTGAGCTGAGATCGCGCCGCTGTATACAGCCAGGGCGACAGAGTTGAGACTCTGTCACAAAATAAATAAATAAATAAATAAATAAATAAATAAATAAATAAATAAATAAATAAATTCTATCTCCTCATTCTTTATTTATAGTACTGCATTAGCTTGTTTTACTGTAATAAACTAATGCTCTTCTTTTAACAGTCTACTGTATTTTAGTTTTAAATTTAGTAATCATATTTTTATCTTCTAAACTTTTTCTTGTTTTCCTATTTTTCCATTCTATTACTTAATGTTTTTTGCATGAATTTAATACTTTCTCAAACTTTTCAATGATGACAGATTGGGAAGAACTAGGACACCTTCTTTAACAAACATGATAAACCTGAGAAATAACATGGTAGAGTAATGAAAAACTCGACGACCTCTATAGCCAGATTGCCTGAGTTTGGACTCTAGCTCTGCCACCAGTAGTTGAGTAATCTTGCTTAATTTGTTTAGATTATCAAAACTTCAGAATCCTCAATTGTGAATTTAAAGTAAAACTACTACCCACCTTATAACATTGTATTAAGTTAAAAATGAAAAATGGTAAAGCATTTAGAACAGTGTTTGACACACGTTTGTACTTAATACATGTTAGCTAATAACTAGTTAAACATGACAGTTGTCACTAGTGAGTCAGTTCCAGGATAATCTCTTTTAGCTCGTTATGTGGGTGGCTCTTCATCAAGAGATATTGGTGGATTCCACTGCATGTCTCTTCTGCTATTTAGATAGGTATTTCACTTACATGTGATGAATTGTGATTTGGTCAGCTTCAGCTTCATTCCTGTTTACTTTCTGCGGTTTATCTTTCAAAATATCTCTCCATATTATTGCATATTGATGAATGATTTAATAATTTCAGGTAGTGACACAGTTTTGTTCAGTTCAACAGGAATTTAGATGAGGTTATAAAAGAAAAATCATGTATTTAGATCATAATCAGGTATTGCTCTCCTTATGTATTAAATATATTGTTGAGGGAGCATGTACGTTTTTGTATACACGTCTCAGTGCGTGCGTGTTAGTGTGCACTTAGGATATTGTTGAGTAGTTGTGTGTGTGTGTGTGTGTGTGTGTGTGTGTATGTGAGAGAGAGAGACCTGGTAGAATTTCCTTATATTATTACTAATGTACATTGTTTTATATTTGTTTATGGCTAACTTTCCTGCTTATATGAGCTAATTTTGTTTCAGTTCAATACAAAGTGCTACCTGAGATTTGATCTTTTGTATTTCCTTTGAGGAGCCTACATGAATTCTTCCTGCTGAGCTTAATACAACCACCACAGCAAACTGACCTTCATTTTCTTGAGTGTTCTTTTGTCACATCAATGTTCTTTTGTGATGTTCTATTTGTTGTTGTCTGAAGTGCATTTAGATTGTGAGATAGGAGATTTTTATTTCAATTGGCATTGATTTTTGAAATGTATTCACTCACTTTATAACTTGTGTGGGCTGCCTAAAATGAAGTGCTTCACATTTTTTTTCAGTGTTAGGGATTTGTGCTGGTATGCATCTCATAATATGTAGTTTTCACCCTCTTGATTTATAAAACCATTTTCACTTTTAGAAAACAGTGTCTTAATTTAATGCTCAAGGAAAAGAACTCCAGATTTCAGTCATATGCCATTTTAATGAGTTGGTATATATGTGCATATGCCATTTTAATGAGTTGGTATATATGTGCATATCTATGTGTGTGTGTGTGTGTGTGTGTACATACATAGATACATATACATGTTAGAAAATAATGATGCTAAAAGGCGGTGAGGAAGATTATTTATAGGGACTATTTTGTCCTCTGCATGAGGATTCTAACACATAGTATTGAGATTAGAGATTGCGTACTGCATCTAAGTGGTGTTACCAAATTAGTCATTAGATTAAATGTATCATTAAAGCAACTCAAATTAGGTTTTCCCCACTGCATTGAGCAAGTTTGATTCAGAAATGATATCATTTGTAAGATTTACCTGATTTCTGGTGTTTAGTACGACATCTTATTATTTATTAGTACTATCATTCAGAATGAGAAGTTTAGGACAAGCATCTACATATTTACCTAATGACAATTTTGAAATAGCCAATTTCATTTTTATGCATTGATGCTTCCAATATTATTTGTATGAAGCTGACAAAAAAGATTCTCATACTTTGAGAAAACACTTTGAGTTATTCCTCTTTTATGCATGCACGATTATATTTTTAAAGAATAAGAGATTTTAAAATACTAGTCTAATCTCAGTCAGATGACACCAATATCATGGTGTCTATCCCTGGCCACAACATTTTAATGGGAAGTGTTTAAAAGGAAAGGTCATAGATAAAGATAAATAATTCTGATATACGAGATGGGATTCTACTGTGAGATAACAAGACCACCACATCCTCAGAATAGAAACCCTGTCTCTACCAAAAATATAAAAAAATAGTCGAGTGTGGTGTGTGCGTGTAATATCAGCCACTTGGCAGGGTAAGGCCATAGAATCGCTTGAACCTGGGAGGTGGAGTTTGCAGTGAGCCGAGATAGTGCCACTGCACTCCATCCTGGGTGACAGAGCAAGACTCAGTCTCAAAAAAAAAGAAAAAAGAAAAAATGATGTTCAGATTCCTATTTATTTGGCAGTTTAAAAGGCATCCACTTATTCAAAAACAAGTAAAATTGTTTAGAAGTGATTCAAATATAGATGAGACCTATTAGAGATTCAGCCCTAACTTAATTATATTTAAAAAGCAAAAGTACAACCATTCTAAAGATTTCACGGTCAAAAACATTGTAAGATCTGGAGAAACATTAGTACCTTGGGATCTATATGGATTTACACTATGTGGCTCATCTACAAACCATTGACAGTTAATGTGATATCAGCAAATAATCAGTTTATCAATTTGTACTCCATAAAATTTTTCTCTCATATGTAAGTTCATGTATCAATATCAAAAGAAGAGTCTCACTTAAAGTAACTCTCTCTATATAAGCCAAAATAAAAATTGAGATGAAAATCTCAGAAATAAAGGTTATAAGAAAGAAATCTGACAAAAATATGTCCTAGTAAATGAATCAGCATTTTATTTGCTGGCCCTATCAAATTAGAATTTTACAAGGACATAGTGGTGTAATCTCTGAGTCCATTTGAGAAGGTAATGAAGTAATTGTTTGCCAGTGATTGATACCCAGCACAAAGAAGACAACTAAAGAGGTGAGCAAAGAAGAGTCTTCCAAAATAATTTTCAGCACAAGGTAATTGCCAAATATTTTACTGTGATTGAAGTTACTACATTACAACAAAAGACAAGCCTAAAATCAAAAAACTGGAGAAAAGATGACGTGACACTGATCTCCAAGCACATACTTGGACAATTTAACAGGCATTTAAGGAAGTAGAAATTTAATTCTGAAAATCCCTTGTTTAAATTAGTCTAATCATGTTTATTTCCTAATTGTAAAATTTTATGGAGTATTTGGCATGCATGTGTTGTAGCTTTCCAAAAAGGGCTGTAGTATTCAAGAATCTCCAACTTTGTTTAACCACCACTCCCTTTTAAAAAAGGAATGTATTTATTTGAGATAAAATACATTATCTTAGATAAATTTATTATTTTAGATTGTTGTCAGTAAAATTAATTCTTTTTAAATTAATTCATATATAGATATAGAATATTTTTGGTCCTTTTTAAATATATTTTTTGTTAACCAACCATGGCAGTCATTATCTCAACACTTTAGTTGCTTTCTAGTAGCTTTCATGCTAGATACCAATCTCAAGCAAATAATTATTCATTACCTTCTCAGACAGACTCAGAGTTTACACTTTCTCATTGTTGTAAAAATTGAAATTGATATGGTCCAAAAAACAACATGCTGATTCTCTATAAATATAATGAGATGATCATTTTGAACTATTACATACATGCACAAATATATATATATATATATATCGCCACAGAATCTCCCCCAACCCCCCCCCCGCCCCCCAAAAAAGCAAAGCCTTTTGACTCTGTTATTATTGTCAAAATCAGCTATCTAAAAAAAGTGCCTCTATTGGGTTGAGTCTGGACATCTTTCCTGTGTACACTGTGGGCTGCAGACAGAGTTCACTGGACAAAATGTTGAGGTACCGAAGTCTATGTCCTAATCTTTCATCCGTGAGAAAAAGATGAAGAAAAGCAAGCACAACACTATATTTCTACAGACTTTAATTTTATTTTATCATTATAGTCGTACTCTGCCTAAAATGCCCAAATTAGTGACTGGCATGGCTGACAAATAGTATAATAAAGAGTACCAATAATTTTTATACATACACATAATACATATAAATGAGTTTAAAAAACTAATTTCAACTCACAACTGTCTAAGATATAATAAAGTGAAAGATAATTAAAAGATTTATGAGTAGGTTAGAGTAGAAATATTATGGCAAAAATAAAACCAAGGCCATTTTAGAGCCATGGTGGCTGAAATGTAAGCTATATCAAGAATTAGATGAAAATAGGTAGCATAAGTGATAGGACAATTTTCCCTACTTTGAAACTTATTTAGAAGTTATCCCAATCAAGAACAGTGGGGTACATGCACGATTTTTTTTCCTTCTTCTTCTGTTGTCCTCAAAAAGCTAATCTTGGCTCCCTTGAATCGGAATTCAGACAACTAAGACATTCTTTCTTAAGTAACAGTTTGTTTGCATTTAGACCATTATCTTTATGGCCAATTTTATTTTGAGTATGAAACACATGAAAGACATTTTGCAGAAAATTTATGAGTGTATTAGAAAATACCTACACACAAGAAAAGGGGTTTTCTGTTTTTGAAATGGAAAGTACTTATCTAAGCACCTTTCATGCACTGGGTACTTCATATTTCCATTTCTCAATAACAACATTTAATACATAAATGTAAGGGTTTGTAAATTTACTGCTTCATTATTACTGAGTATGTGCTTGTGAGTCATCCTGGAGTGCCTGAAACTAGAAAAATAAAATAATAAAAGATCATTTTATAACATGTAAGTGTAAGAAAAAACTAATATCCTAATTTCCATACAGTTTCATATAAAATTGCTTTCAGCAAAAGTCCCTCACATTAATATATAAATGCAATTTTTAACTAAATCATAGATTCTATAATATTAAAGAATTTGGGTCAGCCATGGTGGCTCATGCCTGTAGTCCCAGCTACTCAGGAGACTGAGGTTGGAGGATCCCTTGAGCTCAGGATGTCAAGGCCACAGTGAGCTATGATCACAACAGCCTGAGCAACAGTGTAAGACTCTGTCTCAACAAAATGAATAAGTAAAGAAATAATTTGGAGGCCATTCTGTAAGGTACTTTTATTTGTTGGGATGCAAGTTTGGCTCTAGTAATATAACTCAAATAACAGTAACTTATACAAAATGGAATTTTATTCCTCTCAAATAACAGTACAACATAAACAATCCATGACTTATATGGTGGCCTCAAAGATGCTGGGTTCTACAGTTCTTCACAAGTTTTTTCAGTTATGATTTTTAGTTCTAGTCATCACATTTTCATCTTAGCTAGGGGAAAGAGATAAAAAAGATGACACATATTCTTCTTCCCTTAAGAACCAATTTAGGAGTTTCATGCATTCCTCCCATTTATATACATGTATCCACCTTAGGTGCAAGGAAGGTATACAGGTGTGATGCAGCATGCGCTCAGATGAAACTCAGGGTTGTACTAGTAAAGGAAGAGAAGATGCAAAGGAAGAAGTGTTTGTCTTCTGTCTATTAGCTACTTAGGAGGAGAAGAAATTGATTTCAGGCATTCTCTATCCTAAAGAGTGATCCACATAGCCCTGGGTGTAGGTGGGAAAAGAGGGCAAGATCCTATCAGAAGATGCACAAAGTCAAAACTATTTTCATAGAAATAAATAAGACATTTTTCTTTTGCATTGTTTTGACACTTCCACTGACAGTTCTAAAGCAATGGAGAGTAAACTACTGCTGAAGGCTTACTACAAACCAATTAGTGCCACCAAACTGCTCTCCTAGTGGGGATATATTCCTTACTGATACATACTTGTAAAACAGAAAGAAATGTTTTCAAGAATGTTCATTTTGAAGCATTTAAAAGAAAGTTTACTGCATCTTAATCTTCAGTATAAATCTGCATGTCAAAACAAGACACATGAATAAAGGACTTATGCTGCAGATAGCACTATAATAGTTGATTTGAGGAAAATAACTTTTGCCATTATTTTAGTTGCAGGCTGAGGTAGCCACGTTTTTCATGGAAAACCATTTTTACTTGACATAGTTTGACAGAAAAATGATGGTTATTCAGACTTGGACACTTGGTGGATCTGTTATCAAAACTTAAAAAAATGAGGCTGTTGCTTCAGGACAAACAACTGATTTATTTAACGGCAATGATAACAATAAAGCATTCAAGTGAACAATACAGAACTTGTATCTGCCACTAGAAGACTGACAGCTTTCTAAAATGTAAAGGCTTTTCTCATGAGTCCAATGATGATATTAATAATAAGTTCTTTTGTTATTGCCTACTGAAATATGTCAGCATTTGGAAGATTTTCATATATAAGTTGAAAGAGCATATATAGGAGTGCATGACATAGCTCTTATATAATGAATAGGTAGACTTCAACTCATTTTTCTCTGTGGCATTAAAATATTCCATTACATCTCACTTTATTTTGTTAATAAAATATGAATAACTTCATAATAATAATATATTCAATTGTTTTAATTGCTTGCTGCAGCCTGTGTGTCCTGACTCAGAAGATCTGAGTGTGTACTTCTATTCACAACTCTGTGTTCAGTGACATCACATTGGTAGATTGATATTGACTGTGGTAGTGAACAAAAATTGTTAAATATTGTTCATCAAAGCTTTCCTTTTTCCTAAAGAGTTGTTTGCTAAACTTTTACCAACACTTCATTAAATGTAGTATTTCTATGGATCCTTGCTGCTCTGTGAATGGCAGCACAACATAGTATAGCTCAGTTACGTTTTAGGAATTATACTATGATAGTTTTCAATAATTGCTGACATAATTTGGCTCTGTTCCCCTACTCAAATCTCACCTCGAATTATAATCCCCACATTAGGGAGGGACCTAGTGTGAGGTAATTGTAGGGGCAGT
Source organism: Homo sapiens (assembly GCF_000001405.40). Classification (NCBI taxonomy): domain Eukaryota; kingdom Metazoa; phylum Chordata; class Mammalia; order Primates; family Hominidae; genus Homo; species Homo sapiens. Next base: position 190,155,702 of record NC_000001.11, read on the forward strand.
TTCCCCTGTGCTGTTCTCCTGAGTGAGTAAGTTCTCACAAGATCTGATGTTTTAAAAGTATAGCACTTCCCCCCTAGCTTCCTTTCTCTCTCTCTCCTCTGGGTGCCATGCAAGATGTGTCTTGCTTCCCCTTTGCCTTATTCCATGATTCTAAGTTTCCTGCAGTCCCCCCAGCCAGGAAGAACTGTGAGTCAATTAAGCCTCTTTTCTTTAGAAATTACCAAGTCTCAGGTAGTTCTTTATAGCAGTGTGGAAGCAGACAATACAATTGCTGTAATCACTATCTTGTGATGAAATTAGTAAGCCATTGTTACATAGCTGCAAAGTTTTAGAATAGGAGCAAAAGTTGACTACCTCAAGGAAACCAAATTGTCGCAGGCTTTAGAGTTTACTCAAGTAAGAAAAATGATTTTTATGTCGCATGAATTCCTCAGAGCAAAAATGGTGAGATTAATCTGAATGTCAAGCTTTATTGAAAAGGAAGAACTATACACTATACAGAGTAACTTTAATCTATCTGTCATTATATAGGAAATGTGAAAATATCTTATTGGTGGAGATGTACTTTGAAGGTCTTGTTTGTTTTTGCTTATTTTTCAAGATCTTAGCAGATCATAAATTGAGAGAAAAGTTCAAGGGAATGACTGAGAACAATTCCATAAAGGCAAGAAAAAAATATAATTTGTAATGAAAGCGAATTACTGGTATGGCTTATCTAAGTCTTCTTCAAAAATTTCTGAAAATGTAACTTACAAATACCCAATGTTCAGTTTACATTCTACCATATTCTACCCTCCTAGAATCCAGTACATATTTTTTTTTTGTTTTCCTGATGTCATTTCATATTATTCTTTTAAAATGGAAAAAAAGAGAGATAGAAACAAAATGTTACATTGGCAGTAAAAGAAAAACGGGGATGGAAAATATCAAACTTCAATAAACAAATTTATCTAGCAAGAAGTCTGCATTGTTTTTGTGTGTGTGGTGACTAATAGTCAACTTAGGAATTACGCTAAATTAAAAAAAAGGAAGTCAAGAAAATTCTGTGGCAATATTTGACTTATTTAATTTAGAAGTTTTGGAAAACAAAGATTTATCTCTACTATGTTGAATTCTAATGCAAATATTACACTTCTATTTTATTCTACTTATTTGTGTTGGACGCTCCCAGTTTGAACTGGGATTTCAGCTTCCCACATTTTCATTACAAAACTTGAACTTGTATAGCATTTTTGTATGTCAACTTATAATTCATTTATTTTTACTAGAAATTAATGTGGCTTCCATGATATATTTTACTCTAGTATCTGCTCAATTGCAGTTTCTGTTTTTTCACTCACCTCACATATATCTGCACTTTCTGATAATACAGTCTTCCCTCAGTATCCCAAGAGGATTGGTTCCAGGAATTCCTCCATTCCCCCAATATTAAAAAAAAAAATTAACACATACTCAAGACCCACAGTAAGCCTTGCAGAATCTGAGGATACAAAAATCAGCCCTCCTTATGCATGGGTTTCGCATCCCATAAATACTATATTTTTCATCCACCAGGTTGAGGATGAGGAACTTGGTGATGGAAAAGGTTGTGTGAAAATCTTTTTGATTGGGAGAAATCTGCATATAACTGGACCCACGCAGTTCAAACTCGTGTTGTTCAAATGTCAGCTGGATTCAGATTTCATGGATTCCTGTGAACCAATGATTGCCGTTCCTTGAGATTGGATTCCCTGAGATTGTCCAAATCTTCCCTGAGCTTCAGACATACATATCCAGCTCTAGATGTACTAGTTAAAAAGAACCCTAAAGTCAATGTCTTTATAACCAGACTCATCAATTTGCTTCCTAATTCACCTCATCTTCTTGCACTTTCTATTTTGGGTAAAATAATGTATTACATGGTTTTCAAATTGCTTTTAACCTACATATATAAAGCATAAGGCTCATTATAATCAAATAACAAGATCTTCACCCAGCCACATTTTCCAGGCATGGAATGTTCCCTGGGAGTACACAAAAAGACATATTAAATATCTTATTTGTGGAGGAAATAAGAAAACTTATGAGATGCATAAAATAATGATTTATAGCAGTGCTTAGAGGAAGCTTTATTGATGTGAATGACTGTATTTAAAAAGATGAAAGCAATAACAAGGAATCAACCTAGGTTTCCAACAATGGTGGACTGGATAAAAAAATATGGTACATACATGCCATGGAATACCACATAGCCATAAAAAATAAAATCACGTCCTTTGCAGTAACATGAATGCAGCTTGAGGCCATTATCCTAAGTGAGTTAATGCAAGAATAGAAAGCCAATTAATGTGTGTACTTATTTATAAGTGGGAACTGATATAGTTTGGCTGTGTTCCCACCCAAATCTCATCTTGAATTACCACATGTTGTGGAAGGGACCCCGTGGGAGGTAATTGAATCATGGGGCAGGTCTTTCCCATGCTGTTCTTGTGATAGTGAATAAGTCTCATGAGATTTGATAGTTTTAAAAATGGGAGTTTCCCTGCACAAGTTCTCTCTTTGCCTGCTGCCATTCATGTAAGATGTGACTTGCTCCTCCTTGTCTTCTGCCATGATTGTGAGGCCTCCACCAGCCATGTGGAACTGTAAGTCCATTAAACCTCTTTTTCTTCCCAGTCTCAAATATGTCTTTATCTGCAGCATAAAAATGGACTAATACAAGAACTAAACATTTGGTACTTATGGACATAAACATGCTAAAGTAGACACTAGAGACTATTAGAGTGGAGAGAAAGTGAGGGGGCCAATTATTGAAAACCACTGGGTACTATGCTCACTACCTGGGTGACGGGATCAATCATACCTCAAACCTCAGCATCATGCAATATACCTATAAAACAAATGTGTACATTTACCACCTGAATCTAAAATAAAAGTTGAAAAATTAAAAAGAATGTTTTATTCCCAAAAGGTGAAAATTCTCAAATTAATAACTTAAGTTTTTATTCCAAGAAACCAGAAAAAGAAAATGACATTAAACACACAGCAAAGAGGAAAAAATAATAGAATTGGTATGAAAAATAAACTAAAAATGAAAAAAATAATAAGGACTATCAAGAAAACTAAAAGTTAGTGAAAAATGAAAATGAGGTTGAAAAACTTTTAGCTAAACTGACCACAGGGAGGGGGAGAGAGAGAGAGAGAGAGAAAGAAAAGAGAAAGGACTGCCTAGGAAACTGAAAAGACACCTTAAAGAATAGAATTAATTATCTGTATATCATACAACTGATAGGGAACTTGCAATCAGAACATATGAAGTCCTCTTACAACTCAATGCCCACTTTCAAAAAAATATTGAAATCTGTGAAGGATTTGAATAGACATTTTTCCATAAAAGATATACAATGAACATGAAAAGATGTTCAAAGCACATGAAAAGATGTTCAATATTGTTAGTCATTAGGGAAATTTAAATCAAAACCAAAAGATATTATTTCATATTCACTTCGATGGCTATAACCAAATTGATACAAAATCACAAGTGTTGAAGATAATGTGGAGAGATTGGAGTTGTCATTTGTGACTGGTGAAAATATAAAATGGTGCAGCCACTGTGAAAAACAGTTTGGTAGCTTCTCAAAATGTTAAATACAGTTGTCTCATGACTCAGCATTTCTCCACTTTGGTATATACCCAAGAAAATTGAAACATATGTCCACATAAAAAAGTGTACATGAATGTTTATAGAAGCATTATTCATAATAGCTTAGAAGTACAACAAGCCAAATCTTCATCAAGTGATGAACGAATAAACAATATGTGGTATACCCATACTACTGATGCTACAACATAGAAGAACCTGAAAGCAGTTTGCTAAGTGAAAGAAGCTAGTCACAAAAGGCCATATATTGTACGATCCCATTTACAGAAAATGTCCAAAATAGGCAAATCTATAGAGACAAATAGTAGATTAGACAAATTTATAGAGAGAAACAGCCTTGGACTGGGTGAAGGTTTATGAGGAGTGACTGCTAATTGGTAATCCATTCCTTTTTGAGGCAATGAAAATGACCTCACCTTAGATTATGATGGTTGCATAGTTTTTTTTTTATACTAGACACCAATAAATTGTAAAACCAACCAAACAAACAAAAACAATCCAATGTTTTCTTTTTAAATGGATGTTTAAAATTATGTACTAACCTTCAGGGTTTTTTTTCCAGCAAAAGAAATCTATAATCACAGAGTTCTCATCTTAATGATTTAAGCACCAAGTCAAAATTCAAACATTTTATGTAAGATATACTGATACAAATATATATTTCTTGTGATAGTGTCCTATATTTTCCCGTAGCTTTTTGTTTTCGAACTGACCTCAAATAGATAAATACAACTTTTTATTACACTTACTTGTCAGTACATCCTAAAGCAGGAAATTCAAACACTGCTTCCCCAAGTCAGTTCAGACACAAATAATTTAATTGTTGTCATCATTCCTATTAAATTTTAGAAGCTTTCATAGTAATTTTCAGAAGTTTTTGTAGAATTAGGTTTGTGGTTTTCTATACACTGGTTATAGAAAATACATCTTGAATTATTTTATTTGAAAATTATGTATTGAGGAATTTTAATTTCTCATCCTGTTTGTTTCCTAGGCTCACAATGTAACCATAGGGCTTTGTGCTTTTCTGCTCACTGTAATGCAATTATTAGTTGGCTACAACACATAATAAATTAGAATGATTTCTTCATTTTGATAAGAAAAGAAAAAAAGAAATAAGTGCTAGTATATATTTTTCTCATTGTACTATTACTTTGAGAAATAACTATAATTTATTATTTGAGACAATATATTGTTTTCAAATTATCTCTAATAGTATAAATTAGATCATGATTTGTATATTAACACACCTGCATTCAGAAAAATAAATAGAACTCACTTTTTCGGCAATAAACTTAATTGCTTACATTACCACAAATGTCTTACCTTTGTCTTGGCAGGCTGATGAGGGGTTGTTTATGACACCTCTTGCTAAGGCTAAAAAGCTTGTGTACAATTTTCTGCGCCTTTAGGAAAAGTTGTTTCATGCTGTTCTCCAGTTGTTCATAACGGCGCTGAAAATTAGAATCCATTGTCCACAAATGCATTATAGTAGATGTGTTGAGGAAATAATTCATAGGTAGCCTTTTCATAAATAACTTGAATTCATCTGAAAAATGTCAAAATTCAACACTTTAATTATGAAACAATTATTTTTTGTTTTTCACAAACACGTATGTCAATATTAAGAACAAATACATATACACATATATGTCAAATTAAGAACAAATAAATACAGTGCCTCATTTGTGAGTAGCAAATTAATAGAAGATGGGGTTTTTAGATGCTTTAGAATTATCTTCTTTGCTGTTCCCTTTAAAATAGAACTTTCATGAAAGAAGAAAACTAAAATAATTTGTGCTAAAGCAAATAGTTGAAGCAGAAAGTTTAAGTTTAACTTAATTTTTCTGTGTGCTTCTTTTAAACGTCTTTCAGTAAACTTTCTTCAATACATAATCATTAATCTGACTTTCATTTTTGGCAATGGTATTAATAATCCTTTGTATATTTAAAAACCTTTTCAGAAATTTTTATTAAATCAGAATAGAAAATATATAAAACCAAATAATTGTATCAGTTTTTAAAGAAAAACAAAAACCTTTTTAAATATAAAATTTTAGATTTTAAATATAAAATTATAATATTAAACTATGCACCCTAATTATAACCGATCTTATTTTTAACCCTCTTTGTAACTGACTATATTCTAATTTGTTATGACTAACCATTTAAAACATGAGTACATGCTAAAAAAATACTGAAAAGAATTTAAAGCTGAAATATTGGCTTTTGTTTTTGAGTCAATAATTGTGCTGTCTTTTCAACTGTCTCGTTTAACCAACATTAGGAATAAAAGTTGATGCTACACTAAAATAAATAATAATAAAGAAGAGCTAATAAATATCTGAACACAAAAGATAGTTGAAATAATTTTCTAAAGGTGGAAACAACTAGACGGTTAATCAACAAATATGAGCATATACAAAATGTATTATATACATACAATAGAATATTATTCAGCCATAACAATGAATAAAGTTCTGACACATGCTACAGCATAGACAGACCTTTAAGATATTACACTCAGTGAAATAAACCAGACACAAAAGGAAAAATATATTGTATGACTTCCCTTTAACGAAATATCAATGCTGGGAAATGCAACTTTTTAACAATTCACAGTGAATTATATTCATGAACATTGGGTTTATTTTTCCTAGATCAAATAAGTACAGAGTTCTGGCATCTTTACGGCATTGAAGGAATAGACTTTTATCTGAAAAAAGAAGGAAAACTAAGCAAGGTAACAGTACTTTTTACAGAAAAAAGAAAAGAGAAAACATTTTATAGGGCGTATCTGTCCAATATGCTTCAAACCATTTTTTAAGTAAGCAGAGTTTAAATAATAGATGCATTTTTTTTTTTTTTGAGATGGGGTTTTGCTCGTTATCCAGGCTAGAGTGCAAAGGTGCCATCTCGGTTCACTGCAACCTCCACATCCAAGCAATTCTCCTGCCTCAGCCTCCCGAGTAGCTGTGATTACAGTGCGTGCCACCAGGCCCAGCTACTTTTTTGTAATTTTTTAGCTGACCAACAAGGTGAAACCCCATCTCTGCCTCCCAAAGTGCTGGGATTACAGGAGTAGAGCCACTCTGCCTCGCCTATAATTCCAATTTGATCATATCCTATATTTTATTTGGTCCCATTTGTGTCTTTTGTTAAATTCCCTCTTTTGAATAAAGAGTTAATGCATGGAAATTGGAAAGCATTTCTTGGATTATTTACATAGCAGATGCCACTATCTTCAAAACTAATTACTCATTTCATTGTCATCTTTACTTGAATAGTTTTGAAAATCCTTTATTGTATTGTAGGCATACATAGTTTAATTATGTTCATTGTTTGTTATAATAGTATTGGGAAGGGATTTAAATTCATAAATTTTATTGAAGATAAGGAGTATCTTTAAATACATTTTAACTGAACTAAAGTGAGTATAACAATGTATGGCAGCTGAAAATTGCCAGTATGTAATTTCTAAGAAATAGGGTTTTAATATGACACTTGAATAATTACTTCATTATGAAATCATTAAGAGTCACCACTGTCACCCAAAACATTTACTGAACACCTGTTGTGCACAGTACATACAGATGTTTCAATCTATGACAACAAATATGAATAAACCTGTCTTTTTATTTAAAAAAATGACTAATGATGTGCAATATTTTCAGATGTTAAAACTAACATCTTCAGTATCTGAAATTCACTCTACTTAGAAGACCCCCGGAAATATTCCTGTGGATATCTTTTCTTTTATTGTTGGCAATTAGTAAAATTTATATTTATAGAATACAGAAATAAAATTTGAATGATGCATTAGTATTATAATATAAATCAACAATTTACATAACTACAGAAATAAAACACAATTGTTAGGGATGCCAGATAACATTTTATCTTATAGGAATTACCAAAGCTATGTAAAAAATAAAGTATTATTTGCTTTTAAAGTGGAAAATACACAACAGCCCTACTTTTGGGGATACATAAATAAGCCTGTAAAAGAAAACAAATCAATACCATGTAAAAATTACCCAGAAAAAGTTAATCTAAAATATTGGTAATTAGAGAGATTTTATTCTACAAATATCTCTGTGTTAAGTATGTATCAAGTGAGTACTTTTCATGGCATAATTTTGAGGACAATGGAGAAACAAAGTAACCAACTGCAAAAACAATAATAATGGGAATAAACATCATCTAAGCTGGCAGGAATTTATAGTCAGTCACAGTCTTCTTAAAACTTTTCACATGAAGCAAATAATAATACGTAGTGAAATGTATTATATTAATGAATTCTGTGGAAATAAATAGAATTAGACTGGGTGACAACTTTCTAATAAATTATAGATGAATAATGAGGCATGATGTTAACTCTCTGGACTACTACTACTTCTCCATTAAAAATTGAGTAATTTTGAAAATAGTTAAACAAGGTTTGTTGTGCCTTTATCCTTTTTCCGTCAATAGAAAATCTAGTTAACACTTGATAACCAATTAGCTAATTTTGAAACTAATAGCTATAAATATTAATTCAATTATTTATCCCAGTAATCCTTCATGCAGATTTTATTGGAGCAATTTTATATGCAAAACACAGGTAAGACTTGGTTTCATAACTCTGTTAGCAAAAAGTTTTATTAACACCACTATATTAAATTATCTTATGTATTTATGTCTTTGGCATTTATTTCCATGCTTTGCAATTGAATTAAACTGATGAGAGTGGGGAACTGAAAATTTTGGGGATGTTAAAGAATCAGACTCAGATACATACCCCCGATTGGAATTTTTGCCCTTACTAATAAACGTAAAAAAACTTTGACCAATGCAGTTAATTGTGTACTTTCAAATGTTCAGAACCTCTATTCAGAACTGCTTTAGAATATATTTTCAAAGATATTCTAAAGCATTCTAAGTTTTCTAGAGTTTTGAGGGTATATAATTTACTTCCTGAATTATGTAAAACATTAATCAGTTTTTCATTATTTGTAAGTAATTTCTTGAGTTATAAATCAACTAAAATAACTCAAAACAGAAGCTGCTGTCATTGGTAAGCAGGACTATGGATAGGGAGTATTGAAAGAGGAAACTTGTGCTTGCTTTTATGATTGTTATTAATTCATATTATTGTGCTAATTATATTACAATTTATATTAATATTGTGAATACATATAAAATATAAGCACAATACTACAGAATTATCAATACACCAAGTACATATCTTCTGTTTCAGACATTGATTTTTTATTTATTATTTTTTAGAGACAAGGTTTCACTCTATTGCCCAGGCTGAAGTAGGGTGGCATGATCATAGCTCATTGTAACCTTGAGCTCTTGGGCTCACGCAATTCTCCGGCCTCGTCCACTCCAGCAGGTAGGATTACATGCCTAGCTAATATTTTATCTTTTATCTCTTTTTTTTTTTGTAGACATGGGGTCTTACCATATTGTACAGGCTCAAGCAATCCTCCCATCTCATCGACCCAAAACGCTGGAGTTTCAGGTATGACCTACAGTGCCTGGCTTCAGACATTTAAATAAAATGACATTATTTAATTACTTGTTAACATGAGGTAAAACTCTACTGGCTCACATTTTATGTATGTGTTTTTTTAAATCAATGTATATATTGGTATAATTCAAGTATTTCAGTAGAAATGACAATGCAATATGGATAATAAATTTATTATGAAAGCATAGCAACAGTTTCAGTACAATGATAGAAAAATACATAATATCTAACGAAATACATAAAGGATGATCACAGGGCACATAAAATAAAAAGAGAAATAGAAAAAAACATATGTCTGATATATATATAAAGAATCCATGCAAACATTTGTTTTTACACACAAAAAATGATCATTTCTGATTTTATATTACCAATCCAATGACTTTAAATCCATTTCTTCTACTTATGTTTGTGAACATAGGATTTCTTGGAAAATAATAAGTGCTCATAACAAATTCTAGTAACACAATTTTTTTGTAAGCAATAAACTAAAAAAAAAAAGTATTACTTTCTCACACTAAATGCAAAACTTTGGGGCTTTCCATACATGAACACATAGCAAGTATGCTCTGTTTCATTGGCTGTTTTTTTTTTTTTTTTTTGTGTGTGTGTGTGTGTGTGTGTGTGTGTGTGTGTTTTGCTGTTGTTTAGTCTACAGTTGGTTTAGACGCAATACTAAGTACTAATTCCAAAGCTGACAAATAAATATGAAACTATGTTTTCAATGTTATTGCTCAACCAGAACACCCTCTAATAAAGCTATTTCTTGTTTCTTGAGAACCACATTTTCCTGGAATATGAGTTCCTTTGTCTTCTGATTTTCAGTGGCAAAAAAAAAAAAAATTCTAGCAAATAAGTTAATCAAAAACCTCGACACTACAGAAATACTAGCTTTAAGTCAGTAAGATACAAAATTGGCAAGATATGAAAGAAGTGGGAATGTGAGTGAGAAGAAAGACTCACGGCAAGAAAAGTTGAGACAGAGAAATTCCAGACAGTGTCCTGAATAGCAGAAAGTTACCAAGGGCTGAAATGGCACCTGCTCCTCCAGGGAGCACTACTAATACACAAATTTTGACCCTCGCTATAACCCTTAGTAGAACTGGTAGATTTTTTACTTTTGCTAACTTTTTTTCTCCTAACGGTTCTAAGGGACTATTTCAATGATTTGTATTGGTTTTGAAATTTCCCAATATCTACAGTAAATCACTGATATGACTTTGAGTAGCCACACATCAATGTAAGTCTATTCAAACCATTCTATAAGCCATGGGTATAGAGTTTATACGGAAACTGACAAAATACTATAATGCTGCATAAAGTAAATGGCAAGCCTGTTCAATAGCTTGTGAACTGGACAATTTTATGAGGCTACAAAGTGATGGGTACATAAGGGTATAAATCAGAAACAGATTCTAATTCCTTAGTAGCTGCCAGAAATAAGGTATGCTGTTTCTCACTATTTTATTTTTCTCTGAAAGATGCATCATGTTTTATATTAAAGCATTTCAATACATCAAGCCAATTAATCTGTCCCTCACTGGGTTGCCCTGTTTATGACCCCATTCATCTGTTTGAGAAATTACTCAAATACAGCCTTATCTCTTAGAAGCTGGAAAACCCAGGTCCTCACTCTCCCAGTGTCCTTGCAACTACGGAGGGATTGGGTGTATCATTTAAACTAGAAGAAACAGGTGTACCACCCAGATTTTGATCTTAAGTTGTTAATGCAAAGACAAAGAGAGTGCCTAGAGAAATTTTCTCAGGAGATAATGTTTGCAGCAGTAATGGTAATGGTTAGTTGGTTAGTTCCATATGGTGTTGTTCATTGCAGTTAGCAGTGTTGACCTCACTAAATACGTCTTATGCATTTCTTTTTTTTAAGATGGGGTCTCACTCTATCACTCAGGCTGGAGTCCAGTGGGATGATTTCTGCTCACTACAACCTCCACCCCCAGGGTTCAAGCGACTCTCGTCCCTCAGCCTCCCAAGTAGCTGGGATTACAGGCGCATACCACTACTTCCGGCTAGTTTTTTATATTTTTAGTAGAGACGGGGATTCACCATGTTGGCCAGGCTGGACTTGAACTCCTGACCTCGGGTGATCTGCCCGCCTCAGCCTCCCAAAGTGTTGGGATTACATGCGTGAGACATCGCGCCGGGCCTATGAAATTTTTTTTTACTGTTTCCTGTGTAGCACATGAGTAGGTTTCCCTACTTTTCTTGGCGATTTGATGTGCCATCCAGAATCCCTTTATCCGATTTTGGATTTTGGTTGTGTCATCCAAAATCCCTGAATTTATCCGATTAAGTGAGCTAGAGCCTGTTTGTCTTATTTACATCAAAGAATCTGGGCTTATACAGGTACAGATACCAGAAGTGGTTTGGTAAAAGCTTCCAAAGAAAATTGAGAGCATATGTGGTTTGTTTCCTACTGGCTGGGACAAAAAGCTTTATAAACCTACACAGCATTAAGGGTAGAATTTTGACATTAGAAATTCCACCTCTGCCCACCTAGAATGAAGTGTGTGTTGCAGAAATGGCATTTGGACCTATATGCCTGCATATAATTGAATGAAGAGCATGAAAAATTCAAAGACTGTGGGTGAGTTTACTACTAATAGAGATGGTTTGCTTAAAGTGCCCCAATTCCTACCCATTCAAAGTACAGAATGAATGTGAGACTTTCAAAGCCTGTGCTAAATAAATCTTTCACCTCTTGCAGCTGTAGGGCTTCAAAACAAGCTTTGACCCCAGGATTGAATTTAAATTCCTTTCAGATCTGTTATGTTAAAGTTACAAAGAACCGTGATTGGAGAGGCATGGGAACCTCGGAACTGAAGGGTAGATATGTAGGATGACTGGAATTGATTTAAAATAATCTAAAGCATAAACTTTTGCTTTCCCACCCCTGTGAAGCCAATTCTTATGCCCATTATGCCCCAGGGGAGCTTATTAAAAATATTCAAAGGGAAGGATAATTTTCCAACAGACTACCAAGAATTTGCTCATTTTTTATTGGAGGAAAAAGCATTAAATGCATGGGTAAAAGGAATGCTAGTATCTCCGAGTGCTGTATTGGCATTTGTCTATAGGATAGGGACATCAGAGTGAAAATCGGTGTGAAATCAGTTCAGCTCTGACTTCAATGAATATATAATTACCCTCTGTACTGAGGCCCAGTAGCAACTATTAGCCATCAGAGTCACAGTGAACATAGGTATTGTAATACACAGATAGTTCAATGTGCTACTTAGAAATGTTTAACCTGTAGAAATTTTAGAGTTTACTAATCAGATCATGCGCATTGACAAATACATGACCAGTGCCTTGAGGTCCTATTTAATTTGTATATATATATATATATAAAAAGCAAGACATAGGTCTGGCAACAAAGGCCTGGTTTGAGTCATCATGAGAAGAAAGTTGTCTTATCAAATTCTCAGCCCTGAATCATTCCTGAATCATTTCAAAGACCACATCTCTTGTATCACAGGTTAGTAAGTATGGCAAATATTCAACTCGAATGGTGAGTGATAATTTCTGGGGCCCTGGTATGCTACAATATTCTGGAAATCAGAGTGTGGTCTTATAAAAATCCGGTAATAAATTCAATTTCTCCTATATGCTCTTCACATTAGGCCAATAAAGACTGTAACCCATAAGATGTTTAGTTTCCAATTACTTGAGTAAAAAATTGTAATGGAAGAACATTGACTTCATAAGCTATTATGGAGTAAGATCAATTAAGACAAAAATACAAAGTGAAGCTTCCTGTTTCTGCTTAAAGTATAAATCTAGAGTTACATTGCTTGTTTTTCATGTTTGACACAATTCCAGGAATTTGGGATGCATGCAGTACTTGAAAATTGTGAAGAGAGTATTCATATTCCATCTCCAATTAACTCAAAATGTTGGCTAAAGCTTCAACATAGAGTCATTCTAATTAAAACTGCTATTCCTGATGTGGTAGCTTTACCATTGGCATGATTCTTGGCACTGGGGATAATGCTTCCTCTCTGGCATAAATTGTTTTCTCTATAACTGTAAACAGAGAATATCAGGCACAATTTTTCTTTCATATGTCAGTTACAAGAGTTAAAGATTCTCATTGTATTCTGGGTTTAAGTAATTTCTCAGCATCTGTGCTACAATTTATTTTACAAGGACGTAGATCATCTCACTGTGCCACAGGACATATTTTGTTAATGACATACTCTGAAAAATATGAAATGTGAAATATGTAAAAAAACACGACTAGCAGGTATTCTAGCTTCTGGCCTATACCTTAAGTATGCATGAGGACTGAAAATAAACGTTATTTATATTGAGAGTCTGGTGATTCTGTGCACATTTGGATATCCTCTTCAAAATGAAGAACAAGTAACTGCTTCTTCATATCCCCTTAATAAGAAAGATGTACAAATCTTGGAAGTTGCATAAAATGCTTTCTCTGGTGACATTACTGATAATGATGACTTCAGTGATCTGTATTGGTGTGGCAGATGTGCCAGCTGCAATGCTTTTGCTCCTTGATGCCCTCAAGAGATTACTTCTGCTATTGTGATTTGAGGCTTGTTTCTGGCATAGCATCTGAGCCAGCATCTCCAATCCTTTTGTTGATTCTGTGAACTATCCAATCCGATGTCTTTAAATAAATTCCTTTCTGCTGCAATCAGATGCTGTTCTTACAAGAATGCTGACTGATACAGCTAACTGAGGCCTCAAGGGCAATTATAATTTGTAGTTCAACAAGATTTTAACAAATATTTGTTGAATGTCTACTGTGTACCAATCACTGTGCTACTTGAGTGTTAAAACCACAGTAATAATAATTATTACTGTTATAATAATGACAACTTTATCAGGAATTCTGTGTTGATGAAATTATATAATTACTATGAAAACAATAAAATGTCTTTTATATAATTAGTCATAAATAACTGTTAGTTATTATTTTTCTTTTATAATTTATTTAGTGTTTCCATATGTGCTGTGCTCAGCACTTTACATGGATTAGCCCGTTTAATCCTTACAGCAGTCCTAGGAGGTGGGTCCCATTATAATCTACATTTTGCTGATGAGAAAATTTCCCTAAGCAAGTTTCAGCAAGCTGTTCAAAGTGACACAGTTATTAATTAAAGCCCAGAACAAACGAAGTCTGAAAAAAGTAAGGCTCCTGCCTTAATAAATATAAATTTTTGTAGAGTTGACAGGAAAATAAAATTATTATTCCCTACACTTAAAGAGTGCTTTTGTTTGGTAGACTTTTCATAAATATTATCATATTCAATCTCATAATAACCATGAGGTAGGACAGTCTGGTTTTGTTGAGATGTGGTGTGAAATGAATTTGAATTATAGGATTATTGACAGACCAACCTATGAGAGAAAAAAAATAGGAAAATAATAGACCTGAGGAAATATAAAAGGAAAGAATTTTATATTTCTCTGAGGGTGAGAACAATGTTTTATTTTTCTTTGTATTTTCCCTTTCCAAAGCCCTAAGACAGCATATTACATATACTATGAATTAAGTATATATTTCTTAAATGTCGTAACCAATTAACAAGTTCCAGAAGGAAATGATTGAACCTAAATATAAACATCTACAGACTAGTTCATGTGGAAAAGCAGTTAGAGCTTAGTCATATAAAACGTGAAGCCATTTTTTTATATCTTATGACCACGAATGACTCAAGTGGGTAAAAAACAGTTGAAATAACATATGTTTTACAATTCTAAGACTTAATACTAATATGAATAAAGAGAAGTCAGGTTGAAAGCAAAACTGCAAGATAAAAATGTAGATACATTTCTTAACTTATGGATGAGAAAATGGCAAATGAAATTTAGGTGGAAAAATTATAATGTGTGTAAATTGCAGCTTGATGACTTACTAGTCAAAATATCCTGCAATAACCTGTGATCATTAGTTATAAGCAAAATTAGTAGTACATATTCATGGCTACATTAGTAAAATTTACATTCAGTACCTTTTAAGTCTTAAGCATTTTTATAGGCCCTTAACACTCTTAACTCTCTATCTTAGTTATTGCTGTAATGTCTGCTGCACTGAAACAATAACCATGACTTAGATATGTTGAGTAAATTTTTCCAAGTGTGATGCCTGCTATGTAATGCCTGGAGAAAAGTTGCTGAACACACAAGCAATATTTGCCTATGAGACTGAAACTCAATTGAAGCCATGTACCCACTGGCAGATGAGGAATCCAGAGCTAAAGTGAAGGTGGTGAGAGATAATCTCAGAGGAGGGATTTTTACCCTGGCCTAAGCGGTCAGTGTGGTTGACGAGATGCCACCCATAGTTCCCTGTTTCTTTATTGGACATAAAGAAATCAGCATACATGCACAAGCATATTGCTGTTTTTGATTGTTTGGTTGCTTGTTTACTTGTACTAACTAGCCAACAGTATGTTGATCAACATCTAATGGAGAGAGAATTGGTGGAAAACACTTCACACCCTTTAAAGAGCAAGTAATAATACCTTCAAGGAAAAATACCCTTTCTTTTAAACAGGAAACACTTGCTTGCCACTACTCTCCTCTTGTAGGCCAATTGTTAATTTTTGCATTAGTTTTTATTCCTTTTCACCAGTCAATGTAAATGGAGGCCAAATAAGTTTAGTGATTTCCTTATGAATAAAGATCTACAGAAAAGTTGAATTAGTACTTAAATTAAGAAATTTCATCCATAATTTGTCTTTCATATTATGTTGCTACTGAAGTGTTACATATATTAAATGAAAATGTATAATAATTATTAAAATAACACTAATTCACATATTATTTAACTATTAGGAAAGTTAAGAACAAGCATAAAATATATTATACACTAGCCACATTGAGTATCTCTACACATAACTAGGAAGAATGGGAAACCTGTCAGTTATTTTGCTCTATGACATTCAGCTGTAATCTGATTTTTAAAAATGTTGTCTTCTTGCCACACACAGTGGCTTACGCCAGTAATCCCAACACTTTGGGAGGCCAAGGCAGGAGAATTGCTTGACACCAGAAGTTTGAGACCAGCCGGCGAAGCATAGTAAGACCCCAACTCTATAATTTTTTTTTTTTTTAATTAGCCAGTTGTGGCTGTAGTCCCAACTACTCAGGAGGCTGAGGTGAGAGAATCGCCTATCCCTAGGAGTTCGAGTTTACAGTGAGCTATGATTGCACCACTGCACTCCAACTTGGTGACAGAGCAAGATCTTATATCAAAAATAAATTTAAAAAGGTCTTTCTTTCTTGCAGTAGTTTTACATATAGTGGAACTGCCTACTAGATGAAAAATAAAAACAATGTGATTAAATTTTTAATAAGTTAATATCAGTGATTTGGGTGACAAATAAATGCCTAACTCCTTATATATGAGTTAAATTTTCCCTCAAATATTTAAATATTGGCTTTTATGTACATAAGAGCTATTATACTCTTTATTTTTATCATGTTATGTTTATAAATTATTTACCATATTTCTTAGTTGTTGAAGACATTTTTCCTCCGGATTGAATTAACCAAATGTGCTATGTGTTATACTCTCCCATACATTTTTCATAATGTTACTTAAATTTGTCAGAAAATGGACTTTATTGAATAAAAACTACATGTGATGCTGCTAATTGGTCATGTTTAGTTTATTGATTCCCAAATTAAAACATCTCAGATTGTGGCATTAATAATTTACAGATAATTGGTAGCTGTGCTAACTTGTTTATTATGAACTTGGCACCATTGTCATTAGTCTGAAGCTGGTACATTTCTCCCCAAACCCTCCTCCTTGGGAAATTCCAGTTTAGACTTTATCAGTGACAGAAAGTCATGTGGGACGTGGAAGGCTGACAGGAAGTGGAAGCCATCATCCTCAGAAGTTTATGATAACTGAACATACGACAATCGAACATAGCCTTTCCCAAAATGCAGTGATATGGTGGCTCCCACGAACAGATACAGCAGCTTCCATAGAAATGGCAGCATTCCCAGAAATAGCAGCTTCCAAATACCTCCCCAAGGTTTCAACTTCACAATGGCCAGATGCATGCAACCTCTCGGACCTGTCTGCAAACTAAGCTTTCTATTCATGACAGGGCTTTGAGATTAAGTGGATTAAGAATGTTTCTTCAGTTCTCTTTCTACCTTCTTCCTTTCCTTCATCTTCTCTACATCTTCATGTGAGCACTAATTCCCATTTAAAATCCCTTGTTTCTATCATACTTTTGGTTATTTTATTTTCCTGTTTAAAAACAGATGAACAAATCAAGTAATGCAGCTGCGGCTAGTTTTCTATTACACACATTCTTCACTCATTACAACCGGAACACTGATTCTGTTGTGGATAGCAATGGATCCAGATATAAAACTACTTGCAGCATCTGGTGTATACATAGCAACCATCTGGCCAATGAGACAAAAGCAAGAATCTGTACGTGGGGGAAGGGATATATTCATGGCTAATGTTTTCAGTTTATGATTTAGATCTTGTCCTTATTCCTTATTGAGCTTTCCTGTGTCCTTTGGAGTAAAATGCAGACCCAAAGCTGGAGCAGCCACACTGTAACCATGAGGAAAAAGTCAAGAGAAAGGGAGATACATTGGTCTTCATCTCCTCACGCCCTTGAAGCAGCACTGGCACTACCACTTCATTGCTGTTATATGCAGATAGTTGTCATTGAAAATGAGAAATAAAGAGCAAGAATGGAAGTCTTTAAAGCAATAATTCCTAAATTGCTTATCTCAAGAACCCTTTACATTCTTAGAAATTATTGAAGACTCCAAAGAGCTTTTGTTTGTGAAGATATTTTGTAAGCATGTATGATATTAAATACGTATTTATTAATGTAAACCATTTCATATAAGTAACATATTTTATGAATGAAATACACATAAATAACACATTTTTATGAATATAACTATTTTCCCCCCAATTTTTTGTGAGATTAGCATTGTTTCAAATTTTGCAAACCTCTTCAGTGTCTGGAATAAAAGAAAACATCTGGCTTCTCATATCTGCTTCTGTATTCAATTTTCCACAGTATTACACACCATGTAGATTCTAGACCTGTCCTCTGTACACTTGTTAGAGAATAAAAGTAAAAATTGGAGGAAACAACATATCTATTTTATTATAATAAGAGGCTTGATCTTGTGGACTTCCTCAAAGTATCTCAGGGACCAGCAGATTTCTCCTGATACACTTTGAGAAGTACGGCTGCAAAGAATAACAAAATAATCACTTTTCATGCTTGTAAGTCACTTTATAATTTACATGTTACTTCAGTTAAAATCCTCATCAGTCCTATGAAGTAAATAAGAGTAGCTCTGCTCTATTGACTCCCTTTTATTGTCAAGGGAACTTAGCTTCAAAGTGATAACATTTTCTCCAACATCTAAGTTGGTACCTACTCTGCCTCGTCATTAATGTGTCTTATTTTCCACTATGTAGTTATTCTCTGTGGAAAGTAATATTGAAAGGATGGATAGAAAAAATATAAAACTGAAAAATGTAGTTCTTCTGAGTATATAGATCCATACGTATATATACACACATATACATGTACACACATACACACATGTACATTGGATTATAAACACATAAATATGATATATATATGAGATATTGTATACATTAGCCTGTCTATATGTATAAACGGCAAAACTCGAAGTTTACATATTTTGTTTAGAATGTAATAATATGTAGCTAATTTTAAAAATACCTGTGTAGTTTTATATATAATAGCATTGAAATAATATAATAAAATGCAGCACCAATTTCATAGTATTTATAGTATGCTACCTAATCAAAGAAAAAGGAATTTGTGATATTCCTAAGAGTTTAATATGTAATGTTTCATTTTTCAAACCACCTAACATAATAAAGAGAAAATCATATGTTAGTTCATATTTAACAGCTGTAGATCCTCCCAATAATCTTGCTTTTTTCTACAGATTGTCTTGGAATTTCATGAGGCAGAGAAACAAAACTTTGACAGTTATCATGTGATTTTTCCCCTGAAATATGCCACCACATATTAAAATTGAGGAATCATATTTATCCTATCTGCTGTAGAGGTGAGCTTCTCTGACCATAGCTCTGAAAATCACCATTACTATCCTTTGTGAAGAACCCTGAGAGCCAGTCATAAAAGATATAAATGATACTGCATGGCCTGAGAGCCCGATGCTTTGCAGACTCCTGGCATTGTGTATAAGAAAAGTGTTCCAATAATAAAATCATGGCAATATTACTCCTTTCTCACAACAATATTTTTAGTAGTAATCTAGGCAATAAATGTAATAGCAGGTCTAACACCACTGGCAATATTAAATTGAAATAGCAAATTGCAAAGCGAGTGAAATTGTTATCAGAGGGATTGATCTAGAGTAGAACCAATATTTTTAGCTTCCAAATAAATGTTCAGTAAAATAATACTTCACTATTGTGCAAACATTATAATAGCGATTTACCAAAAATATATTACTTTAAAAAAGTCATATTCTTTCATAGACTGGGGCACAATAAAAAGAACGAAAATGAAAATACAGTTATTTTTACATTCCAATGAGTTTTAGTAGTTCACAATATATTACTTAACTCATCCTAAAAACTAGACTCTCAATTTCCAGGAATGTTGTGTTTATTTATATTGGAGCCCATACAAACGTTAGACCTTAGCCAGAAATGCTGCTGCTTCTCTGTACAAGCATAAACAGTCAATAGGTTTGGAAATGATTCTTAATATATTAAAAACTAAAACTTTATGTTACTGTATATTAAAAAAGAATTAATTACTATATAGGTTTTACTCCTTATAGGACATGAAAAGCATAACAAACAGAAATCTGTCTCCTATCTATCTATGTATCACCTATCTATCTATCGTATATCAACATCTGTCACATTTCTTGTGACTTTCAGGAGATGCTACATTTTGCTGCAGTAACAAAACACCCCTTAGGTGATTAAAACAATTTATTTCTTTCTCACATCACATGCCTTAGTGGATCAGTGTTGAGCTCTGCAGGATCTTGAATCATGGAGGCTCTATATTCTAACTTCATGCCCTGGAACATAAGGCCCTCCTGGTTTTCACAGCTTGGGAAGAGACAGTAACATGTGTTTTTGTTTTGTTTTGTTTTACTGCCTCAGCCTGTAAATGATGCCCTTTACTTGTATTCACCCTTTATTTTTCAGAACTTAACACGTTGCACCATATAACAACAAGAAAGCTAGAAAACAATAAAAGAGTATAATACTTTGTAGGCATTCTGTTTCACCATGATGATATCAAATATTCCTTTCCTCTCATTGTTGCACATAAAGAACATACTCCACACTTCCCTAGGAAAGATGACCCAACTGTACCATAACTGTATCAACTGCAAAGGCCAAGTTTGTTGAGAGATGTGGGCTAGTATGTTAATCAATTTCAGTTATGGCTCCCATTGGTCTGCAAGTTGATTAGAATACAAAGTTTAAAAGATGAGTTATTTGCCTCCAATACCAATATTAATGTTGGAGGAATAGAATAACCACAACAAACATAACCCTTTGTAAAGGACACAAATGGGAGATACGAAGTCACTATTAGTAGCCATCCTGAAACCCTATGTGACAGGTACATGAAAAGTACCTTGGAAGTGGATTTAACCAAAATTTGTAATTAATTTAACAGTCAAAAACACTTGGAAGTAGTTTTACTTTCTGGGAGGTTCTTTTTAATCATGGCCCTTTACTAATAACCCCACTTCCAGTTATTTTGCAGATATAGTTCCTGGATCTGCTACATTTCTTTACCTTTTTTTCATCTCTGCTTCTCTTAAACCTGAAGGGACGGGCTACGTTAAAGCTGTCAAGGTTTTAAATGAAGACCACACCCTTATTGTGATCCTTTGCAGAACATGTGTCCCTTAGGCTTTCTCATTCTTACTTTTGCTGCTTGGGGTCAAGAAGCAGTTAGCTCTTTTAACTCTGGAGAAATGAAATCTCTGACTTTGTTTCATGTACCAAAGAGAGCTCATCTGCTTCTTTTAACACATGGCCAAACACAGCCATTAGTCATCAACCCAAAACACAAAGGCTTTGCTTCTTAACCTCTTTCTATGGAGCTAAAATTGCATGGGGCAAATGGCCTCCCTTGCAAGTAATTGCAGATGACTGTATTACCACAGGATAACATGAGCTGACATATTTTTTTGCTACATCTCCAATTGACTACTAGGCCAAAATCTTCATGGTTTTGTTTGTTGGTTTGTCATGGAAGCACCCACTTCTTTTTTTTTTTTTTTTTTTTTTTTTTTTTTGAGACAGAGTCTCACTCTGTCACCCAGGCTGGAGTGCAGTGGCGCGGTCTCCACTCACTGCAAACTCTGCCTCCCAGATTTACGCCATTCTCCTGCCTCAGTCTCCTGAGTAGCTGGGACTACAGGCGCCCATTACCATGCCTGGATAATTTTTTTTTTTTTTTTTTTTTTGTATTTTTAGTAGAGACGGGGTTTCACCGTGTTAGCCAGGATGGTCTCGATCTCCTGACCTTGTGATCCACCCGCCTCGGCCTCCCAAAGTGCTAGGATTACAGGCGTGAGGCACCACGCCCGGCCCGGGAGCACCTACTTCTAGCACAATTTCTGTAATAGTCAGGAAAGAAAAGGTTACGTAGTGATAACAAATCTAAATGCATTATTTAAACAAATAAGGTAAAATAGTTTACCAAATTATTGAAAAAAAGAAAGAGCATGTATTGTTAGCAAACTCTACAATCCGATATTTACAATACCAATACCCCATAAGCTCTAAAAACAGAACCAAAATTTATAATTAATTTGACAATCAAGGCTAATTTTACCTAAGTTCTCTTGGGAATAAATCTTTCCTAATGCATTATGATGCAATCTCAAACAAATTGGAATGTTATTTCACACGCACTGCAGTTGGCCCTTCTTAACTGTGTTCCACAACTGTGGATTTAACCAGCTACAGGTGGAAAATAGAAAATTTAAAAAATGGTTGCATCTGTACTGTACATGTACAAACTTTTTTCTTGTCATTATTCCTATACAATAGAGTATAACAATTATTTACATAGCATTAGGTTGTATTAAGTATTATAAATAATCTAGAGATGATTTAAAGCTTATAAGAGGATTTGTGTCAGATATATGCAAATATTATGCCATTTTATATAAGAGACTTAAGCATCCATGTATTTTGGTACCTTTCAGGGTCCTGGAACCCCTGGATACCAAGAGACTGTATTTGTATCATATTTTCATTCTAAAAGATGAAATATTATAAATTATGTAACACATTTTTCCCAAGGGTTTTGTACGTAGTACTATGGACCTATAATTTCTAAATCGTGTAGAAAGATAGGATATCATAGATGACTGCTTTGGTACACAATATGTTTCTCTGGATTTATTATATTTATATTTTTAACTCATCTCCCTTTCAATATATGTTGATTTTTCTTTCTGAATATTAGTTTATGTTGTTATTATTGTTAGTGTTATAAACATTTGCAGTTTAAATATACTTAACCAGTGCAATTGTTTTTGTATAAGCTGGTTGTAATGCCACACACAAATAAATGCACCTTTTTGCCAGTCAAAACTTCAATGTTTTATTACTGTATAGGATCTAGAAGAGTAGAGAAAGCTATCTAAGAAATTAGGTAAAAATGTTGATGCTAAAAACCTGAATACTGGTTCTATGTATTTATTGTTTGCTGATGAAGATTAATCACATCTCAGAGCATACATGACTGTTTTGCCAGCAGAGTGATAGAAATTGAATTCCATTTTTCTTACAGCCTCTACTCATCACTTACATAAGTACCTATAAATATACAGGCAACCACTATAGAGATGAAAGGAAACAGACTTGCTAAAAAAGAAATATTTAAAAAATTGGGTGAGTTAAATGATAAAACAATATCTCAGTAATGAAAAAAGTCAAGAGAAATTGAAGAACTATAAGGGAGGTAATGCATTTAAATTCAGTAGGTTTTATTTTATACAGAATTATTTGAAATATTTCCATGAATGAAATTTGATTATCAGCTTGGTAGAAATAACAATATATTCTAAACTGAGCAGACATCAGTAGAATTAGATAACGCCTACCTTTCTCCTTTCTTTTATTACAATGTCAGCATAATATTTAAAACGTCTCAGCAAACTCTTTCCTTCATAACTTTAATAAGTAGATTTGCCAGGTGCAGCACTAGCAGGAGGCCCTTAATATATTTAAGTTGGAAAATGAGGCAATTATATTTCAAAGTTCTGATTGGCTACATTTTAATTTTAGAACTATGAGATGAACTGATTTAGCTAGTGGCTTTCTGGAGAAATCTCCCACATCTGCACCTGTTCATTTTATTAAAATAGAAACACCTTGCCAGGGGTGAGAAAAAGATATTGGTCACAGAAGCAATGACAGCTTGGTCCCTCTGCTTTTACTATTGATTACATTTCTTGACAGTCACATGGGAAGTTAATTACTAGTAGGCAATTAACACTCTTGAAAAATAATGAAGAAAACATAATTATATTGAGAACCCCAAAAGACTGTTTGTAATCTTAAATGTGATATTCCCAAGTCTCTTTTTATAGTTTTGTCAACCGAGGTCTTGACTTTCCATTTTTTCTACACTGTTTTGTCAACCCAGTGTCTGTCCCTAACAAAAAGCAGTAATTATTAATGCTCTATTTTATTATTTTAAATTATTAAAATGAATACTGAATTTTCAGCAGTCTAATTAAAATTCTCCAAGGAGTCTCTCAATGAAAACAAGATAAAATTTGCTTTGCATATAAAGTGAATAGTCTTTCCAGTAAAATGCATCTGCTGTGGGAAATAGTTAGGACAATTTATCTACTATCAGCTTGTGATCTGTTAAATTTATTTTTTCCCCTTTCTCCATTATGGGGTAGTGGCTCAATGAACAGACTCTCAAGCTGAGCCATTTAGGCTTTAGTCTCTGCACTATCACTCAGCAACCATCTGACCTTAAAGATAGTTCTTTGTCCTATCTGTGACATAGTTTCCTTTTCTGTAAAGTGGAATAATGTTGGGTTTGTACTACTCATTTTACTGGAATGAGTTCACGTGGTATTCCTGGTAAATAATGTGTCAGCCCTCCTTTTCCCTAATCTTTACTGCTGTGGTGTCATAAGAAGGGTTGATGCCGTTTGTTTTTTCTTCTGCAAATAACCCAACATGCCTTTGACCTGGGGACAGGAGAAAATAATTGTTCTGCACACAAAAGGGAAAGAGCACGTGCCTGCTGCCTACTTCAAAGGATCTAATGGGCCTAAATCCTAATTTCACCTGTTTGGTATATTAATGAACTCTCTCTAGGAACCAGATAACCCCATGTGTCTCACATTTTACATTACAGTTTCACAACCTAGAGGTGTATCCAAATTCAGAATCTTTATTCCTCCTTCAAATGTGCACTTCTATAGATATAGCTGTTACTGTCTTTCTGGCACTTTGGGGTTTAAGCATGAAACTGAGTGTGAGCTACAACTATGTGGACTTAGTGTGGTGAAAAGAAGTTTTAGTATCCTTTTAGATCAGAAAAGTTCATTCCCAATATAGGGAAAAAATGCTGTAGATATAATACTTATGATATATTTTTAGGATAATAAGTAAGACGTTTTACAGGAATATGAAGAAATTGAGGGAAGCTATGTACTCTCACAAGTAATAAAGTAGCCACCTAAGAAGGTTTGTGATGTTTAAATGAATTGATAAATAAATTGCTTAACAAGTCACTCATTATTAGCTACTCAAAATTATAGTACCAACAAATTCTAACTCCAATGGATTTTTCAAAGACTTTAGAAGTCAGTGTGTTAGCCATAGTATTTAAATATTAAAAAAACTTTATATAACACGTCATTATTTGGTGCTAAGCTGTCTTTATTTAACATTTTATTTTAAAATAACAACAATTCCTAGGAAGTTACAAAAAAAGTACAGACATAATCCTCTGTACCTTTCATCCAGGTTCTACTAATGATTGTATTTTACATCAGTAAAGCACAATATCAGAAACAGGAAATTAATAGGCATAATTTATGTGTATAGTTATATACCAGTCAAGATCAGTACTATTCTATCACTACAAAGATATGCTCAGTTCCACCTCTTTGCAGTTACAACAATCCCTCCACTTCCAACTGTACCTAACCCCTGGCAAACACTACCCAATCGTTTTTATCTTCATAACTTTTTAATTTTGAAAGTGTAATACACATGAAATCAGACAATACATGGTTTTCTCTAATTGGCTTTTTTCTTTACTTATCATAATGCCCTCACGATACATCAAAGTTATTGTCTGTACCAGTATACATTCAAAATGTTCATTCTTGTTATTGATGAATATAAATTTATGGTATGTGCAATACACTTTGTGTAATAATTTACATAATGAGGAACATTTTGGTTGTTTCTAGTTTTTGACTACCGTAAATAAAATAAACCATTTCCATTTCATGTAATTTTAGATATGTTAAGGCTTGAGTCTGCCATTTTATTTTTTTCTCTTGTCATTCCTTGTTTTTGCTTTCCGTTTTCTTTTTGTCCTGCTTTTCTATGCATAAAATTTTCTTAAAATTTTACTTGATTTACCTGTAGTATTTTAGAATGTATCCCTTTGTATGTATTTGTTTTAAATGGCTGTTTGAGGTTTTACACTATGCGTACAAAACTTATCATGGTGGACTAGTGTAGGTATTTTACCAGTTTGAATAAATTGTAGAAAACTTACCTCCCCTTTAAGTTCCTTTACTCTCATTCATTTATAATGTAATTACCTTAAATATTCCCTCTACATGTATTGAGGATCATTCTAGACCATATTATAATGTTTTCTTTGGCCACCAAACGTAATTTAGAAAACACAAGATGAAAATGAAAGTTGATTTTATTTACCCATTTTTGTTTTTTTAACCTTCTGTTATTTCTTTCTGTTTAGGGAACTTTGCTAGCCATTAATTTAGGGAGGTCTTTAGTGACAAAATTATCTTAGTTTTCCTTCATTGGAAACCTACTAAAATCCATTCAATTTCAGAAGATTTTTGCTTGATATTGAATCATAGTTAGCATTTTCTATTAGCACTTGAAAAATGTCACTTCCTTCTCATCCTCATAGTATTTGATCAAAATTATTAAAATTATTTTCTACCTATAGGTAAATGTTGGTTCTCCCTTGTTTACAAGATTTATTTTCTTTGTATTTTCAAATATTATACTGTTGTGTGTCTTGGTGTGGATTTCTTTGTGTTTATCCTATTTAGGATTCTTTCAACTTCATAAACTTTAGGTTTATGTATTTATTTGCCAAATTTTGAAAATTCTCTGCTATTGTGTCTTTGACTAATTTTTAGCCTCTTCATTTTCCTCTTCTTGCAGGCTTCTGATGACAAGAAAGTTGGATCTTTTGTTAGAGTACTGCAGGTTCCCCAGGCTCTATTTATTTTCTTTCAGAATATTTTCTCACTGCTGTTCAGATTGAATAATTTCTATTGTTCCACCTTCCAGTTAAATATTTCTTTCCTTGTCTTATTAATTCTTCTGTTGAGCTTATCCTTTGTTCTGTTTTAGTTACAATTTTTACTTTTACCATCTCAATTTGGCATTTATTTTATAACATGTATTTCTTTGTTGACTGCTTGATTTTAAAAAAATTAACCTTGTCCACAGCAGGTATGGCCTTTGTGTTCAGCTCAGCGAGGTAATCTCTGGCTTGCATGATAGTAGTGTTTTTCCTTTGTTGGAAGATTTGAGTTATTCAAAATAGTCTACAGAGTTATTTATGCAAGAGGCTAGGCACATCAGATAATATTTAGCATGAGGAAAACCCTTACCAGAAAGACAAACAATGTGATGTAGCGTGGGAGCTTTGGTTCACACAGTATCCATTGACCTGGAGACTAAGATCAATCATATGGACAGTAAAATAATCAATTACGCCTTTGTGAGGGATACACTTCTTCCTTTGGCTGACTTTAAAATGTATCAATTTCTTGTAATTACTTATAACTGTAAGTGAAATAACCTTCAGTGATGTCTGTGGGTCCTTCAAGTAAATTATCAAAATTGAGGGGGGTTTTGGAAAACTCCTTAAGTTGCAGTTGGTGTCATAAATGAGCGTAGAAGTACACTGTGAGAACTGTTACCTGTGACTTAGCAATCAGTCTAACTTGTCACATTGAGACTTTGCATTTTTTCTTTATTTTCAAGCATGTTCATAATTTTCAAGGAAGCATGTTTTTGATGGCTCTTTTTCAATCTCTGTCAGATAATTCTAGCAACTGTATTACCTTCTCATTGGCATCTTTTGATGCTCTTTTCTCAGTTGAGATGTTTTGGTATTTCATGTAAGTAATTTCAATTTAATTTTAAATTGAAATTTGGGAATTTAAATTTTAAGTTTAAAAAAATTAAATTTGGGAATTTAAAATTCCCAAATTTTAGGTATTATTTGGGAACTACTAGGTCTTATTTAAATGTGTTTTTGTAACTCATGTCTGACTCTGCTCAAAGGGGGAATAAAGATAATGACAGATTAAAGGCAGGTTAGCATTGAAGTTTTAAGTTCCAAATTTGTCTTCCATTGAAACACCTGGGGAACAGAGCTTCTCATTACAGCTGGGAAGGATGGGTGTTAGGTCAGTTTTCCCATGAGGTTTTTGCTGATACCATCCTGATAATGGGGGATGGATGCCTCATTAATGCTCTGCAGATATCTCCACTGATACTGCTGGGGTTTGAGCTTGTGAGAAAAGTCCTGACTTTCTGACTTTCCAGTAGAAGTTCTTTGTCACAGTGTAGATGGCTGTAATCATTACCACTCGGTGGGGATGAAAGTCCAGGCTCCCCACTTGGCTTTCTATCATACCACCACAATAGGGTGGTTTGGAGCACTTCAGGATAGCCTGATAAAGGCAGAAACCCAGACTCCCTACTTGACCTTTAATGACAGGAGTAGGTTAGGGCTGCAGCATTTTATGTGGTGTTTGGCAGGAGCAGGACAATTGTTGTCTATCTTGCTAGGTTGCCACTTTCCTGATTCTGTGCCTAGAGAGAGCAGACTTTTCTTTTGTCTGTTCCCATTGGTATTTTCAAGTTTCTGGAGCATGTACCATATATATAGTGCATGATATATGAGGCAAAAAATATTTTAAAAAAGCAACAACAAAGCTCCAAAGAATTGATAGCTGTATTTCTTCTCATGTCCTATAGTCCTTCTCCAGAATGTGAATGTCTCTGCACTTCTTAAAGTCTCATGTTGATTTTTACATAGATTGTAATAGTTTTTAGCTAAAATTCTTTAGTTTAAGGAGGCTGACAAGGATATGGAGAAAAGAGAATGCTTGTACACTGTTGGTGGGAATATAAATTAGTTCAGCCACTGTGGAAAGCCATCTGAAGATTTCTCAAAGAACTTAAAACAGAGCTACCATTCCACCCAGCAATCCCATTATTGTTTATATACCCAAAAGGAAATAGCTCATTATACCAAAAAGACACATGCACTCATATGTTCATCACAACACCTTTCACAATAGCTCAGACATGCAATCAACCTAAGCGCCCATTAATGATGGATTAGATAAATAAAATGTGGTCCAAATAAATGATGGTCTACTATACAGCCATAAAAATAGCAAAATCATTTCCTTTACAGCAATGTGGATGCAGCTGGAGGCCAATACCCTAAGCAAATTAACGCAAAAACAGAAAAAAAATACTTTGTCTTCTCACGTATAGACGTATAGTGTGAGCTAAACTTTGGGCACTCATGTACATAAACGTAGCAAAAATAGATAGTGAGTACTACTAGAAGTGGGAAGGAGGGAGGGAGACAAGATTTGGAAAACTACCTATCATATACTATATTCACTACCTGGGTGATGGGATCAATCATACCCTAACCTCAGCATCAAGCAATACACCCATGCAACAAACCTGCACATGCACTCTCTTAATCTAAAGTAAAAGTAGAAATTATTTTTTAAAAAGAAAAAAAATGAAATCCCTACCATATTCCATACATAAACATAAACTCAAAGTGGATTAAAGACTTAAGTCCTGAAGCTTTAAAACTCTTAAAAGAAGACAGAGGAAGAACTTCATGACATTTGCCTTGCCAATTATTTCGTAGTTATGACACCAAAAGCTTGGGTAACAACAACAACATAATGAACATGTAGGACTGCATCAAATTAAACAGCTTTTGCACAGCAAAGGAAATAATCAACAGACTGAAAATGCAAGCCATAGAATGGGAGAAAATATTTGCAAATATTTTATATCTGATAATGGGTTTATTTCCAAAATCAATAAGGAACTCATACAACTCAATAGTCAAAAACCAATAATCTAATTGAAAAATGGACTCGAATAGATATTTCTCCAAAGAAGAAATACAAATGACCAACAGGTTTATAAAAAATGCTCAAGTCCCTGGTCATCAGGGAAATGCAAATCAAAACCACAATGAGATAACATTTCACATCTCTCAGGATAGCTATTATCAAAAAAGAAAACAGACCAAAAAACAAAGAACAAGAAGTCACAAACCCACATTTTAAGAATAAATTGAATCTCTTAGATATTATCATATTTGTAAATTATACATAAATAGAAAATTGGCTAAGCTGGCACAGAAATCTACCCACTTGACTCTAAGAAGTTATAATTGCATAGATTACAAAGGTGCAAAATTAGTAGAAATAATGTAGACATCCATGTCTCCTGCATGTATTTCTATCTTGAATGTATATAATGCCATCTACTAGATTATAGTACTCAAATACAAATATTTGATCTAAAAATGTATAATAGCTGAATAAAACATCTGCAGGCAATAGAGTTACCCTATCAGGGATGTACAACGATAAAATAATTATCTAGTCTACAAGCAAAAGGAATAGACTTTAAAAGGATATTTAAAAGTACAGTTATTTCTTTGTGTTGGGAATATTCAATATCATCCTTCTAGCTATTTGAAACTATATATTACTGAATGTTCCCAACAAAAAGGAAAGAGGTTTGTTTGAGATAATGAATACGCTAATTACTCTGATCTGACACCATACATTATATTTATGAAAATATCCCTGTGTATCCCATAAATATATACAATTATTGTTTGTCAACTTGGTCATTTATATATATATTTTTTAAATTAAAGTAAAGGCTGGTCACGGTGGCTGAAGCCTGTAATCTCAGCACTTTTGGAGGCCGAGACGGGTGGATTACCTGAGGTCAGGAGTTTAACATCAGCCTGGCCAACATGCTGAAACCCCATCTCTACTAAAAATACAAAAAAATTAGCCAGACATCGTGGCAGGTGTCTGTAATCCCAGCTACTTGGAAGGCTGAGGCTTGAACCCAGAAGGCAGAGGTTGCAATGAGCCGAGATGGCACCACTGCACTCCAGCCAGGGCAACGAGAGTGAAACTCCATCTCAAAACAAACATACAAACCAACAAACAAAAAAGTAAAATTAGTTCAGGTATATTTATAAAACACCTTTTTTTGCCTAGATCCAGGAAATAAAATATATTGTGGATTTAAAATACGAAAATAAAGGCCACATCTTTTCACAACAGTGCATGGTGAAGTCTGAGTTTGTGAGCCAAAAGGTCAATAAACATAAAGGTTCTTCTTGGTACTTTCACAGTATTCATTCATTCTGTTTCCTTTACCAGACTTAGCCTGAGTGCCTTTCCAAAACACAAACCCTATTTATTTCACATTTTAATCTTTAGCACCTCACGTCTCAATAAATAAAATGGTTAATTAAACTCAGTTTACTCATTTAAAAATTCATGGGCAGAAACTCACATTATGTTAGGAATATAACTTCTCCAAATTCAGAAGTGGTGCTTGGTAAAGTGGTATGGTAAATAGAAAAAAAAAATAACTCTTTTTAAGAAAAATCATATTCTCCCAGTTTCAAGATTTATTGTGCCTAGGGAACCAGGATTCTATATTTTTAAAGGACTTCCTAGATGAGTCTGGTTAGGTTTGGACACTCTGAAATAGATCTGTATCTTCCTTTTACAAATAATTAACCAGTATTAAACTGTGTGATCTAGAATAACAGCCAGTGAAAACGCAGAGTTTGTGTTAGAACTTAGATTCCAACATTCTTAGGGCAAGGGCTTTTCAAACCCCTGGGTGAAGTACTATTATATATGTATTTGGATTTCCCTGATGATCAGTGATGTTGACCATTTAATTCATATGCCTATTGGCCATTCATAAGTCTTTTTTTGAGAAATGTTCATTTAGGTCCCTTTTTCCCAATTTTAAATTGGCTAATTTGTTTTATTGCTATTAAGTTGTTTGAGTTACTGTTATATTTTCCATATTGCCTCCTTATCAGATGTATAGTTGGCAAATGTTTCTCTCCCATTCTACTGGTTTTCACTTCATTCTATGATTTGTTTCCTTTAAGTGCAGAATATTTTTTTATTTTTATGTAATCCTATTAGTATACTTTTGCTTTTGTTGCCTGTGCTTTTGAAGCCATAGGCAAAAACCCATTGACCAGACCAACATCATGGAGGTATTTTCTGTGTTTTCTCCTATTAGTTTCATAATTTGGGTCTTATATTTAATTATTTAATCTATTTTTACTTGATTTATGTATATGGCGTGACAAAATTTTCTAATTTTATTCTTTTCTGTACAGATGTTCAGTTTTCCCAACACTATTTATTGAAGACTGTCTTTTCTCCATTGTATGTTCCTGGCATCTTTGCCAAAAAGTAGTTCACTGTAAATGCATGGATTTATTTCAGGACTTTCTTTTCTATTCAATTGGTCTATTTCCATGCCAGTGCCATGTTTTTTGTGTTTTTCTTTTTTTTCTACAGCTTTATAGTGTATTTTGAGGTCAGATAGTGTGATGTCTCCAGGTTTGTTCTATTTGCTCAGGATTGCTTTGGCTATTCAGAGGCTTTTGCAGTATCGTTCAAATTTCAGTTTTTTTTTCTATTTTTTTTGAAAAATCTTATTGATATTTTGATAAGAATTGGATTTAATCTATAGATTGTTTTGGGTAGTATGGACATTTTAACAATATTAAGTATTCCAACTCATGAACACAGGGTATTTTTTTATTTATTTCTGTCTTTCTCAATTTCTTTTATCAGTGTTTTATAGTTTCATTGTAGAGATATTACACATTGTTGGATAAATTTATTCTTAAACATTTTTGTACCTATTGTAAATGTGATTTTTAAAATTTCTTTTTTAGAGAATTAACTGTTATTGAATAGAAATGCTACTGATTTCTGAAGGTTGATTTTGTATCCTGCAACTTAATCTTTTGTTTATTATTCCTAACATTTATTTGGTAGAGTCCTTAGGATTTTCTGTACATAGATCATGTTGTCTGCAAATAGGGACAATTTCACATATTCCTTTATAATTTGGATACCTTTTATTTATTTCTCTTGTTTAATTGCTCTTGCTAAGATCTCCAGTAATACGCTGAATGGAAGTTGCAAGAGTCTTTTTGTCTTTTTCTTGGTTTTAGAGTAAAATCTTTCAATTTTTCCCCATGGAATACAAGGCTAGCTGTGGGATTGTCATATATAGCCTTTATTTCACTAAGGTAACTTCTTCTATACCTTATTAGTTGAGAGCTGAGAGAAGATGTGAAATTTGTCAAATGCACCTTCTGCATCTATTGAAAACATCATTTTTTTTTCTTTTCTGTTCAGCTAATGTATTGTATCACATTTATTGCTTTGTATTGTTTGGATTATCTCATATCCCTGGGATAAATCCCACTTAATCATGGTGAATGATGATCTTATTAATGTGCTGTCATGTTTGGCTTGCTGGTATCTTTTTTTTTTTTCACATGGTGGAGTCTTGCTCTTGTTGCCCAGGCTGGAGTGCAATGGCACGATCTCGGCTCACTGCAACCTCTGCCTCCTGGGTTCAAGCGATTCTCCTGTCTCAGCCTCCTGAGTAGCTCCAATTACAGGAGCTTCCCACAATGCCAGGCCAATTTTTGTATTTTTAGTGGAGATGGGGGTCTCACCTTATTGGCCAGACTGGTCTCGAACTCCTGACCTCATGATCTGCCTGCCTCGACCTCCCAAAGTGCTGGGATTACAGGCGTGAGCTGGTATCTTGTTGAGAATGTTTGCATCTGTTTTCATCAGAAATACTGGCCTATAATTTTGTTTTCCTTAGTGTCTTTACCTGGATTTGCTATAAGGATGATGCTGGCCTTGTTAAGTGTGATTGGAATTATTCTCTATTCTTTAATTTTTGGGACCTGTTTGAGAAGAATTTGTATTAATTGTTCTTTAAAAGTTTGACAGTACTTAACAGTGAAACCATCAGGTTTAGGGCTTTTCTTGGACAGGAGACTTTTTATTTTTGATTCAATTTCCTTACTTATTTGTCTGTTCAGATTTTCTATTTGTTCATTATTCAGTCTTAGTAGGTCTAATGTATAAATGATTTGAACATTTTCTCTTTTGATGCTGTTTCAAAAATTATGTAAGCTTTCTTCATCCCTTCTATTATTTTTTCTTTTTCTCCTCTTACTATATATTTTCAAATAAAGTGTGATTAAATTTACAATTTTTTCTGCCTGTTCAATTCTGCTGTTGATACTTTTTTTCACATTTTCATTGTGTTAATTGTATTTTTTCAGTTTCAACATTTATGTTTAACTTTGTTTTTAATTTAAATCTATTAAATTTCTCATTCTACTCACTTTTTTTAATTTTTCCCATTGATTTTTTTTATCTAGATTCTCTTAAAATTCACTGATCTTGCTTAAAAGAGTTATTTTGAATTCTTTATCAGACAATTTATAATTACCATTTCTTTAGGCCATATTATTTTGTCCATTTCATGATGTCATGTTTCCCTGGATATTCTTGATCCTTGCGGTTGTTTGTCAATGTTTGTGTTATTGTAAGATACAGGTACTTAGACTTTATAGACTAGCTTTTTCTAGAAAAGCCCTGCATTTATTTCAGTACTGGGGCACATAAGAAGCCAAATGCATCGCAGTCAGTGTGGCACTGCCAAAAGTCTGGGATACATTACAACAGTTGTGGCACTGAGGAGAGCCAGAAGCTTAGGGACATTGAGTTCTGTCTGTGCTGAAGGCTGCCTGGGACCTTGGGCGAATGATATTAGTTGGTGATGATGAAGGCTGGAGACTGAATTCACCAAGCAAGCCTTCATCCTGGGATTATTTGGTCTTTCCTGGCACCAGGGAGGGCGCAGAAACTTAGTTTACAGTTACTGGCTTGGAATAGGGGGCTATCAGGTTTTTGCAAATGCTGGGCTTTACTTTGGCAGGCCAGCATTTGGGTTCAATGCAAAGTCCTATGCTCATTTCCCTTCTCTTTTCCCCAAGCAGACAGCCTCCCGTTTCACACAGGACTGCTTGGTTTTGGAGGAAGGGTGATGTGGGTAATGTGAAAGTGTTCTTTTTCCCATCTTAAATGCATATTTTCTTAATACTTTCCTACAACCAGGTACTATGATCTCTCATTTGGTTTTCTTAGTCTTCTTAAAGGTACATTTGTGCATGAGTAGTTGTTCAAACTGATGTTTCTGCAGGGTACAATCACTTGACAGTCCTACTCTGCCACCTTGCTCTGCTCCCTCTGTGAAGTCTTGATAATACAAAAAAATACTCTCCTCACCAATAACTACATATTTCTACTGTAGAGCATACTGATTCTTGCCTATCAGAATTCAGAATATCATGTTAATCAGGAAAATAAAGTAAATTATAAGACATAGGGAAAATCAAAGTGTTTTTTTTTGAAATAAAATACTTACTGTATTGGGGTCTCTAAGATTAAAAACACCCTCAACAGTTAACTTTGTGTTTAATATTACATACCTATATATTTATAAAATTACTTGGTCATCATCAAATTCCACTAAAATATATTTTTTCTTTCCACAAATTTATTCACTTCACCAAATAGAATAGGATGGTATGTCACAATCTTTTACATATCAACTTCAGTGAAAAATGATTTTTAAATGCAAATAGCAGATATTATAGGCATTATGAACTAGTGATCTGTAAGCAAAGCGATAATGAGGATAGTTTTATGGTCAATTGCATTGGAAATCAGAGCTAAAGCATTTAACTGCATTTATAAAGCAGACACACTAGTTTCTAAGAGGCAACCTCCCTCACTTGACAGATAAAACTTAACAATCATCAATCATTCAGTTTCAACAAGAAAAATAGTTTTCTATAACAATGATTCTCTTCTCAGACTTAGGTACATATTAACATTACCTGGAGACTTTAAAAACCCCATTTCCAGGTTTCATCCTATACAAATTAAATTTAGAGCTATAATACAGGCATTTTTTTTATTGCTTCTAAAGGAAAAAAATGGATACATGTGTATAACGTGCAGGTTTGTTACACAGGTATACGTGTGCCATGGTAGTTTGCTGCACCTATTGACCCATCCTCTAAGCTCCCTCCCCTCACCTCCACCCCTCAACAGGCCCCAGTGTGTGTTGTTCCACTCTCTGTGTCTATGAGGTCTCAATTTTCAACTCCCACTTATGAGTGCGAACAAGTGGTGTTTGATTTTCTGTTCTTATGTTAGTTTGCTGAGGATGATGGCCTCCAGCTTCATCCATGTCACTGCAAAGGACATGATCTCATTCCTTTTTATGACTGCATAGTATTCCATGGTGTATATGTGCCACATTTTTTTTTATCCAGTCTGTCACTGATGGGCATTTGGGTTGGTTCCATGTCCTTGCTATTGTAAATAGTGCTGCAATAAACGTATGTGTGCCTGTGTTTTTAATAATCTCAATGAGTTGCAAATGAAGTAAAGTTTGAGAACCAGTGTCCTAAGGCATAATTTGCATTGAAATCTTACATATTCTTATAAGCATTTATGTTTCGGAAAAAATATAGTTTTCAACATTGCTCCCCAATTTAAAATCAATTTTTACATTCTTGTTACTGCATTAAGGGAATAAAACAGGTTTAAAAATAGAAGTATAACATATAATTAATATGTTAGTTAAATCAAATGATATACTTAATGTTTATACATTTCAAGATTTAAAAAAAAATCTGTCCTTGCTGAAATTGACTTATTATTTCACTAATTTAGCTACAAACAACTGCTATTGCAAACATGCTCTGAAGTTGAGTTCCAAAAATACGGGCTCTGAATGCTTTTACAATCTGATCTGCTGTCCAATACTTCACAGGGCATATTTATAAACAAAGTAGATAGCAAATAAGCAGTTTATCTCTTTGCTTTTAAAAAAGGCTTAAGCATGTTAAAAAATATTTTAAAGTGAATTTGAAGTAAAAATAATCTTTAAAGTCCTAAGCTTCATGTTTGATTTCAAATGATAATTTTAGATCAAATCAATCTTGTACTCTTTAAAACAAACCTATACAGTGTTGATTAGTGTACTGAATCACTAAGGAACATTAAAAATGCTATTAGTAAAACAAGAAACATTAAACTGGTGTTCTTTAAATAAAATGTAATCGAAAAAATTAAATAATTCTTCATTTGTTATATGTTCCATGAACCAGCATGTGCCAACATGTCCTGTTTGATATTAGTTTAGTTTTTTTTTTCAAGGAAGCCTGCTCTTTAGATTTGCAATTGGCATAAGCATAATAAAGTCTCCCAAAATGAAAACTTTCAGTAAAGATAACTATTACCTATGCAAGAAGTTCTCTATGACCCTCAAAAACACTGATCCAAGGTGAAGAAAAGGGTGAAATGAAATTAGCAGTGTATTTTCTAGATGCAAGAAAAAAATATTAAACTGTGACAACAGGATAAATACATAGTAATAAATAAAGAGATAGAGATTTGTTTCTGCAAACCAGGCTCAATAAAACTGGTTGGGCTTTGATTCACATGAGGAAGAACTGATGTAACTGAATTACAACAGCCAAAAGCCGAGATTGGAAATATTCGGGGTAATAATGTATTGTTTAATTTGTTGTTTTATGTTTTGCTTAAACTTTTATATTTTTATTTTCATTTGGTGAGTGATATAGTAAACTTTATGCCCCTCAAAACATGTCTGCCTTATGCAGAAGTCAGTTGTGCAATATTTGTACAGAAAGTAAAGATGAATGACTCCAAGGCAATCCAAATGTTCTTATTGTTAATTTGATTTATTTTTAAATTATTTTAGATTTGTGAATTCCTTACTCTTTCTGAAAATCCTGAGTGGAATGGTTTATGAGTGGCACTGAATGACTTAATGGGCTTCCTTAGAAGAAACTATCAATATGGAGGAAGAAATGAGGAGGTGTTTGTGATATTAAAAAAAAATAGTCATACAAAGTAGTAAATTGACAAAGAACAAGATGATGTTTTAGAAGAGATGAGAGGTAATGTGTGAAGCCCAAGCAGGAATTTCTGCAATTCAGTTTTGTGAAAGATAAAGAAACTGATTTGGTCTGTTGTGAAAGTATACGTAATTTTTTTACTCTCTCAAGTATTCAACTGCTAAGAGCTTTTAAGAGCCATGAGTATAAAGAGAGTTATCAGTTTTATTTACTATTTTGGTGATTGTGGTAGGCTGAAAAATGCCCCTCCCCAAAAAATACATGTACTAATCCCTGGAACTTGCAAATGTTAACTTAATTAGCAAACACATCTTTACAGATGTGATTAAGTTAAGGATCTCAACATTGACTTAGAAGCCTTACTCTTCCCCTCAGCTTGACTAAACTTTAGACAGATTTATGAATGATTATAAACTCCTGACCTCCCTTTAATTAGAGCCTTTACTTTAGAAAACTTTCAACTGTAAACTCTTTCCCTGTTCCTTTGAGATGCAAATCTACTCCCAGACTCTGGACAGTTTTATAATCAGAAACGTTTTTCTCAAGGGCCAGGGAGCCATCTCTTTAAAATGTAATCGTAAAAAATATAGGGCTCCTATCTCCCAGGGTAAGAGCCAATCTTCTGTGGGTAACAAGAAGCAAACACAGATGGCCTAATAACACTAACCAACTTTCCCCTAAATTATCCTCCGGTATTTTCCACTAACTCACCCCACCTTTTGTTTAAATGACTTGAGGTAAATCTCTCCTCCCTATTGCAATAGTCTTAAATAAAGCTTTCCTTGTCTAAGTTGTTCAAAGCAATTTTTTTCCTTGACAACATGGAGTGATTAACCTGAATTATCCAGATGTTCCCTGAAGGCTATGAAAAGTAATCTTATAACAGGGAGTCCATGGAGAAGTACATGCAGAGAAAAGGAAGACGCAACATGACCCCAAAGGCAGGGATTGCTGTAAGCATAATCACAGAATGCAGAAAGCCACCAAAAGCTGGAAGAAGCAAGAAAGTATTCTCCTGTAGAACAAAGTGACAGTGCTCCTGCTGACACCTTGATTTTGGACCTCTGGCCCCCAGAATTGTGAAAAAATATTTTTTTTCAAGCAACCAACTTTGTGACAATTTTTATAACAGCCCTAGGACACATAGACTGATCAGAAAACATTTTTATTTGAGTGCATCATCTTAATATTATAATAGAAAAACTACTGTGAAAATATTAATTCCATTTGAAACTTTCTATATTGAGATCACTGTTTGATTAGGGCAGTATCATAAGAGTACCATATGTTGAAAACTACACTTTGTTTTCAAAACGAAAAGCAGTAGTGAATAAAACCAATCGTACTATTTTGTTTTAGCAA
This sequence comes from Homo sapiens, assembly GCF_000001405.40. NCBI lineage: Eukaryota > Metazoa > Chordata > Mammalia > Primates > Hominidae > Homo > Homo sapiens. The sequence continues at coordinate 190,194,625 of NC_000001.11, forward strand.
GAAACCTGATTTTTTTTCCTATTTACTATTGTTAAAATGATAGAATTGGGATAAGCCACTTGAGCACCTGTTTTTAAGAAGAATGCTGTTTATGTAGATTAATTCAACTGAAGCCCTGGAGATACTAATGAAATTTACCAATTTAGAATGAGCAGCTTCAGTATGGATTTTTAATAAGAAAGCAGCTGCTCATCTAGAAGTAGTAGTAGCTAACGTCTGAAGGCCATGAGATTTGTCTGTTCTGGAAGATATGATAAGCAAGGAACAGATGGTTAGCATAAATAATTCAAAAGAGCTCTCCAGTCACTTGTTTTGGGAAAAACAATATGTTAAACTATGTTTACAAGGTTACTTGGAACTTTAGAAAAAAGAATTATTTCCTTTTCATGCTTTCTTTCAACATGAAGTTTAAAAAAAAATTATAAGCATTTAAGGGTTAGTCCTCTAAAATCAATACGGCCTATGATATCGAATGCATCACATAAGAGCATTAGATGTATTTTATATATGCAATCACAAGTAAATATATCTATGCCATCAGTGTAAATGTGGTTAAGGCTAAATTGATGTTGACTTATGTATAGTTTTGGTTACATCTATAAAGTAAGACCAATTTTTATAATTAAAAAGATTACATCTATAAAATAAGACCAATTTTTATAATTTAAAAGATTACATCTATAAAATAAGACCGATTTTTATAATTAAAAAGAGTTTGCTAGTACTTTTGTACATAGTTTGTCTTATTTGACTTTATTTTACAGATTAAAAATCTGAAGGCACTCCCTTGGTGAAGAAAATGTAATCCTAGCCCTGCAGTTTTGTAATCTTAATAGGTACCTTAATTTTATAGCAAACTTTTTATATATCCCTTGCTAAATAATCTTATTTTTTTACTCTACCTAAAAAAGATTTAACATTGACACATTTATTCACTTTTCCTTCAAATTTTCCTATGTATTATACGTATGAAGAATTCCTTTTCTTGTCTCTCATAGAAAGGTACATACATACCTATGCCTAATTTCGTCCAGAGCTGTAAGCTTTTCTAATGTGATCTAAATTGGCTTTATCTTAACTAATTAACATTCTCTTCTTCATTTTTTTCTTCCTCTCAGTGGGAAAATATGATTAGCAACTTGCTAATTAAATAATTTTTACTGAACTCTGTATTTTCTTCAAGTCACCATTCTAAATTTATAACTATATCCATAATTGGAGTTCTTGAAAAAAAAGCTTGTTATCTCCACTTTCTTTCCACTCAATTATTCAATTATTCTTAAACTCATGTTCAGCTACACATTATCAAAAACCTCATATTTGGCACACCTTCTCAGTCCAAAATATTACATGTAAGATAACTGTTGGCAGTTGTTCAAATGTTGTAAGCATGAGCTTTTTGAGCTAGATTGTATAGAAGCTGTCCTATTTTCTGTGGTGATTCTCATGTAACATTTTCAAAACCAAGATTTATAAGTGTTACAGTTTCTATCACTATAAAGCAGACATTGCCATCAATCACTAATATATTATCCCAACCCTGGCTTCCAGGTCTCAGTTATGCTTCTTTGTACATTAGATTTAGTTCCTTTAGGACTGCTACAATTCCACTCACCTACCAATAGCACCCTGCCTTCTGCATTTGGAGTACAATCATTAGTCAGCTGTGGCAGATAGATTTAGACTTCTTGGGTGCTATAAATCAAATAGTCAAATTGCTTGTTCAACACCAGATAATGGTTCTGCTAATGTGACATTTACTATCTTCCTGGACATTTCAAATGTGCTTTGATATGGCCTTAGATCTGTAGTATACATTTTTCCTCCAAAAAACATTTAAACATGTGTTTGCATTCCAAAGTAAACAGTTATAATAACAGTTTCCTCAGCCAGAAATCCAAGAGAGAAGCACATATCTAGGCGTTAATAATGAGACATTAAAATAAAGCAATGGGTAAACATAATCAGGAACTCAGGTACTTTGGTCATTATTGCTGCCTGTTTCCACAGTGGTTGGCCACATTAACTGATAGGTTTTTTTTTGTTTGTTTCTGTTCTGAATATATGTAACTCTTAAGAAAATTTTCATGAAAAATTACCCTTTGTGTTTTAGAAACAATAATTTAATTTGAGCCACTGTTTTTCTGAGATCCATGTTTGTCTCATTTAATAAGGGTCATCTATGAGTGGAGTCCAGATAGTCACTGAGAAACTTTCATGGGTACATTTAACATTGATATTTCTCCTTCAAACCAACCAAATAAGGGTAGACTTGAAATAAGCTCATCGTTATTATAAATAATAAATTATTTATAATATAATAAAATACATAATAAATTATATATTATTGTTTTAGTCTGTTCTCATGCCACTAATAAAGTCATAGGAGCGACCTGGCAATTTATAAAGAATGGAGATTTAATGGACTCACAGTTCCACATTGTGAGGCTGGGGAGGCCTCACAATCATGGCGGAAAACAAAGGAGAAGCAAAGGTGCATTTTAAATGGTGGCAGGCAAGAGAGCTTGTGTAGGAGAACTCCCCTTTATAAAACCATCAGATCTGATGAGATTCAATTACCTCCCATTGGGTCCCTCCCATGACATGTGGGGATTATAGGAGCTACAATTCAAGATGAGATTTGGAAAGAGACAGAGCCAAACCATACCATTTCAGCACCTGGCCCCTACCAAATTTCATGTCCTTACATTTCAAAGCCAATCATGCCTTCCCAAGAGTTCCTCAAAGTCATAACTAATTTCAGCATGAACTCAAAAGTCCATAGTCCAAAGTCTCACCTGAAGCAAGGCAATTCCCTTCCATCTATGAGGCTGTAAAATCAAAAGCAAGTTAGTTACTTCTTAGATACAATGGGGGTACAGGCATTGGGTAAATACAGCCATTCCAAATCGGGGAAATTGGCCAAAACGAAGGGGCAACAGGCCCCATGCAATCTAGACTTCAGGAGGGCAGTCAAAACATACAGCTCCAAAATGATCTCTTTTGGCTCCATGTCTCACATCCAGGTCACACTTATGCAAGAGGTGGGCTCCCATAGCCTTGGGCAGCTCCACCTCTGTGGCTTTGCAGGGTACAGCCCTCCTTCTGGCTGATTTCACAGCTGGCATTAAGTGTCTGTGGCTTTTCCATGTGCAGAGGGCAAGCTGTTGGTGGGTCTACCATTCTGGGGTCTGGAGGACTGTATCCCTTTTCTCACAGATTCACTAGGCAGTTTTCCAGTAGGGACTCTGTGTGGGAGCTCCCACCCCACATTTCCCTTCCACACTGCCTTAACAGAGGGTCCCCATAATGGCTCCATCCCTGCAGCATACCTCTAACCTGGACATCCAGGCATTTCCATACATCCTCTGAAATCTAGACAGAGGTTCCCAAACCTCAGTTCTTGACTCTGTGAACCCACAGGCCCAACACCACCTGTAAGCTGCCAAGGCTTGAAGCTACCAACCCTCTGAAGGGTGCAAACAGTCTGAGCTGTATGTTGGCCCCTTTTGCTATGTCTGTGACATAAGGAACCAAGTCTCAAGACTGCACAAAGTGGCAAGGCCCTGGACCCAGCCCAGAAAATCATTTTTTTCTCCTAGGCCTATAGGCCTGTGATAGGAGAGACTGCTGTGAAAAACCTCTGACATGCCCTGGAGACATTTTCCTCATTGTCTTGGCAATTAACATTTGGCTCTTTGTAACTTACACAAATTTCTGCAGCCATCTTGAATTTCTCCTCAGAAGATGGGTATTTTCTTTTCTACTGCATCATCAGGCTGCAAATTTTCTGAACTTTTATGCTCTGCTTTCCCTTTTAAATATAAGTTCCAATTCCAACCATATATTTGTGAATATATACATAAAACGGAATGATTTTAACAGCACCCAAATCACCTCTTGAATACTGTGCTGTTTAAAAACACACCAGATGTGTTTCTTGCACCAGATGCCCTAAATCATCTCTGTCAAGTTCAAAGTTTCACAAATCTCTAGGGCAGGAGCAAAATGCTGCCAGTCTCTTTGCAAGGATTTATCAAGAGTCACCTTTGCTCAAGTTCCCAACAAGAGCCTCATCTCCATCTGAGACCACCTCAGTCTCGATATTATTGTTCATATCACTATCAACATTTTGGTAAAAACAAAATCAACAAGTCTCTAAGAAGTTCCAAACTTTCCTATACCTTCCTGTCTTTTGATCCCTCCAAACTCTTCCAACTTCTCCCTGTTAACCAGTTCCAAAGTCACTTCCACATTTTTTGATATCTTAACAGCAGCACCCTACTCTTAGCACCAATTTACTGTGTTACTCTGTTACCACACTGCTAATAAAGACATACTAGAGACAGGATAATGTATAAAGGAAAGGGGCTTGATGGATTCACAGTTCCACATGCCTGGGGAGGCCTCACAATCATGGCAGAAGTCAAAGAAGCAAAGACACATCTTACATGATGGCAGGCAAGAGAGCTTGTGTAGGGGAACTCCCCTTTGTGAAACAATCAGATCTCATGAGACTTATTCATGATCATGAGAACAGCACAGGAAACACCCATTTCCATCATTCAATTACCTCCCACTGGGTCCCTCCCATGACTTGTGGGGATTATAGGAGCTAAAATTTAAGATAAGATTTGCGTAAGGACAGAGCTAAACCATATGAATTATCAAACACATATCTCTTTGCCCTGGTTGTATAACCATTTTATTCTCTCATTCCATTTTTCCTGGAGGTACAATGAATTTGATAATAATTCTGAAATATTACTTCATCCACCACAAAATCTGAATCTAAGGAAGAGGAGAAACAAATGTCCAACGTTTGATAGACCAGAACATTTTACCTCCAACCTCAACCCTTTGGCTCTAATGGTTAGTTTAGTATTATGCAGATACCCAAACCAGAGCAATAAGGCTCCAAACTATTTATTTTTCTGTAATATTTGGAAACAAAACAAAACCAAAACCAAAACATTTTCTTGTGTAGTCTAAGGTTATTGGATACAATTCTGATGATGCCAAAAGCCATCTTTGTCACAAGTTAGGAGAAAATTAGCCAAGATAGAAGTCAAAACAAAGAAAAGTTACAATAATTAAAGTGACACATTCCTAACAATTGCAATCTGCTATTCTTGTCAAGGCATAGGAAAAAAAAAAAAACAAAAACAAAAACAAACAAAAAAAAAACCTAACCATTTTTCTTTTTTCTAGGGAAAATTATACTTCATTAAGTATAAAACTTAAAATGGCAAAAAACAAAAATAACAAAATATAAAATATTCACCTTGTCTATGTGACAACTACCTGAATTGCCAGACTCATTTTCTACCATTTTTCCCTCTTAGTTTATGATACTGCAGTCCTGGTAATGACAGGAGCTGGCCTCACTATTGCCTAATTATTCTCCTAGATGTAGTTCAAGTGTTGACCTTTTCAGAAGCTTTTCCTTATTGTTTCTCATCGATACACCAAGCTTTGTTTCCCTTCTTTGTAACAGTACCACTCAGAGTCTACCTGTGCCTTATTTATATTGGAATTTGTTTGGAAAGACAGATTTTGAGTTCTTCAAGGACACGATCTTGATCATTTTATAACTCTTATGGCTACTAGCACCTCTTCCTCAATAAATAGCTAAATTTGTGAATTATGCCAAAGTCTATTGTCTTATGCCTGGCTATGAAAACTATTATTAGCTCCATCTTGAGATAATTTTAGACTTCAGATGAATTTAGAATTTGAATGGGAATAGAACATATAGAACATGAACCAATAGATCTTAGAGACCATATATTATTCTCTATTCACAGAAAGCAGACTACACAAATGGATGACTGGTGTCAAAGAACCTCACTAGGAACATAGAATTTCATATAACCTTTATTTTTATATATGAGACTTAGGAAATTAAACATATCAGCTTAGCCACAGATATAACTCCCAAATCCTAAATACACATTTTGTTCAATTAGTCATGTGATGATGGAAGATGATAGGATTTGACTCTATGTCCCCACCCAAATCTCATCTTGTGGCTCCCATAATTCCTACATGTTGTGGGAGGGGCCCGGTAGGAGATGATTGAATCATGGGGCAGATCTTTCCCATGCTGTTCCCAGGATAGTGGATGGTTTCATGAGATATCATGGTTATAAAAAACAGGAGTATCTCAGCACAAGCTCTTTTTTTGCCTGCCGCCATCCACATAAGATGTGACTTGTTCTGCCATGATTGTGAGGCCTCCCAACCCAGGTGGACTTATAAGTCCAATTAAAAGCCTCTTTCTTTTGTAAATTTCCCAATCTTGAGTATGTCTTTATCAGCAGCATGAAAACGGAGTAAAACAGTAAATTGGTACCAGTAGAGTGGGGTGTTGCTGAAAAGATACCCAAAAATGGGGAAGCAACTTTGGAACTGGGTAACAGGCATAGGTTGGAACAGTTTGGAGGGCTCAGAAAAAGACAGAAAAAATGTGGGAAAGTTTGGAACTTCCTAGAAACTTGTTGAATGGCTTTGACAAAAATGCTGATAGTGATATGAACAATAAGCTGAGGTGGTCTCAGATGAAGATGAGGAACTTGTTGACAATTGGAGCAAAGGCAGGTTTTGTTATGTTTTAGCAAAAAGACTACTGGCATTTTGCCCCTGCCCTAGAGATTTTGAAACTTTGAGCTCGAGAGAGATGATTTAAAGTATCTGGCAGAAGAAATTCCTAAGCAGCACAGCATTTAAGAGGTGATTTGAGTACTGTTAAAGGCATTCAATTTTATCAGGAAAGGAGAGCATAAAAATTTGGAAAATTTGCTGCCTGACAATACGATAGAAAAGAAAATCCCATTTTAGTTGAAGAAATTCAAGCTGGCTGCATAATTTGCATAAGTAACATGGAACCAAATGTTAATCACCAAGAAAATAGGGAAAATGTCTCCAGGGCATGACACAGGACTTTATGGCAGCCTCTCCTATTGCAGTCCCAGAAACCTAGGAGAAAACTGTGGTTCCATGGGCTGGGCCCAAGGTCACATGCTGTGTGTAGCCTAGGGACTTGGTGTCCTGCATCCCAGCTGCTCCAGCCATGGTTGAAATAGACCAACATAGAATTCGGAACGTGGCTTCAAAAGGTGCAAGCCTTAATCAAGCCTTGCCAGCTTTCCCATGGTTTTCGGCCTGTGAATGCACGGAAGTCAAGAATTGGGGTTTGGGAACCTCTGCCTAGATTTCAGAATACACATGGAAATGCCTGGATGTCCAGGCAGAAGTTTGTTGCAGGGGTGAGGCCCTCATGGAGAGCCTATGCTAGGGCAGTGCAGAAGGGAAATGTGGCGTCAGAGGATCACCACAAAGTCCCTACTGAGGCATCACCTAGTGGAGCTGTGAGAAGAGGGCCACCACCCTCCAGACCCTAGAATGGTACATCCACTGACAGCTTGCACCATATGCCTGGAAAAGTAGCAGATACTCAATGCCAGCCCATGAAGACAGGTGGGAGGGAGACTGTACTCTTCAAAGCCACAGTGAAGAGCTGCCCAAGACCATGCAAACCTTCCTCTTGTATCAGCATGATCTGGATGTGAGACATGAAGTCAAAGGAGATCATTCTGGAGCTTTAAGATTTGACTTCCCCACTGGATTTCAGACTTGCATGAGGCCTGTAGCTACTTTGTTTTGGCCAGTTTCTCCCATTTGGAATGGCTGTATTTATGCAATATCTGTACCCCCATTGTATCTAGGAAATAACTAACTTGCTTTTGATTTCACAGGATCATAGGCAGAAGGGTCTTGCCTTGTCTTGAATGAGACTTCGTATTGTGGACTTTTGAGTTAATACTGAAATGAGTTGGTACTTTACAGGACTGTTGGGAAGGCATGATTGGTTTTAAAATGTGAAGATACACGATTTGGGAGGGGCAAGAGGTGGAATGATATGGGTTGGCTCTATGTCCCCACCCAAATCTCATATTGTAGCTCCCATAATTCCTACATGCTGTGGGAGGGACCTCATGGGGGATGATTGAATCATTGGGACAGGTCTTTCCCATGCTATTGTGATAGTGAATGGGTCTCATGAGATCTGATGGTTTTAAAAAATGGGAGTTTGTCTGAAAAAAGTCTAGTTTTGCCTGTCATCATCCATATAAGATGTTACTTGCTCCTCCTTGCCTTCCGCCATGATTGTGAGGCCTCCCCAGCCATGTAGAACTGTAAGTCCAATTAAACCTCTCTTTTGTAAATAGCCCATTTCAGGTAAGTCTTTATCAGCAGCATGAAAATGGCCTAATACAGAAGATTAGTTAACCATGAGGGTCATTTGCCCAGCACAGAGTACCAAATACAGAATGCATGAACAGATCCCCTATACTTGAGCTCCATTTAGGTTATTGTAATAATAAACATGGCCTAGGAAGCTGTCATTTTTACAAATGGGCTTAATCCATGGAAAATGTATTACCATTTTGACTTGCATTCAATTTTCTTCAATTCTGTACCAAGATGATTTCTGTAAAATTCTATTAGTTAAAGTTATGTATTACTCTCTTTCACAAAGAGTAAGTAAGACACATAGATTTTATTGTTAATATGAAGTGTAGTTATAACTTCCATATTATATGACAACATAGTACTTTAAAGGCTTTATAATTCATTGAGAACAATCTATATTTATTCACAAATGGATTGGGTTTTTAAAACATATGCCTCTAAAGGACCATGAGATGCAGTTGGGATGAAAAGAGAACAAAATATTTTTAAAAGAGGCACATTGCAAAAGTACTTATCAAATATATATATGTATGTGTGTGTGTATATATATATATATATGTATGTGTGTGTGTATATATATATGTGTGTGTGTGTGTGTGTATATATATATATACATATATCTTACAACTCCAATTGACTGGATGTCTCTATAGCCCTCTATGCTCCTGGGAAGGTTTTTCACATACCTTCTAGAATGTTATCATCAAAGTTGTTTCAAAATTTTAAAATGCTGGAAAGTTCAAACATTGTTTTAAAGATTGTTGAACAGATGTAGTTTCCCCTAGGAGATTTCCCTAATAGTAAATACCTTCTGAGAACTTCAAAATATAAGTGTGCATTTTAGCAGAAAGCAAGATATCACTAAAGAAAATATATATATATATATATATATATATATATATATATATATATATATATATATATATATATATATAAATGAAAACAAAGGGCACGTTGGCATTTTATCTATTGTGTTATTATTGCATCTTTTGAAATGTATTTCAAACTGAAATAATGATAAACATCTATCACAAATGAAAGAACACCCAATCAGAAAGACCATATATATTGTAGATTGGAATTTGTTACAAATATTGGCCTTGAGGATATTTACAGTTGTAAATTTCATTATATGATACCAATTCTTCTAAAAATTAAGCTATTAAAACATTTGGGCATATAGATATTTCAGATTTTGTATTGATTTCAAATAAAAGGCAAAGTAATGATGACCAATTTTTCTTGAATAAGAGCTGGTTAAATTTTGCCTTGATGAAAGAGACCTTATCAAGACTTACCCACTCCAGAAAAACTTTGTAAAATAAATAAGACCTGAGCTGATTTTCATCTTTCTGTAGATAGTTGGTTATACCTGGAGTGTCTGTAAACTTTAAGAAGTAACTTTAAGAGGAAACCTTAAGAAGAAAATGGAACATAGAGTTGATAGAAAAACGCAGAAATATTAAATTATAAAATGGAAAGAAAGGATTAATAATAAAAAATATTTATTTTGGTAGAAATAAGACTATAGAAATAAATTGACTCATTCAAATATATTAAAAACTAGATGGAAAAACTAGGATTCATTATGTGTAGCTTCAGAGGTTAAAGCCGACATGAGTGGATGGAAACCTAGGAGATATATATTGGTAGCAATTAAGAAAAAAAAAGTAATACTACCTAAAAATTGAATGTCCTGCCTTCAGAAAACATGAATAATCTGATCACCAGAGTAGCTCATCCATCAATGCTTCAAGTATTATACAGGAGGAATTCAAATATCAGATGGATAGGTCAGACTATAGAATCTCTAATATATTTTCTAACATTAAATATTGTGATACTATGAGAGGATTTCAGAGTCTCAAATAATAATTGTAACGATGTTTGAGAACTATCATTACAAGTTAAATATAAAATGGTTCAATATAGTTGTTTTCTTAAATACTGAGATCAGCTGAACTTAGTGAATCAAAATTTTCCTAGGAAATGTGATAGATTTAATGAATATTTATCCATTATTGGTTCCTTCTTTGTTATGCTTCCAAATAGAAGAAGAATAAATTTCCTCTCTATTGAATTTTGGATTCAACATATCATTTCCTTTGGCAAAAAAAAAAAAAAATCAGCCCGGACGATGTATGTAACTTCTGAGCAGAATCTTCACAAGCCAGTATGCAGTTGATATGGTTCTCTTTTCCACCTGCCACACATGGAAATATTCCCATGTTCAAGTGAGAGTTTGTTCTGTCAGTCTTGGTCTCAGATGGGTAGGAGGCAGACACCAGTTGATCTGCAACATCCATGTACTATAGAGGATGAATAAACTTTCCGTGTTTTAAAACTCATGATCTCCTGAGGTCATTAGATGTATGCAACTTCTGAGCAGAATCTTCGCAAGCCAGTAAGCGGTTGATATGGTTCTCTTTTCTACCCGCCACACATGGAAATATTGCCATGTTCAAATGAGAGTTTGTTCTGTCAGCCTTGATCTCAGATGGGTAGGAGGCAGACAACAGTTGATCTGCAACATCCATGTACTATAGAGGATGAATAAGCTTTCCATGTTTTAAAACTCATGATCTCCTGAGGTCATTAGTTATCTAACCTGCTCTAATATGGGAGTTGGGCAAAAGGTGCATTAATTGAGTAAATTCTGTCCATTAAGCAGGTCAGAAGCAGACTACACTCATCATTAGAGAAAAGAAATGATTGGGCCAGAACTGGAGTGTTGGTTACTTATGACTCTAAGAAAATGTGTAAGAAAATTTCAGATTCATGTTTACTATACTTCCAAATATGTTTAGGGCCAGGCCTACACTCAGAAGAAGGTACAAGAAAATGATACAAAAGGCCAAGAAAATAATACAAAGATAGTCCTTTTCTTCATTATCTCCCTTTAACTCTCAAACATTTTGCTTCCTTACCCTCTGTTTCCAAACCCGTAACAAAGATAAACCCCATAATAGAGGTACCATGGGCCTCTATTATGAGTCACACATGCTTTAAGAACAAATAAGACAGGAATGTTATGAGAGTTTATTTTTTTTTCCCAAAGGAAAACTTTATGTTATGACAAATTACAATTAGATAATCACCTCGTGCAGAACAAGAGACTGGGGAATGTTACCAGGCTTAAAAAAGAAATCCTACTATATTGCTGCTTAGGTGGAAATCTTACCTATGGTCTAGAGCCAAACTATCCATTGTTTAAAAGACACTTGCCAGTACACCGTTGCCAAATTAAGGTTAACTTGGGGTTCACTGCTTTACTACATGACTTAAATGTAACAACACAGACTTCATGGCATATTAGTTTAGGTATATGAAGGAAGAGGAAGAGAGGTGAATATAAATTGTTAAAATAAACATGGAACTCTTGAGATTCCAAGGAAATGCTTGAGTAGTTTATGACAGGTTTCTATTTGTCCTATTCTGCTAAATAAATAAATAAATAAATAAATGTCAATGAGCAGTAAGGAAAAACTTAATCTATAATACATTGAGGATCTGCAAAAAGCTCAAGGTGTGTGACAATGGTAGAAATATAAATATAAATTTCAAGACATTTTTAAGAAGTAAAGTGCAGCATTAAGTTAGAAAAAAAACGTGTATGTGTATGATAAAAAAAGAGGGACTCTTACTAAGAGCAGTCTTCATGAAAAAATACTTAAGAATTGTTCCTCACAACTCGATATTAATGAACAGTGTGAGATTCTTGCCAGAAAGTTAGAGGAATCTTAGTTTGCATTGTGCTCAGAATAAAGGATGTAAAATTAATGAATAAAACCATATCTGTTAATACGGCTTTTTGTTCAGTTCTGAATTCCAATGACAAATTGAGATTATTCCTAGAAGATGAAAAATGGTTAAGGGTTTAGAAATTTTGTGAAATAAAGAGTCATCTTTTCATTTCTAAGATATTTATTTACAATCTAAGAAAATGAGAATATTAAATTTACAGAAATAAAAAAGCAAAGAAGATATGATAGTTGTAGGCAAATACCTGAAGGCTGACCTAGTAGAGGCAGTAGGCCTCCAGAGAGAAAGAATAAATATTTCAGCACAAGACAATATCATGTTTGGGTTTTTTTTTTGTTTTGTTTTGTTTTTTTGTTTTTTTTTTTCAGAAAAGTGGAAAATAAAAAAAAATTCAAAATAAGTAAGAGTGATGTTAATATTAGAGATGTTATTTCTTACACTCTTCAACTTTGTGATACACTGAGCTCCTAGTCACTGGAAACAGAAATTAAATAATCAATACTAAATTGTATAAAGGAGAGGATTCTTCATCAGGTACAACATTTGACAAGCTTACCGCTAAATTGTCTGTCTGTCAGTTTTAACAATTGAGGCAAGACTTCATGCTTCAATAGTGTTTGGGGAAATTTATCTTGTTATTCTCTGTGTTAACTTGCATAGCCAGTGCGACAAATTTGGTCAACCTTTCTAGCCTGATGCTTGTTCAGAGTTCACACAACACAACTACCTGACAACCTGACATAACACCACACGTTTGTTTTGCTGCCAATTAACTCCGAGATCTTTACACTAGCACTTTGTCAATTCCTTAAATGAAGTACTGATTTTTGCCAACAGCAGGGTTATTTTTTCTTTAAAGCTGGCTGTTAAGATCATACTAGCAACATAACAAAAATTAAATGAGACTCTCAGTGACAGGCCATTTAGCCTCATGTCAGTTGCTATGTGCATGCTATATAGGTGTCACTAGAAGAGAATGGAGAAGGTCGAAAGGACATTGTTCAAACAAAAAGAAATATATATTTTACAAACAGATTTAATAATTGCTATGAGTCATGTGGCTACACTTCACAAAGTTTCCATTTACAAATGCATATAAAATATTGAATTACATAATGATAATGAACAAATTGATTTTTAGAAGAGATACAGACATGTTATTGTTAAAATTAGTATTACAGCCTAGATTATGATCCTTAAAAGTAACTCACAGCCTTGATAAGAAGTTGATAGCAAATATTAACCGTGACTGAAGGCATCTTGTATAGAGTTGAACTCGCTCTAGGTAAAATGTGTAATACATATTGTGTAATACATATTGGGTTGTTTGCTTGTTTGAGACAGGGTCTCGCTGTGTCACCCAAGCTGGAGTGCAGCTCACTGCAACCTCCGCCTCCTGGGCTCAAGGGATATTCACACCTTAGCCTTCCAAGTAGCTAGGACTACAGGTAAGCACTACTACACCTGGTTAATTTTTTTTTTTATTTTTTTTATTTTTGTAAAGGCTAGGGGACTCACTATGTTTCCCTGGTCTTGAACTCCTGGACTCAAGCTATCCACCCAACACGGCTGCCCAAAGTGCTGGCATTACAGGTGTGAGCCACTGTGCCCGGCCCTGTAATACATACTCTTATATCATGTGTTTTTGTGCACTGCCTACATATATTTATTTTTATCATGAGGCATTAATGATAACCTCTGGATCAGAACATGCCACTACTTAATGCATGCAGAGATATTAAGAGATATAAAAAGCAGGTAAGGGTTTTCCTTATGTAATAATAGCACTTTATTAAAGAGGTCCACATGGTGTGAGAACCATGTACTTTATTTATTTATTTGTTTGTTTATTTATTTATTTATTTTTTGAGACAGTCTCTTGCTCTGTCACCCAGGTTGAAGTGCTGTGGCAAAATCGCAGCTCACTGCAACAACCTCTGTCTCCCGGTTCAAGCGTTTCTTGATCCTCAGCTTCCCTAGAAGCTGTTACTACAGGCACACACCACCATGCCCAGCTAATTTTTGTATTTTTAGTAGAGACGGGATTTCACCATGTGGCCCAGGCTGGACTCTAACTCCTGGACTCAATTGATCTGACCGCCTTGGCCTCTCAATGTGCTGGAATTACAGGCATGAGCCACCATGCCCAATCAGAACCACCTACTTTTGTATGAGCTCAAATCCTGGCTTTATTACTTAATATATCTATTGTACAAGTCACTTAACATGTGTTAGCCCTAGCTTTCTTATCTTTAAAGTAAAAAAAAATACAATCATAACATTAACACTTTGAAGGATTACTTTAAAGTATAAATGGGGTAATGCCTAAAATGTCCTTTAAACTTGATCCATTATAAGTGGTTCATTACAGTTTCATTAAACTCCTTATATTATGCAATTGGAAAATACAGTAAATATTTACTATGATTTTTTTGTAGAAAATCAAACTTAAATTTTCATAATGTTACTGTTTTACTGAATAAATAAATTATAATCACCAATCTGTTTTACTCACAGTGAAAGAGAAAGCTTAATCTTCTTATACATAATTCAGTATAGACTAGTTTTGCCAAAGTAACAAACACAACCAAAGTGTTTTCTGATTTCAACCACAACTAAAAAGTTCTAGGTTTCAACTCACATTATTTATCTACCTAAGGTTGGCTGAGTGGCTCTGCTTTCCTTTGTCCTATCTCAGTAACACAAACAGTGAGTTTTCAACATCTAGAACATCATCAGTTGCTTTGGCTGAGGAAGTACACCAAGCATATCATGCCTGCCAGGTTCATAAAGCCTTCCTCTAGACAGTGATACATACAGTTTTTTCTCAAGCTTCCTTTATCAAAACAAGTCACATGGCCATACCTAACTTCAAATGTGCTGGAAGGTCGACTTTCTTATGTGTCTGTAAGAATGAGAACCAGTAATATTTGCTGAAGAGCATGAGTGACAACTTTGTATTATGTATCAATTTCATTTGACGTTCATAAAATATTTGCTCAGTACTTTAAATCTTTAAATATCTGCTTTGAGAGATCTGATAATCAAATAGAAAATATTTCACATAATATATCTTGACTTTGAATTAATTTCTAATGGTCTAAAATCCAAAAGTTCAGTCATGCATCCAAAACTTTAGGTCCAAATTCTATAGATTGCTGTCTTTATTTTTCAGTGCAATAATTGGCAAAGCAGTTTATATAAATTACACATTAATTCTGCACCTATAAGAATAGTCCACTTGTATGCTTTAGTAGAAAAATGAAGTTTGAAAAATAGTACATTTCTTTGAAAATGAATGTGTACTTGGTACTTTAACTACTTGTTAGTTTGTCATTATAAGGTAGTATTGCTTAAAAGTTAAATTTATATACACATGGAAGAAGTAATACACAAACTACTGGGTATACAACATTAGAGGATTTTAACAAAGTCTATGTGACCATTATGAGGTTACTGTAAAAGGTATGAATGTACTCAGTATTGATAACCCTTGTCATGGCTTCTAAGAGTTTGTGTTTGATGTGAATAAGTATTTTTATCAAAATTATCCAAATAGTAATATAAAGTATACACAATTTAGTGAAGTCATCACATATATTTTTGTAAAACTGACAATAGAGTATCAAGTAAAAATTCTCTGAATATATTGTATTATTTATTGATATCTCTTCACTATAGCATGTGTATGAAAAAAGCAAACAAAAAAGTTATCAAAGTCACTTTTTGTTTTGATTTTATGATGCTGAATCAAAGACTTTAATGTTTTTCAGATTAAACTGAATCTTTGAGTGAATTATGAGTTCAAATAAATACAAACTATATTAGACAAACAGGCACATTTATAATGAAAACAATCCTTTACAATAAATAAATTGAAACCAATAGAAAAAGCATTTGTGTGTTCCGGTATAAATATATATTCTATCATCTTATTATGAAGACTATGGCAGGGCAGTCATTCATGCTCTTCTTCATACCTGAATGACAAAGAATAATACAAAACAAAAGCTCTCAAAATACCTGTATAAAAATTTAAAATAACAATGAGTTAGTGTGATGGTTAATACTGATTGTCAACTTGATTGGCAAAGTATTGTTCCTGGGTATGTCTGTGAGAGTGTTGCCAAAGGGGATTATCATTTGAGTCAGCGGACTGGGAGAGGCAGACCCACCCTCAATCTGGGTGGGCACCATCTAATTAGCTGCCCTGCATGGCTAGAATAAAGCAGGCAGAAGAATGCGGAAGGACTACGCTTGTTGAGTCTTCCAGCCTCCATCTTTCTCCTGTGCCGGGTGCTTTCTGCCCTCGAATATTAGACTCCAAGTTCTTCAGCTTTTGGACTCTTGGATTTATACCAGTGATTTGCCAGGGGCTCTCGGGCCTTTGGCCACACTGAAGGCTACACTGTCAGCTTCCCTACTTTTGAGGTTTTTGGACTCGGACTGACCCACCACTGCTTTTCTAGCTCCTCGACTTGCAGACGGCCTATTGTGGGACTTTACCTTGTGCTCATGTGAGTCAATTCTCCTCAAAAAACTGCCTTTAAGAGGTGGAGGTTGCAGTGATCTGAGATCGTGCCACTGCACTCCATCCTGGGTGACAGAGCAAGACTCCATCTCAAAAACAAGCAAGCAAACAAACAAAAAACCTTCCTTTAATATATTCATATATCCTACAAGTTCTGCCCCTCTAGAGAACCCTGGATAATACAGGTAGTATTTTTGTTTTTTAAAATTGATCTTTAGACTGTGCCTATTGAAAAGGTGAATAGGATTACAGTTACAATGACATTCTTAGAGACACTTAATGAAGTAAATCAAATCGAATGTATAGACAATGTCTGGACACAGATATATTTTGTTATCTCATTCATCACTCAATCAGGATATAATATGATAGGTAATGTATCTTCTATATATAGCACATTGCAATAGCTTTTATGTAACAATGCAAATAAATATGTTGTTCTCTGCCATCAAAAAATGTCAAACTCTTTTCTGATAGTTGGAATGATGGCACTGATCTAAACAGAGAAAAAACATCAGGCCAACTGGAACAGGGAGAAGGCATTTGGCAAAAATTCATTTGAGATCTAAATCAGAAATCATTATATAAAACACCTGTTTGGCACTCCATAGCCATCTATGTCAGATGATGTTAAAAATTAATTGAAGTTCAGAGCAAAATTTGGTAATGGCAAGGATGATATTCATAATATTTTAAACACTGGTACAGTCAGGCATTGATAAGTCATAATGGAAACGGTGACCAATCAAAACAAATAGCAGCAGAAATCAAACTGGTTTTGCATAACAATCTTGGAGCTAAATACCCTCCCTGGTACTGGAGATAGCTACAAATTACAGTATAGTGCAATGAGCATATCATCACAATAAATTAAAACCATAACGATATCATGTAAATCAAGATTGAGACTGTTGTTACAAAAAGTTTGTTTTATTTCCTTTACTTTTATATTCCAACTACCAATTCCTTTAAAAGAGCTATGTTATAAATACAAGCATGATTGTCAAAAACCTTTACCCATGAGAAGGCAATTATATGACTGTTAATTTAGAATTAGACTTTTATATCCAGTTCATCAAGTCTAAATAAAGTTACTGAATGACAAATGAAGTAGCCAAAATTTTAAGAGATTAAATGACTTTCTAATGATCACAATGCTTCCTTCTAGTAAAGCTTGGTTTATCTTATTTTCAGCTATTTAGTTTGGAAAAAATGATACATACCCTGGATTGAATGCCTCAAAGGTCACTTAAACTACAGATACATCTCATTTTCCCGCAAGTATAGAAGACTGGAAAACATGAGATAGCAAGAGAAAAATTTATATATCCTCATCTGAGATTATATGGATAGATGATACAGATTATGATGTTTTCAGTTTCTTGTATCTGAAAAGTCAACTGTGGCTGACATTCTAACTGTTTGCAAATATTCTGAATCATCTTCTCCTCCAGGCAATGTGAAGTGGCATTTCTCTGTTTCCTTTCAAATTAGATTTGGCCATAAAATGTGATCATAAGTAATGCGAATTAGCTAGACACACATTACATAAGAGCCAGTGACGATTATCTGTATGCTTTCCCATTGCCTCCATTACCAAATCATTCAAGATAGTGATGTTTCCATCAGCCTGAGTCCAGGAGTGAAGTCAATGCTGAGAAGAGACTCCAGCTAACCTGTGGTGGGCACGTAATGTGAGCTAGAAATGACATTTGATTATATTATTTTAAGATTTTATGGTTGTTTATTATTGCAAATTGATTTTAACTTATATAGAAATTGGACCCAGGAAAGGAGGGAGGGGATAGTGTTAAGAAAAGCAAAACCCTACAGTTGTGGCATGGATTCAGTGGATCATGAAGGTGTCAAGTACCCTTTAGAAGAGGCTGAAATGGGAATGATAACAATCCATATTAGGCCATGAGGAAACAGCTGGGAAACTGTTACCAGCAGTAACTAGGAAATAATACTGTATACCCAACACACTCAGATGTCAGAAAAAAGAATGCTAGTTCTTTTGCTGGTAACTGTTTATGCCAAAGTATGGCAAGGTATTGCACTCTGTCATAGTGACACATAGCTCCAGATGATGGCTGCACCGTGAGCCCCCATCCTGTAGTGAGAACACATAGAGAAGATTTCACAACCAATACACAACAGACAAGTGATATGAACAAAGTGAACTTCAGTGTCCTCATCCAAAGATAATATTTCAAGGTGTGCTTCTGTGGAATTACCTATATTACTTGTCTGACATACGACCTCAAACTTAGAAAATAATTGCTGAATTTGACAGCATGAATAAAAGAGAATTGAGAGACTATGAATCAGGTAGAGTTAAAAGAGGCAACTGCTTCTCAACTGCCAGTAATAAAATTACGAACTGAGTTACAATGGCCAATTAAAATTCAGTCTCATAGCAAGGATGGTACGTGGTTGGCTTTCATGCCCCTTGCCATGATCATGAATAAATTAATTTGTTGGACATTAGGGATAATGTCCAATAAAAGTTGTGGTACCCAGAAAAGACTCTCCATTGAACTCCAAAGCCCAAGTAAAACTCTAATAAAATTGCACAATTGAAATGAGAGAGAAAGGAGGGAGGAATAGGTGGAAAAACAGCAAATGGGGGAACATATTTAGGAAAGACTGTGGGTGTGGCTATTGGCATAAACTGACTAAACTCAGTCAAAAGATCAGTTAATTTTTACATGAGTTATACTGCTAAAAATAATGAAGTTTAAAATTTAAAATGACGTGTGAGTCCCAGTGTTTGGGCAGAAAGCAACCTGAGAAAACTATCCCCCAGGCATATTCTCCAATTCTCATCTCCCATGTGGCTAAGGAGGATAATGGGATGGAAAGAATCACTCATAGGTTGGAGCTTGAGTCCCCGAAAAACAGAAGACAAGAGAGCCACTCTCAGAAATAAAAACTGAGGAATCTTCAAAGAGCATTCCCCACCTTCAGGTTCAGGCCTTCAAAATTTCAGAACTGCTCCAACTTGAGTTTGTTTTGTGTGTCCTGTTTTCTTTCTTCTGACTGGAAGTGCTTATTATAGTTAAGCTGAGAAATTCTCACTTGGTATATAATATGTCTGGGATAAATAACTTGCTTTTGGTTCATGACTTGATATCAAAAGAAACTATATCTGGATTTGATGAGGAGGCCGTCAAGCCTCACTCATTGTGCTGGACTCAGTTATTCATGGGAGTTTTGTTCTGTTTATCTTGGGGATGAGGTGAATGCGTCCTGCATCTGGGAAGAGAAGTAAACTGAATATCTTGTGATTTAGAACAGTGCACTGTAGAGTCATTGGAACTTCTCACATATTTTCAGGTTTTCTTTCAGGGAAAAAAGCCCTCCTTGAATTAACTATGAGTTGTTTGTTTTGGCCAATGGAATCCTGGCAGGTGTGGCATATGTCATTTTTCTGGCTGAAACTTTAAGACTTAGTGTATGCATTGTTTGTGGTGTTTTCTCCTTCTGCCATCGTGATCACTTTTGCCTTTAGGGGTTGCTGTCAGCCTGAGTGTTGGAAGAAGACATAGCAAAACTCACAGCAAACTTACAAGGAACAAATTAGGAAGAAGTCAATGGTATAACTCACGCTGTAACTCAAGGATTTGGGGAATTCTTTACTACTGCAGGATTACCTAGCCTGTCCTTAATGACAGACCATCTCAGATTGACTTAACAGTGAAGGACATTTATTGTCTAATGTAATTGAAACTCTAGAGGCAAGGTAAACTTGAAGCAGGAGTGATTCAACAACTCACTGACATAACCAAAGAAACATTTTTCTATCTTGAATGCCTTACAACTCTCATAAATGCAAGAAAGCTCATTAATGCTTTTATAAGTATGTTCTTCTTTTCCATTTAAGAAGAAAAGATAATAGCAATCCATGTAGCTATTATGAAAAAAAAAAAAAAAGAAATGAAATCTTGCGTCTCCCCCAAATACCCCTAGGAAATATATTTCTAGGCCTCATTGACCTGATTTTTTATATATCTTGAACCGATCTTCATAGACATGGAAACAGATTATTGTGCTTGTCTTACATTAATCAGAGAGTAATTCTGGATATCAATATAAGCTCAATCCCATACTTTGTGCATTACTAAAACTTAAATGTAGGTTTTACTCCCCAAAAATATGGGATACTTTACTGTCAAAGAAGGAGAATGAACATTGAGCAACCGACAGCAGATTTTATTAAAGATTATAACATGTAAAGTAGCATGTTAGTTAAAATTCAAATATTTTATTTGGATATACTTATTTTCCCTAGAAAATG
This sequence comes from Homo sapiens, assembly GCF_000001405.40. Taxonomy (NCBI): domain Eukaryota; kingdom Metazoa; phylum Chordata; class Mammalia; order Primates; family Hominidae; genus Homo; species Homo sapiens. The sequence goes on from NC_000001.11 coordinate 190,215,474, forward strand.
TCCTCTTTCCATAAACTGATGGTCAAATATCATCTGAGAGAAAAACTATTTTTGATAAAGAAAATTAATAGTTTACATAAAATTTAAAAAAATTTATTTTTTCTTGCAAAACAGTTTGTAAATCTAGCTAACCCAATCTTTGCAATACTGCAGTATTCAAATTATTTGGCTTTGTAGCATTAGAAAGATTATCTATTTTCAGATGTAGTGTCAAAATGGATAGTGTTCTCTAACAGTTACACCTAGATGATTGCCAATACAAGATGGCCGCCAACTGTCATTCTTAGATCATCAAATAAATGTCTCTACATTTAATAGGACACGATGCTGATAAAGACATATGTTGACAGCATACAATACACCTTAGATATTCTATATGCCAAGTGGTAACACATTTTTTCCAAAGAGTAAAATGTCATGCCAAAACATTTGTAAAATATCCGTTCTTTATATAGACCAATCTCTTTATTTTTCCTTAGGATTATTAATTGCATGAAGATTGCTGTATTTCATAATTATAAGTAATGAAGTTTTTTATTTATCCAAAAAAAAAAACAACTGGGGATAACTCAGAAAGTTATTTGGAAAAGATAATTTATTTTTAACTATGTAGTAGTTATTCATTTTTTCTGGCAATTTTGGTAATTATTTGCACAAGTCTTTTGGTTTTAATCATTAAAATATGCATGCAAAACTGTATTTCTAGCTTTCTCATTAAGTTTGAATCCTTGATCCACATCTGGGTAGACATTGTCTAAGTAATGTCCAACAAAATTGTGATCTTTGTCTAATTAATTGTAACACATAAATTGGTTTTTATGTGGTTACTACTATTGTGAGGTTTTGTGTGTTTCATTTTTTCTCCCTCTATATTTTTATATATCTTTATTCTATACTATTTTTATTGTAATTAATGTTATGTATATGCTACCAATATTTCTTATTAAACAACATAAATTTATTTTCTAAAAATGTAAAGTTAGAGATAAATTGATTTCTATAAATATTGTTATTAGAGTGAGAAATTTTCTCAGGTTGCAAGACATGAAAAGAGAAATATTTCTATTTTAAAATTCGCTGACACTTTTATTTGCAGGCTGTAACAGGTGGGTTTTCCAGGACTTGCCCATTACAGAACAAAATGAATCAAATATAATCAAATATAAAATGGCTTAGCATTCTGTGCTAATCCTATCTACTGACTGAATTTTATATTCAGTGAAAATAGGAAACATACACAACAGAAAGTCATTTACAAACAGGTTATCTTGACCTAATGAAATATGCAAATTACTTCCTTCTTTTTGTATGGTACCAGTTATTAGCATTCTCTATTATTGTGGAATGCACTCTGACACACTTCATGTTGCTACTTACATTTAAGGAAGATTTCCTAAATTCAAATGAATATTCTCTTTTAATAAAATAGCAAACATAAACTGATTTTTTTTCTGTTTTAATAAAAATAACTTTTAGATAAGTTATTTACTTGCATTTGTTTAATTTTTCACATTACATTGAATCAGCCTTTGAAAGTAACCTAAAACTCCATTCCAATTTTTATTGTCTATGTAGAGTATAACAGGATTTGAATTTCAAGCCTGTAGATAAGAATAGACAAATTAGTATGTCTTGCACCTAAAAGTGAAGAATTCCCAGCAGAAACATGTAAAGAGTGCACTTGCACATAATTCCAAAGCTTTCCCAACCATCAGGGAAATGAAATAAGCTGGTGCATTTCCTTACAATCATGGTACTTAGAATAAAGACCATCAACTTACAAGAGCCTGTGAGTGGTGATAATATTTTAGAATTATTTTCCCAATGTAATAGCTGCCTCATTACTTCTTATATTTTGTTTATCTGTTATGAGGCAAAAAAAAAATGTTTCTCTTAACCAAAAGCTTTTCTCAAAACTATTACATGTGCTCTTTCATATATCTTACTAGTTTTAAAAAGAGTCCAATATAAATACAGTATTTTACCAATTGTTTAGTTCCAAGAAAAGTGAATGTGGTTTTACTGAAGATATAATTTATGAATAAAATGTTTGGGTTCATTATTTAGCTATCTATACCCTGAAATTAAAAATAATATAAATATTTTTCTGTGATGAATTCTTAAGTTTACAGCAAAGTAGGGCAACTTCTCAAGTGAAATATGAATCAGCTAAATACATTTGACCACTGATTACAGCAAATAATTCAATGTTGTAATTTTCAATATTAGAAATAGTTTCAGGGATACTATATCAGAAAATAGATTTATTCTGTAGATCACTGTTTTCCCAATATCGACATAACGGCATCCACTATGGCAAGAGCCTTTGGTTATAAACCTAAGATGAACAGTCCAAATGTGAGATAAGATTAAGAAGTCTGACTTTTGTTAGGACTGGCTTCTAATCAGTACTTCAAAATCTCTGGTCAATGAATGTTCCAGATCAAATATTTACCAATTTGCTACTAATTTAAACACATAACATGTAGTGAGCTTTGAAAATATTAATCTATTCAATTATTCTGTCAGTATGTCCTTCAGAGTATTTAGTTGCCAAAGTGCTAATTTTTTATTTTATTAAATTACACGAATACAGAAAAATATAAATATTGTAAGTGTATAACTCAGAATTTTCAAAAACTATATACACCATATAGCCGGGCTCCTAGATAAAGAAATAATACATTTTTGGTACCAAAAGAGCCTCCCAGACTCTCATCCATCACATCAGCCCTTGCTTAGGCAAAGGCATCATTGCCCTGATTCATAATAGTACAGGTAAGCTTTGCTTGTTTTATACTTAATATAAATGGAATCATATATGTATTTTTAAGTTTGGCTTCTTTTGTTCAATGTGATATTTCAGAGATTTATTCATATTTTGGATAGTCCATTCCTTCAAGCTTTATACAATTCCATTGTGTAAATATACCATGATTTTAAAATCATTTTTAATTGATGTGTATTTTATTGTAATTTGAAGAATTATAATTGTATACATTTATGAGGTAACACTGGATGTTATTATATATGTATATAATGAAGAATGAGTAATTCAAACTAATTAACATATCTACCACCTCAAATACTTATTTTTTTATGGTGAGAATATTTGAAATATATTAGAAATATATTCTGTTGGCAATTTTGAAACATACATTTTATTAACAAGTCAACATGCTATGCTATAGATCTCAAAACCTATTTTTCCGGTCTAACTGAAACTTTGCAACATTTGATGATCACATCCTCATACCTCCCCCCACCCTCCTTGTCCCCTCTATTCACCAATGTCTGCTTCCATTATTTTGGTTGTTTTTAATGCTCTATTTTGATCAAATAAATCTTAAGGGAGCCTACATTTACTAACTCTTCCTAAATCTATTTACCCTTTCATTGTGTAATTTGTGTTATTTCCAACAACAACAACAAAAGCAAAATATTTTGTTGAAGCCATCATTGTGTTTTCTCTTGTCTGGAACATGTTTTGTCACCTTCACACAGTACTAGGATAATTCCTTTGGGACCAACTCCATTCAGGACTGCCAGTGCTCTCATTATTTACAACGGCAATGCAAATAGGGGATTCAGGCACAACTAAGAGCCAAGAATAAAGCAGACCTAGCAGTAAAGAATCACGGAGCAAGCATATTTAACTATAAATGAAAAAAATTGGACAGATAAAACTGGAATTAATAATTAATCCTTCAATGCAATTCACAGACATTTACCCATAAGAAACAACAGCAAACAGGAAACCATGACCTCCTCAAAAAGACAGAACAAAAATTGAGTGACTGACCCAAACAAGATGCTGATTTGTGAGCTCTCTGACCAAGAATTCAAAACAGCAGTTTTCAGGAAACTCAGTGATCTCTAAGATAACACAGAAAAGCAATTCTGAAATTTATTAGAGAAATTTAACAAAGATATTAAAATAATAAAAAATCAAACAGAAATCATGGAATAGAGAAATACATTTCCTGAACTGAACAATTCATTAGAGGTCTCAACAGTAGAATGGACCAAGCAGAGAAAAGAATCAGTGAGCTAAAAGACTGGCTATTTGAAAATACATAGTCAGGGCCAGGAATGGTGGCTCACGCCTGTAATCCCAGCACTTTGGGAGGCCGAGGTGGGTGGATCACGAGGTCAAGAGATCGAGACCATCCTGGCCAACATGGTGAAACCCTGTCTCTACTAAAAATACAAAAATTAGCTGGATGTGGTGGCGGATGTCTGTAGTCCCAGCTACTCAGGAAGCTGAGGCAGGAGAATCGCTTGAACCTGGGAGGTGGAGGTTTCAGTGAGCCAAGATCTCACCACTGCACTCCAGCCTGGGTGACAGAGTGAGACTCCAAAAAAAAAATTAAAATAATAATAATAATAATAAATTTTAAAAAAAGGGAAATACACAGTCAGAGGGAAACAAACAAGCAAACAAATGAAAAACATGAAAAGGAACAAAGACCACCTATAAGATACAGAAAATTACCTCAAAAGACCAAATTGAAGAATTATTGGTATTCAAAAGTGAGCTGAGCAAGATCAAGGAGTGGAAATTTTAGTCAAATAAATAATGAAAAACTGTGCAAAGCTTGAGAAATATTCAGGTATAGAACGATCTGGGAATACTAGTCAGATTCAATCCCGATAAGACTACCTCCAAGGCATATAATAACCAAACTCCCTAAGATCAATGAAAAAGAGAGAATCCTAAAAGCAGCAAGAGAAAAGAAGCAAAAAGGATGAGTTCATGTCCTTTACAGGGACATGGGTGAAGCTGGAAACCATCATTCTCAGCTAACTATCGTAAGATCAGAAAACCAAACACTGCATGTTCTCAATCATATGTGGGAGTTGAACAATGAGATCACACGGACACAGGGAGAGGAACATCACACATCAGGGCCTGTCAGGGGTTGGGGGCTAGGGGAGGGTTAACATTAGGAGAAATACCTAATGTTGGTGACGGGTTGATGGGTGTAGCAAACCACCATGGCCCGTGTATACCTATGTAACAAAACTGCACGTTCTGCACATGTAACGCAGAACTTAAAGTATAATTTTTTTTAAAAAAGAAGCAAATAACATAAAAGACATAAAAGGAGCTTCAATTTGTCTGGCGACAAACTTCTCAATGGCATTTTCAATGTGTTCAAAGATAAAAAAAATTGCAACTCAAAAATATTGTATTAGGCAAAATCATCCTTAAAACATGAAGGAGAGATAAACTATTTCCCAAATAAACAAAAATGGAGAGAATTTACCACCACCAGACTCATCTTACAAGAAATGATAAAGGAAGCTCTTCAGTCTGAAAGTAAAAACATACAAATATGCCAAAAAAAAGTTTTCAAGGCATAAATCCCACTGGTAAAATTAAGTACAAGGACAAACTCAGAATACTCTGTCACTTTAATTTTGGTGTGCAATTCTCTTGTAACCTCATATGAAGCCCAAAAGTAAAATCTGTCAAAAACAGTAATAGCTATAGCAACTTTCTAAGAGATAGTATAAAAATCTGTAAACAGAGGAGTTCGAGACCAGCCTGGCCAACATGGTGAAACCCTGTCTCTACTACAAACACAAAAATTAGTCGGGCATGGTGGCAGATGCCTGTAATCCCAACTACTTGGGTGGCTGAAGCAAGAGAATCGCTTGAACCCGGGAGGCAGAGGTTGCAGTGAGCTGAGATCGCACCACTACACTCCAGCCTAGGCGACAGAGTGAGACTCCATCTCAAACAAACAAACAACAAAAAAAGTAAACTGGGGCAACTAAAAGTAAACATGTGGGTGAGTGGAGTTAAAGTGTAAAATTTTTTGTGTGCTTTTTGTCTTTGTTGTTTCTGTTCTTAGTTTGTTATCCAAGGTAAGTTGTCTTCTCTTTAGCATAACTTACTATATCTATAAGATGATTTTTGTAAGCCTCATAACTTGAGATAAATTCATGGAAAATGAAAAGCAACAAATTAAAACACACTACCAATGAAAATCACTTAATCACAAAGAAAGACAGTAAGAAGAGAAGAAGAGACTAAAACGAACCAGAAAACAAGCCACAAAATGGCAGTAGTGTGCACTTATTTATCAATAATAACACTGAATGTAAATGATCTCACTTCCCCAATTATAACGTGTATAGTGGCTGAATGAATAAAGAAGTAAGACCCAACTATATGTTGCCTTCAAAAAATCCACTTAATGTAGAAAGATACACATAGACTGAGCGTGAAGGGGTGGAAAAAGATACTCGATGCAACTGGAAAACAAAGGAGCAGGAGTAGCTATACCTATATCAGACAAAATAGATTAAAAATCTAAGATTTAAAAAGACATAGGAGGTCAATATAAAATGATAAAGGGGTCAATACAGCAAGATAATATAACAATTATCAATAGTTTTATGCCCAACAACAGAGTTTCCTATAAGTATATAAAGCACACATTAGTAGAGCTAAAAATATATATAAGACTATAATAAAATAACAGCAGGGGAATTTAACACCCTCGTATCAGTAATGAACATATCATCCAGACAGAAAATCAAGAAAGAAAGAGCACAGTTAAACTACGCACTAGATCTAATGGGCCCTAGATGACATTAACAAAACATTTCACCCAACTGCTGCAGAATATACATTCTTTCCTTCAGTGCATGGAACATTCTTCAGAATAGGTCATATCTTAAGCAACAAAAAAGTCTGAATAAATTAAAAAATAAAAATCTTATCAAGTAACTTTTCTGACCACAATGGAATAAAAACCACAAATTGAAAACAAGAGGAACCTTGGAAAATACACAAACACATAGAAATAAAACATCCTACTGGACAGCTAATGAGTCAATTAAAAAAATAAGAAGGCAATTAAAAAAAACAAATGAAAACAAAAATACAACAAACCAAAACTTGAGATACAATAACATCTATATCAAGCGGGATGTTTATAGTAATAAATGCCTAAATTAAAAGAGTATAAAGACTTCAAATAACCTAACAATGAACCTCAACGAACGAGAAAAGCAAGAATAAACCAAACCCCAAATTAATAGAAGAAATAATAAAAATCACAGCAGATATGAATAAAGTTGAGACAAAAAAATACATAAGATCAACAAAAGGAAAAGCTGCATGTTTGAAAAGATATTAACAAACCCTTAGCCAGATTAAGAATAAAGGAAGAAGAGGCAAATAAATAAAATAAGAAATGAAAAAGGGAAATAAATGAAATTTATACTAGAAAAATACATAAGATCAATGATAGAAAAAGTTGGGTTTTTGAAAAGATAATCAAAACTGACAAATTCTTTGTCTAAGAAAAAAAAGACCTAATTAAATAAAATCAGAAATGAAAAAGGAGACATAACAACTGAGAACCCAGAAGCACAAAGAATCGTTAGAGACTATTGTGAACAACTGCATGCCAACAAATTGGAAAACTTGGAAGAAATGAATAAATTCCTGGACACACACAACTTACCAAGATTGAACAATGAAGAAATAAAAAAAAAATTAACAAGCCAAAAATCAATATGGCTATCAAAGAGATAATTCAAAGTCTTCCATCAAAATGAAGCTCAGGATCATTGGCTTCACTGCTAACTCTACCAAAATTTAAAGAAGAACCAATATCAGTTCTACCCAAATTCTCCAAAAATTTGGAAGGAAGGTAATACTCCAAACTCATTATATGAGGTCAGCATTACCCTGATACTAAAACCAGACAAAAACATGACAAGAAACCAATAAGAACACTACAGATCAATATCACTGATGAGCAGAGATGCAAAGATAATCAACAAAACACTAGCAAACCAAATTCAACAACACATTAACATGATCAAGTGAAATTCATCCTAGGGATACAAAGATGGTTCAACACATGCAAATCAACAAACGTGATGCATCACATTAGCAGAATCAAGAAAATAAACATATCATTATTTCAATAGATGCCAAAAAAGCACTTGATAAAATTGAACAACAGTTCATGATAAAAACTCTCATCAAAATGGGTATAGAGAGAATACACTTCAAAATTATAAAGGCCATGTATGACAAACCCACAGTTAACACTGTGCTGAATGAGAAAAATAATTTTTTCTTATGAGAAAGGCCTTTTCTTTAAAGACTGGAACAAGATAAGAATGCTTACTTTCACCACTTTTATTCAACATGACATGGAAAGTCCTCTCCAGAACAAGTAGGGAAAAGAACTAAATAAAAAGCATAAAAACTGGAAAGAAGAAGTCAAATTAGCGTTGTTTGTAGACAACACAATTTCATACCTAGAAAAAACCTCAATAAAAACAATGTTAAAATTGATAAAAACATTCAGTAAAGTTGCGGGATACAAAATAAACTACAGAAATCAACAAATAATCTGAAAAAACAAGAAAGCAACCTCATTTACTATGGCTACAACTGTATAAAATACCTCAAAGCAATCAAACCAAATAATGGAAAGATCTATATAAGAAAAACTATGAAATTCTTATGCAAAAAGTACAAGAAAACACACAAATAATGTAAAGATATTTCATATGTATGGATTGGAATATTTAATGTTGTTAAAATGACAATACTACTAAAGCAATTTACGGATTCAGCACAATCCCCATCAAAACAGTGGCATTCTTCACAGAAATAGAAAAAAAAAATTATAAAATATGTGCAGGACATCAAAAGATACCCAAATAACTAAAGTAATCATGAGCAAAAAAGAACAAAGCTAGAATCATCACACCACCTGACTTCAAATTTACTACAAAGCTATCACAATCAAAACAGCATAGTACTGGGATAAAAGCAGACACATAGACCAATGGAATAGAATAGAGAACCATATATATATCCACACATTTACAGCCAACTCAACTTTGACAAAGACTACACATACGTTGGGGAAAAGAAAATCTTTTAAATAAATATTGCTGGAAAAAATGGATAATTTTATGCAGAAAAAATCTAGACCCCTATCTCTCACCATACACAAAAATCAAATAAAAATAAATTATAGACTTAAATCTAAAACTTAAAAATATAAAACTAAAAACGAAATTATTTAGGAAACACTACAGGACATTGGTCTGGGCAAAGATTTTTTTGTTTGTAAAACCTCAACATTACAGACAACTAAAGCAAAAAATAGACAAATGGAATTATATCAAGCTAAAAAGCCTCTGTACAGTAAACAATCAGCAAAGTGAAGAGATAACCCACAGAATGGGAGAAAATATTTACAAACCATTCATCTGTCCAGGGATTAATAACCAGAATACATAAGGAGCTCAAACAACTAAATAACCAAAACAAAATACTAAAAACCAAAACTAATAACCCAATTAAAGACTGGGCAGAATATCTGAATACATATTTCTCATAAGAAGACATAAAGATGGCAAACAGATATATGAAATAATGCTCAACATCACTAATTATCAGAGAAATGCAAGTCAAAACTACAATTTAAAATGGGTTGTATCAAAAGACAGGCAATAACAGGTGCTGGTGAGGATGCAGAGAAAGGGGAACCCTTCTACACTGTTGGTGGAAATATAGATTAGTAGAGCCACTAAGGAGAACTCTATGGAGTTTGCTCAAACACCTAAAGTAGAAGTACCATATTATTAATCTCACTACTGAATATATATACAAAATAAAGGAAATCAGTATATTGAATATATAGCTGCACTCCCTTATTTATTGCAGCACTATTCCCAATAACCAAATACGGATTCAATTTAACTGCCCATCAGTGGATGAATAGATTAAGAGAATGTGTTATATATACACAATGGAATATTATTCAGCCATAAAATAGAATGAAATCTTGTCATCTGCAACAACATGGATGGAACAAGAGGCCTTTATATTAAGTGAAATAAGTCAATCACAGAAAGACAAATATTCTAACCCACATGTTCCCACTCATATGTGGAAGCTAAAAAAAGTAGAACTCATGAAGATAGAGAGTAGAACGGTGGTTTCCAGAGGCCAGGAAGGGTAGTGGGGGCTGGGAGAAAATGCAGGGAAAATAAAAGAATAAAAATGTATTTATTAAGTGTGCTTAAAAATCGCAAAGATAGTAAATTTTATATGTATGTTTTAACCAAGTAAAAATAAAACAATCATAACAAAACTCACAAAACACTATAAAATTAAAATTTAGATAACTTCATTGTAGAAATAAGTGAAGTGAAAATAAGCACTAATGAGAATCATGTTGAAAAAGGTATAGAACAAATGCTGTCTTCATTTTGCTGCACAAGAGAAAAGCAGACACTAGAAAAGTAGAGAAAAACCTCAGAGGTATCAGATGATAACTTAAAATTTCTTGTACTGAGAAAAGCAAGAACTTTATTTATTAAGTGACTAATACATCAACTTAGGATCAGGCTAAACTCTAATGCCAATAGTACATAGCAATACACAAAGCACTAGTTAATAACCAGTAGTAAAAGCAATGAAAATGTCCATTTGAAAGAATAAAAAAATGAAAATCTTTCCAACTATGTAATAGTTTCTTGAAAAAGGACAAATTAGCCATTTCAATATATTTTTTGTCAATATTTAAAAGTGTTATATTAAAATACATGTCTTACCTGATTCCTCAAAGTCACTGTTGTAAGCTTTCCAGGTTTCAGTTATTCGAAGAAGATTCTCTTCCATGGCTTGAATGTCCATGGAGGGGCAGTTGCATTCTGGAAATTTGGGACCACAGTGACACCAGCAGTCATTTTCCTTGCAGATAAACTCTCCCTCTGAATTGCAAGCAATGTAGCTCAAAGCTGCTTGTACAAAACGTTCCTGAAGATAGTCTGGGAGAAGTACTTGAAGCCCTTGAAGAACAAACAAAGAAATTAACAAATTTACTTTGTTAAAGAAAAAATTAAAATACTTATTTATAATATTCAATCAAAACAGTAAATAATTTAGTGTATTAAATTTTGAATTATGTATTTTTAAACTATCAGAAAAATATCTAAGTCTATATGCTGCAAATATTTATAACTCTTTCAACATATTCTGACTCCATGAATATGAAACTTCAGAAATAGAGATGATTAATCATGGAGATGATTGAAAACTCAGACTATTTGATGTAATTTATCACAATATTTGGTTATTTTTACATAATATAGATGGAGCCTATCTTTCTAAACCTTTGAAAATACACATATGCATTTATTTTCTACCAGTTGATTTCAAATGGTTTTCAATATTTTCATTTTGTTTGCAGACTATCAGCCCACATCAATGTAAATATCATATAATGGGTTGTGCCATTGATAAAATACATATTGAATGTTGATGGTAAGGCTTATCTCATGCCATTAACAACATATAAGTTATATAATTCTATTTTTCAAGAGTGAGTACCAAAAATAACTACAGGAATCAGATGGACTGATTTAGTTATTTCACAGTTTATTTTTTGCCATGTGTCAACAGTCCTAGTGATATAACTCATTAGTTTTCTAGAAACATGTTTAGTAAAGTTGCTATCTCTTAAAAAACTGTCCAAAATATTGTAAAATTAAGATTTGGGCTTTTCTCAGGGTGTAGCATTTATTACGATATTTCAAAAATGTAGTTTTTCAGTATGTCTGGCTACTTAAGAATACTTAAATACTAAATATTTAAACAAATAAGTAGGTAAAAATGAATACAAAGCTAAGGAAAAATCTGGTAATAGCAAAGTGTTACTTACCAGAAAACTGAATTTTTATAATTTCACATGTTTTCTGTTTAACAAAAAAATCAATGTTGACCCTTGACTATTATCTTAGAGGTTGATTTAATAAAAATCATTGATTAACATTTAGAAAAAAATTAATTTACAAATATGTTGACAAATTGCAAAATTTCCTTTGCAAATTGTTGGAAAAAGTACTCTTAGAACTTATATATTCGATTTCATATTAATTTTCATTTCACCTGGAATAAATATTTATTGAACAGTCTCATTTTGAATAAAATTGCTAGGTAAGATACAAATATGAGGGTGACTGAGAAATTTATTTGTCACAGAGATATCTGCAGTATATTTAAGAAAAATAAAAGATGCAACTATATAAGATACATGTGATTCAATAAATATAATTAATTGGCTAAACAATTATATTAAGTTCACAAAAGTAAAAAAACTTTTTATTAAAAAGTTAGGCATTGAACATTATTTGACAGATGTATAGTTTTCAATATTGAGTGACTGTGCTGAAGAGTGATACATTAACAGCATCACACACAGATAAAAAGCTGGGTTATATATTAATATATTTTGGAAATGAAAGTAGTAATATTGTTTCATTGCAAATGGGCTATAAGAATACAATGAAAGAGGTGCTTACACACATAAATGAGGAGTCATGTTGTTGGGATTCCTATGTCAGGGAATATAGAATTAATTCATTTAGATTTAAATTAATTTTACCATGTGGGATACTAAGAGTGGTACCCATTTGGAAGTAGAAGGTAAAGAAATATATTAGAGTTGACTAATTTTTAAGATTAGATTTAAGATCTTTAAGAAGACTGAAAAAATCCACACTAGGGAAAGAAATTAAGGTAATAGAGGAATAGTGAGAATCTGCTAGATAGTACTGTATTTGATCTAAGGCAAGTAAAAAGTGTTAAAATACTTAGAGGCATAAAATGATACATTCAGAAATTTTCTTAATCGTCTAGTCCTATGGTTTACCAAATTACTGCACATTTCAGATACACCTAGTGATTTTTTTTTTTCTGAAAACTTAAAGTGCTAAAAACAATTTGAATAATTCAGAGTCTTTGCTCAAGGAACTCAGGAATCAGTATATATTTATTAAAAGACCTAAGGTAACAGTAATTGAGTGTGGACTAGATACTTGTAAACTACTTATCCATTTTAATCTTAATTTCACACACAAAAAAACCAAAGAACTCGCGTACCATTTTCATAGTCATAAAGCACATCATTGCATTACAACGTTGAATCTGTAAGACGGTAGTGCTTTTGGAGAAATAGAGAAGGCAGGAGAAGTAATTTGGGGAGGAATGATTGGTGGCAAGAAATGGTGAGTTCCGCTTTAGAAACACAAATACTCCTGCTATGATGATACATACATACACTGCTAAAAGAAGGAAACTCACATTCTGTAAAACCATTATAAAATTAAAGAGTTTTGAGAAAAGAGGTTTAGGGACGCAGCGCTCAAAACACTTGAATTTTATAACCAGACCACCGATAAGAACTAGTTGGTTCCTAGAGAGATAGCTTGGCCTGCTCTGACAAACAACTCGGAGTGGTTCAGGGCTGGCCACGGAATTTTCTTTTTTTTTCTGCTATGTACAGAAACAGGAAAGCAGGAATACTGACAGCACTATATTTAGACCAGGTCTACCTAGTGCTGGAACAATGCTTAACAAAGCTTAGTTTTGAGCCTATGTGCTTCCTGTAAAAGCCAGGATGTGAGGGCAACTGCTACAAGCTGAGAACCACAGAGTAAAATATGAATGTTTCCGGTGTGAAAGGACTAGTTTGTTTTCAACCCACCTTCTCATGGAACCAACTAGGAAATCTAGGTAAAGTATTAAAAATAATCTGAAGAGATAACAAGGACAAAAATGAAGTGAGAATTTCTGGGGTTAACCTGGAAATAAGGTAATCCTACAGGCAGAGTGAGCCCAATATTGGGTTATATGGTTTGGCTCTGTGTCCCCCACAAAATCTCACTTTGAACTGTAATAATCCCCACATGTCGTGGGAGGGACCCAGTGGGAGGTAATAGAATCATGGAGGAAGGTTTTCTCATGATAGTGAATAAGTCTCAGAAGATGTGATGGTTTTATAAATGGGACCTCCCCTGCACAAACTCTCTCTTGTCTGCCCCCATATAAGATGTGACTTTGCTCCTCCTTGCCTCTGTCATGATTGTGAGGCATCCTCGGCCATGTGGAACTGGAGTAAATTAAACCTATTCTCTTTAGAAATTACCCAGTCTCAAGTATGTCTTTATTAGCAGCATAAGAACAGACTAATATGTTGGGCATATCTTTTCCATTAGAGTTCTGCCCAGAACAAAGTACAAATTGACATTTATACCAACCATGACAGAGATAGTAACTTCCTCAGGATTTAGTTACTAGATGAGCTACATACCCAGAGTAAAGAAAAACAAAACAAAACACACACACACACACACACACACACACACACACACACACACACAAAGAAACCACTAGCTTTCACCAGATCTGAAGTATAGTTCCAACTGGCATATTTCAAAATTAATTAAAATAGCATTGAAACTAAATCTTCTCTGAAGGAAAATGCACCATCAATAATTTTAAAATATTTTTATAAATTTTCACTCAAAACAGAATTCAATAAAATATGATGAACATATAAAAAGACAAGGGATGGTATAGAGGGTGTCAAACAAGAATGATAAATTAATTTCAATCACATGATCAAAAATTTAATAACAAAACAGACAATATGGCAAGGAACTAGAAATTATAAAGAAAAATCAAGTGGCTATTTTACAAATAAAAATGCATAATTTGAAATTAAGAACCAATGGATAGCTTTAACAGCAGCATAGACATTTAAGAGATAATTAGGGAACTGAAATATTGCAGAAGAATACGTTTAAAAGGAATAAAAGGGCAAAAAGATATGAAATACAGAAAATAGCATAAAAGATTTGTGTTATGATGGAAAGGCCTAAACCACATTTAAATATAACACAGAATGAGAGGAAAGAAAGGAAATAAATGATATTTGTTAAACAAATATAAAATAATATTAGAAAATTGATGAGGAACGTAAAAAATTGTAAATTAATTTGCAGCATATCACCATATGTTATGGCAAGACAAATAGCTAAGTAAAAATGACCAGCTGGTCAATGTTCTTCAATGCTATTTTGCTCATGAACTACCTTAAATAGTTTTGAAAACATAAGCACTACTTTGGACATGAGTAAGCTCCTGTTTAAAATTTTCGTTATACATAAAAGAGGCCCAAAGCTGGTAAACTGTGGTATTATTAATATGCATATTTTACAATAAAAATATTACTCTGCTTCTATATATGTACAAATGAAATATAATTCCTGTTGATTTGGTAACTAATACATCTTTTAAAAATAAAATTTGAACAAGATATACAAATATAAAAAAAGTATATATGTATGTATAGTGAGTGTATAGATATATGTTTGTGTGAATTATGAGTTTTTAGTAATGACCTTCTTTTTCATACATCTTCTCAAGTGGAAAAAGAATTGTTCCTGAAATAAAATTCTTCAAACACTCACACACACACAGGCACACACATATCTCTTTCCTCCAAGTCATTATTTCATTCGACTATCCCTAAATATTTTTATTCAAATATAATATATTTGATTAATCAATGTGTTTTCTTAATCACAGTCATACTTATCTTCTATAAAAGTAAATAGCTTGAAATGTAAATATGTATACATATATTTACTGAAAATTTAAATAATATTAATTATCATATAGTATAATGTATGGTATATATGATTTCTTGATACTAAAAATTTTAAAAATATTTCTGACAAATTATAACTATCATATGTAATATGCAGTTCAATAGAAGTACACTTATTATAAGTATGAAGAAATATTTTTTTAAAGCAAATATAATCAGCTTTTTGAAAACACATGGCTTGAAGGACTTAATAGGACTTTTTTTGTCTAGAGTGACCCTTCCTTCAGCATAAATTATTATCTGTCTTCATTTTTAAGTATGTAAGCACTGAGAACATGTGATTCAATAAATTAATAAACAGGAACAAAAACAGTTTTTTGAAGCAGCATCATTCAATTTTTATTATAAGCCAAAACACTCATGAACCATCATTAAAAATTACATTTAATCATCCACCTTAAAATAGCCTAGTCCTGTGTCAAATTCATTTAAATAAAATATTGGGAACTAGCTAATATGGAAAAGTGCTTGTAATTCAGTCCTTTAAATTATTCATTTTCTCAAGGTCTGCCAATTTTACCAAAAAATTACTACCAAAACTTAATAAATGACTTTTCATTATTCTGGTTATACTTTCACTCAGAGGCACCTTGTTTGATGTGTTATACTCAGAAGGCATTGAAAAAAATTGAAGTATTATTTCAATATGCATTTGCCAATATTTTCTTATAACTACTTTTTATTATCTACCTTAAATATATTTTCATCAATAAATTGAAGTTGTAGCTATGGCTCTTTTAATTTTTGAAAAATGCCTGCTCTGTAATCTTATCAGCAAAACGAGATCTCAAAGTCCATCTTTTATATATCTTATTTTTTAAAATACTGATTCATATACCAATGGTTAAATCTTAGAGTTCTGTTCTGAATTAGTTGTCTAATCCAGTTGACTTCAACAATTACTGGTGCTTTATTTGCTTTGCTTAGATACAATTCCACTTCAGGAACAATTTTTCTTTTTCTAATGAAAGAGGAGAGTTTCAGAAGTTCTTTATTAAAAAACTGTGATAATTTCAGGATTCTCTCAATAATATATCTAAATTCAGAAGATTCCAAAATGGGCCAAACGCTCTGATTCTAAAACTTCAACATGTACTTAGAAAGAAAACACAACACACAAGCAACTATCTATATCTATTTATCTATCATCTATACCTATATCCATCCATTTATCAGACCAAATATCTAACTAGCTAACCCCAAAAGACATGAAGATCTCTGTTGTTACCTTAGTAAAATATTCTTCAGTGATTCCAGTGTTTTCAATTGCCACATACAGTGACCCAGAAATATCTATACCCTTCAAAGGAATGCACCATGGTAACATTGATCCAGAATTAACAAATTGTTCCCATTAGTTTATAAGGTAGATGAGGGGTAGTACAAAAGGAGAGGTTTAAAAGTTAGCCAACATTATACTTGGATTGTAAATACCAATTAAATTTAAGAAAGAGTGCATGAAATATTGAGGGTCTTGAAATTGACTTCCTAATAGTATTTTCAGAAAGGACTTTGTACCGATAGGTGTATAAATAAAGTTGTAATAGACAATTAAAAATACAGACATGGAAAACAGAAAAAAAGTGAAAGAGATGGAGGTTTCTGAGTTACGCACATTAGTTGAAGAGAATAGAAATAATTATACAAAAGAGAAATGTTGCTTCATTTATTCCTTGTGTTAATTATTTTTCCAGAGAGATAGGGGACTGAAGGATTTTAAAAATAATTTAATATTTTGAAAACTGAACATAGTAATTCAGACACAAATCAATAAATCTTGTTAGTAAATAATTTTTATAATAAACTGATTGAAGTAGTCATACAAATTGGTATAAACGTGCTGTCATTTTTATTGCAATTCATATTCTGAGGGAAGGTTAATCCATACATTAAAAAGGAGTAAGCAGTAGAGAATTGCAAGAAACATTGGTGGACAACATTTTTATTTCAATTAGAGAAAATGTTTTAATAAATGTAAATCTATAATTGATATTGATAAATTGGATAACATTTAAATTGTTAAAGTATTTAAGAACTTTGTACTTTTAATACAACTCAAAATAAAAGGCATTCATTCACTATTTAGGATAAATTTAAACAATTCAATGTTATTACATTTTTCTTTTAATTAATTAATTTTTTTTTAATTTTTTAGAGACAGGGTCTCACTGTCACCCAGGCTGGAGTAACATGATGTGCAGTGTCGCATGGACAGTGATGTGCGGTGTGGACAGCGATGTCCAGGCTGGAGTGACAGTGGAGTGCGGTGGTGTGGTCATAGCTCACTGCAACCTTGAACTCTTAGGTGCAGCAATCCTCCTGCCTCAGCCTCCTGAGTAGCTGGGACTGCAGGCCTGCAACACCAGCGCCCAGATAATATTGTTTTTTAGGTCTCACTATGTTGCCCAGGCTGGTCTTGAACTCCTGGCTTCAACTGATCTTCCTGCCTCAGCCTCCCAAAGGGTTAGGATTGCAGGCATAAGCCACCACGTGGGGACACTGATACATTTTTCAAGATTGCAAAGTTAAGGGAAAAAATGGTAGCATTTCTGAAACTTTTAAGCATTTTTATGTAAAACTGAATAATGTAAATATTCAGCTCTAAGTTATGCAATTCAAAAAGGCATACTAGAGAATAACAACTCAAAATTACCTCTTTGATCAGTCAACTTAATTTTGACAGAAAGTGTCATCACAAAGACTTCTCTGAACTTGTTCAACTAGTAGTGTTTAAACGTGTGTATTCATAACCTGTTCCTGCCTATAAGAATGAGCATGTATGCATAATTATTGTATTTTTAAAAGTTCTTGTGAATAAAATACTCTTTATTGAATATCTAAACTATGTAGTAATAGAAAATAGCAAATTATTTTTATAAAATCTATCTTTAAAATGGAAATCATATGAATATAAATATTTTGTTAATATATCCTTAAGTACATTTCTATTTACCAGGAGAAAAATACAGTCTTGACTGCCACATTAGGTTATATATAAAATGTCAACAGTTCATTTTATACCATGCATAAATATGGTTACAACTTTCACAAGAATCTTTAAGTAAAAAGTCAAAGCTCAGGCAAGCATATGAAGAAACTGCTACATAATGACACAATGATTACTATACGTAAGAAAAATATTATTAGGACAGATTTTCAATTGCTATAGCTTAGTTAATTTGAGAAGAAAAGAAAATTTTTGATATTTTATTCATATGGTCTAGAATTTCATATTTTCTTGTATCAGTTAAATTATGAAATTAGCCTTTAATGAGAGTTTTTAATAGCCTGTATGTATATGCAGTTTACTTTAAAAAATGGAAAAGAAATCACGACTGGATAATTGCTATTCAGGCTTGTAGAGAATTAATGAAATTTTACCAACATACCTTGCAACTGAATCTTATTCTCAGGACTCTGAACCAGAACAGAACTGACAGAATCTAGGTTGTCATAGTTACTGCAGCCAAGAGGACCAGTCCGTGTTTCTGTTACCTGGCAAACAAAACATCAACTTTATTATCTAAATCAGACTTTACAATGTCCTTTTGGTTCACTGTAGTTGTCACACACTAATATTATACGTTTGACAGTAAATATCACTGAAAGGTCCAGGATCTCATACACACCAGCAATACACCCACCTAAACATAGCGGAAAGCAGTAAGTCCCTTTGTCTTTAATTCATTTTCTTTCCTTTGGTTGGGCATAAATATCCCAGGAAAATAATGCATGCCATCTTTGTTCAAAAGCATAACTCATAAAGTCACTGATTTCACCCAAGATATAAAAAAGGCCCACTCCTTATGGAAGACAGCGAGTTCTGACTTATATGAGAATTGTTTGTGTTTGTTTTTACTCAATAAATCAGAGCCATCTGCCAGGCTACTCTCTCAAAACTGATTTTATTATTTTCTTTTACTTAAAAATCTATATTTTTCCCATTTTTATGTTGGCATGAAATTCTAAACTCTCTGTTTGCCTTCCATCTGGTCCAGTTCTTTCCAATATGCCAGTATCTCCCTGTTCAGTTTGACATTCATTCTGTGCCTTTGCTTATACAACATCCTCCACTCCCACCTCACTTGGATTAGAAACTTCTCCTTTCTCAACTTTGACTAATCAGTTTTATCTATCCTCAAAATTAAGCTCATGTTCAAACATTTACACAAAGTATTCCTTGATGATTTCTACCTGTGTTATTTTACCATTTCCATCCAATTTTGGTCTGCAGCACACAGGTTTAGTACTTAAATATGTAATCTCATATGTGGACTGATTTTTTCATGGATGTCTTGGGATGGATAGTATTAGGAGATGAGGAGACTAAATTTAATGAATTTTATGAGGCTGAAAATGTATCCTGAAGATTTAATCCTGAAGATTTAAAACTATTTAAAGCAGAGCAGTATTGTCAGAATCTTCAATAAGATATTCTTTATTAATAACCAGACTGGTCTTTGCAAAACACAATTTAGATAACTTCATTCCAATGTTTACAATCATTTAATGGTTTCCCATTCTTACTTAGGGTGTGACTTAGAGCCTGTTATAGGACAAGGAAGACACCATATTACCCAGCTCCGTGTTACCTCCCTAAATCCGTCTCTTCTCTTATTTATTCTGTCTTGCTGTATCTCAAACATACTTGACATTCTGATGCCTTGGGGTATTTGACTTGTTGTTCTAGTACCTGGAACGTTCTTCCTCAAACTATTTTCTAGCGAATCCTTCACTTCCTTCAAATTTTTGCTCAAATTTCATTCTCTTGGGACTACTTGGACTAACCTACTTAAAGTGAATACCCCAAACTCTTCCAACATTTTTTTCTTTCTTACATTGTTCTACCTTTTTCACAGTAGATATCAGCTTATAAAATGCTGTACAATTTACTCATTTGTTATGATTACTGTTGACACCTCTCACTAGAATGAGAGCTCCACATTCTAAAAATGCGGGAGTTTTTGTCTATTTTGTTCACTCACATATCCACAGAACATATTAAGTTCTTGCATCAGCTGAGGGGTATTGATTAAGAGAAAGAGGAGGAGGAAACATAAGGAGAAACTTCGTAGTATGGAGCAGGAAAGACATTAAGGCCATCATGGAGATGATGAAAGCCTAAAGTAAATAGGTACAATAAACTTTATCTGAAGAAGTTCAATTGTAAAAAACAAGACATAACAAGGTTATGAAATGACAACATTATGAAACACTGCAAGTGTTTATTGATAGAGAGAAAGGCCACTGAGGTTTCCAGTATTAGTGATAACATTCAAAATATGAAGTTAAGAAGCTCACTGTGGAGGATATTTAAAGGAGCTCAGTTTTGAACATGTTGACTCTCTTTGATGAAAATATTTAGTAGGAGTGGCAACACAGGTTTATGTCTTAGAAGTTATGTCAATGACAGGACTACTAATTTGGAAGTCATCAACTTAGAGGCGACAATCAATGATGGATACAGACACATTAACTCAAATGCATTGAGTGTGTGTTTAATTTGTGTCATGACAACTCTATTATATTTTCTAAATGATAACTCCTTGATGGTAACCAAGATTGACTATGTGTAAATAGCCAGAGTTGACAGTGTGGTTTATCATGGGCAAAGAATTACTTTTTCCTTAACACCCCAACAACTTTTAATTATTCTCCACCTACTATTCCCCACTACTGATACTGAATAGACCTTACTTTGTTTAGAGAAATAATGTATAGTGTTGATATGATATGTGTATGTATAATTAATATTTAAATATAAATTAGTGACAGCCTAAGGGCAAAGGGAATAATAAAAGCATCAAAGAGAATACTTAGGGTTTAAGATAATTTAAATTTTCATATTATTCTATCATGTGGTTTCACTATTGCCAACCAACACATATCACATGAATATAAACACACACACGCCTGCCTTTTTTAGAAAGTTTTCTAAGTAAAATTGGCATTAAGCTCATACTCATTGACATAGTGATCTTGGAAAAGGGAAGGTAAACTCCTCTAACACTTCATCCTTAAAAGAAGGTAAATAATATTACCCCATTACAAAGAGTCTCTTATATTCACCTACTCTGTTGTTGTCAATTCATGTAAGAAAATTAAATAATAGACATACGTTTTGAGAATATTTGAATATCTCTGTCCTTATATATTGCTTTACTTTCTCATCATTCGCAATATACAATGATATAAATTTAGCATATCATATTTATAATTTTATTTTGTTCTCTATTCTTCACAACTGAATTCACTGATCACTGTCTGGTTTAATATAAAATTTTACAAACTCTCACACATTATATGAAATAAATCTATCTTTCAATTGTATTCCATTTAAGGCCTCCATATTCCTTACTAATGTCAGCATTAGTAAATGTGCTCATACTTATTTAATTCTTTAAAATAATAATAAAATAAATAAAAATGTAAAGAAAATAAAAATAAATTTACTACAGAGATGCTAACTGTGCCAAAACACAGAATAGCAGTTTACTTGTTTGTTCCAACCTATCATTTTTAATAATAAAAGTAACAAATTCCCATGATGGAAATTTAAGCAATGAAATAAAATACTTTGCCAGAGGAGCAATTGCCATTTTTTCTACTTTTATATGTTTCCCCTATCCTTTTGCCAGACATGAAAATGGTTGAGACTAGGAGTAATTGCACTTCAAGACTATTCTTTATTCGCAGCACACAAATATCATGGCCTTTACCTTTTCACACTGTATTTCTCATTAATTATTTTATTTGTTTCCTAGTTACATTAGGTTATATCAAAGTAACTTCTGAGTAATTTTATCAGCCATCAATTATGAACATAAAACACTGGAATACTGATAAGTACAATTAGCTCTTTTACAATAGAGTTATGCCCAAACAGGCATAATCTAAGACTTTCCATCTGAAATCAATTTTCTCTTCTAGAGACCTACATCTCATCTGGACAACTACAAAATGAATGTTAATATTTAAGAGGGGATTTTGCCCATCCTATATTGTAACAAGAAAACCACATCTGAAATATCAGGAGTTGAGGTGGGGGAGTAGTGAAATTTGTTACTGATACCTGCATCTTGACAAACTGCTATACCAGTTATTTAATTTTATACATTTTGCCCCTGTTTACCTTAGATATACTCTATTATACTGTCCACTTCAATTGTCTCCTTTTCCAGAAATAAGTGTTTCTATTTTTTAATCATTCAAAAAACTTTGGGTTGAGAAGGTAGAAACTATACTAGAGAACAATAACTATATTTGGCTCGTATTCAATTTCTGATATCTTAACATTTAATATAAGAATTGATACTTATTATTAAAATAGAAATAAAGATTTAATCTTACATAATTAGTATTAAAAATTTATTCACTACATACTCTGTTTTTTAAAAATATTGATTAACATAGTTGCAATTCATATATACAGCAAATGGCTCATATCTAGAATATATAAATAAATTCTACAAACTAACAATAATATGGCAAGAGCAACACTGAAAACTCACTTGACAAAAAAGATATATAAACATCCAGTAATTTTGAAATAGTTTTCAACTTTATTATCAAAGAGCTGGAAATTAAAACATAGTGAGAAACTACTATCCATTCACCAGAAAGTCTTATAAGCATACAAAGCCAGACGATGCCAAGTGGTGACAATACAGTGGAGAAACTGGAATTCTCATATGCTGCTGCTGGGAGTTTAACTCGTACAATCACTTTAGAAAATTCTTTGAAAGTATCTACATAAGTAGACACAGGCACATTATATGAGCTAGATACACAGCCAACAAAAATGTGAACATGTGTGTACAAAAGGCACTTGCAATGAGGTTGGTATCAACTATTCTTAGTAACCCCAAACAGAAGGATATTACATTAGTGTGTTAGTCCATTTTCATACTGGTATAAAGATGCTACCAGAGACTAGGTAATTTATAAAGGAAATAGGTTTAATCGACTTGCAGTTCCACATGGCTGGGGAGACCTCAGACATTTAAAATCATGGCCGAAGGCAGAAGGTGAAGGGAAGCAAGACATGTCTTACATGGTGGCAGGTGAAAGAGAGCGAGGAAGTGCCACATTTTAAAACCATCAACTCTCCTGAGAACTTACTATCACGAGAACAGTTTGGGGGAAACCACACCCATGATCCAATCACCTCCTACCAGATCCCTCCCTCATCATGTGGGGATTACATTTTGAGATGAGATTTGGGTGAAGACACAGAGCCAAACCATATCAAGTGGCAATCAGTAATACAATGTGGAAGTACATAGAAGATATGAATACTGTACTACAGTAAGAATAAATTTTTATGTATTCTGTCCACAGAATACTGAACATGAACAAATCTCACAAATACAATGTTGAAGGAACAATATATAAATGTTTCAATATTCTAACACTAGAAGTTTATTTTGCCTAATCTTGAACTTCCATTAATATAAAGCTCAAAATTAGGTAAAATAAACTTCTAGTGTTAGAATACAGGATGGTGGTTACCCTTTCGATATAGAAATGAGGTAAGAGGGCATTAGGATAAATACTTATGTTCTAGAAATATCCTATTTTTTAATCTAGGACATGGTTGCTGAAATGTTTTCAAATTTGAACACTTTATGTACTTCGCTGTATAAATGTTATATGTTACTAATATTTGCTAACAATAATTGGTTAATATTAATTTTCCTTGTGAATTATATCAAGGAAGGTACCACATCATCTATATCTATATTTACATATGTATGGATATCTAGACATCTATCTACTTACCTGTTTTTATCAATCATCCATGCATATGTAATAAAATGCAAATTTGGATTTTCATACATATATCCTTTCAAATGCATAAATATTCTAATATAGTTTCGCAAAAAGAAAATGCTGAAATCTGACACTGAAAGATTATGAAAAACAAACTACTTTTTTCAATTACTAATATGAGTTTATTTTAAAATCCAATACAATCTATTTTAAATCATCTTAGAATACGTCATTTTTTTTTTATTTCAAGGCTACAATTACTACTGTTCTATAATTGAAGATATATAGATGATAAATTATCTTCTATTTATTAGATAGATAATAGACTAGGAACTAACTTGACTAGGAACTAACAGGTTAAT
The DNA here is from genome assembly GCF_000001405.40 of Homo sapiens. NCBI lineage: Eukaryota > Metazoa > Chordata > Mammalia > Primates > Hominidae > Homo > Homo sapiens. The sequence continues at coordinate 190,240,117 of NC_000001.11, forward strand.
ATCCATATTTCATTTTTAAGTATGCACTATTCCAAACCATATATTTACCTAGAATGAAAAAAATAGTTTTTTCTTGTAAGTTCACATCTAAATAGCAATAAAAAGGATGAATAAATAAGCAAGTTATTTTAAATATGCAATTCTTATTATTATAATTACTATGCAGGTTTCCTTTGCCTATAGAAATGCTTTTTAGAGTATTTTCAAATAAATCATTATATTTAATGAGATAAAAGTTTGTTAAATTTATATAGTTTATATTCAAAACACAAATCCTAGTGAATATAGGGGTATCAGAAAAAGACCCCATAGGTCTACTTGCAAAAAAATTTTAAAGCAAAATTTCTTTTAAAACAGTTTGTTTCAAACAGTTGTTTAAACAAAAGCAAAAGCACTGTTTCCCCAGAGTTAAAAATTATCTGAGGAGTAGATAGATATATGAAGAATTAGGGTATTAAAACTCTCAAGTGGGGGTGGGTGTGATTGCTCAAGCATGTAATCCCAGCACTTTGGGAGGCCGAGGAGGGGTGTATCATCTGCAGTCAGGAGTTTGAGACCAGCCTGATCAACAAGGTGAAACTCTGTCTCTACTAAAAATACAAAAAATTAGCCGGGTGTGGTGGTGGGTGCCTGTAATCCCAGCTACTCTGGAGGCTGAGGCAGGAGAATTGCTTGAACCTGGGAGGCGGAGATTGCAGTGAGCTGGGATCGCTCTATTGCACTCCATCCTGGGCAATAAGAGTGAAACTCTGTCTCAAAAAAAAAAAAAAAAAAAAAAAAAAAACCACCCTCAAGGTATTCTCAGAAATATAAAAATATCTTTAATTTATTTTATTTTACCTCAAAGTTTCCATTATGTTTTATTATGCCCATCATAAAATTGCAGGGCAATAATTTATTTCTATTATCTCCTTTAATTAACTATAAACTCTCTATGCATAATTATACACAGTACTGGGCACATGGTAGAAATTAAAAATGTTTGGATTAAATTGGTGGATAAATATTTTAATTTTAGTTAGAAATATTTATTACAAAAGAAAATTTATTGAATTTTTTGGGAACCTCTTGAAGAAAATGTAGAAGAGACAATATATCTAAATTTTTTAAGCTATCAGAAGTTTGAAATCATCTAGTTTCACCATCTCATTATATAAAAGAGATGCTGTATCTGGATGAAGTAGTTATCAAGCTACTTCAGGATCATTTGTATGAAATGAGAGCTAGAACTGGGACTTAGACCTCCTAACTCATAAATCAAATACCCATTCTAAACAACACACTGGCTTTCCAAGCTTTATAGTTAACAAGTTTTGGAAACTTTGCTTGGCTTAATCAATGTAATTAATTCTCTCTCTCTCTCTCTCTCTGGCAATAAAGTTACAATAAAACACAATTTAATTGGTCTAGATTGATGTAGAAGTCAATTACAATGGTGTAGTATATTGGGTCATTCATGAACAAAAAATATTGCTATGAATGTACTGGTTAATATGACTTTGATTGAAGGCCAAATGAATTAACTTTTATTCTAAGTATGAATTTATTAATGCTTTGAAATATAACATCCTGCATATTCTTATATTACTTCCCACTAGGATTGTGAAGAGTAAAATACAAGTGTTGATTAGTTTCTATTATTTCCTAAAACAGTACAATCTTTTCTGTTACCACACATATAAGATCTTTTAAAATTACATATTGCTAAATCTATTAAACTAACAAAATGCTTTATAAAATTTTGATGTTAAAAAATAAGAAAATATATATTTTCCCTTCATTTCTCAACTGAAGATAGTGCCTTATAATATTTTTTCAAATGTTAATATTGAGTTTAAAGGTAATTTTACCATTTAATATTTTTCCTCTGATAGTCATTAAGTCTTATTTCAACATTCTATTAAGTACTTAATATCAGACTGCAATTCAATGTAGTTCCACTTTTTTACCCAGTTGAAATATTTCTGAGCTTATTTTTAGTAAAAAATGAATTTTCAAACATATTATTAATTATAAGATGCATTAAAAACAAAATGTTCGTCTCAGAATAAACATTTCAGTAGCAAAATGTTTCTTAATTTTCAAAATTGTTTTAGTATTTACAGTGTATTTTGTGGGAAAAGTGAAAATTCACATAAAAATGCTACATGTCCTCAAATAAAAAATATATCAATGCAAAATTTTCTTGCATCTCAACACAAAAGTAAGCATTATACTTAGTGTGTTATACATAATTAATATAGTGACTTAAAATATATTTAACATTGTCAATATTTTCTTGGGCCTTCTCCAAACATATAGATACAGTTTAAAATAGTGTATGATATATTATTCATCCAGGATGACTCACATCTTCACATAAAAAGCACAAACACGGATAAACACATTCAGTGCAAGGGAACTTATACCACTGTTGAATTATGCATCTATGCAAATTACTTGAAGCTGACAACTATATTCTCTAATTTTATTCCTCATAATTTTAATAAACCAATTTTTTAAAAATATTAGAAGTTTATAGAACTGCATTTTTAAAAGGTAGTGTTTGGTTTTTTTATTTGCCTTTTACAGGAGAAATAGTGATACTCGAAACATAAGGATCGAAAGTATGATTGCAAACAATATCATGTATATCCATAAAGTATATGCAGAATAACTGTGAATTATAAAATTTAACCATAGGAAAAAAATGTAGAGCAAAATATATTTATTTGAAGTAAACTGAAGGTTACGTGAGAATAATACAAAAAACAAAGCACTCTATTTAGGAACAAAATTGAGTATGTCTTCTTGAAGAGTAATTGCTTCAGTGCAGTTTTCACTTGTGTTTGTTACCATGAGGCCAGGCACGACTACAATGATTGGTCTACTTCTTCATAGCCTATAAATTATCCTCTATCAAAATAATACACAAGCACACCACCCTCAACTATCCCCATGTAAACCTAGTGAGAGAGACTATGCTAATTCTTTGAGTACACATTAAAATATAAAACTACACAGTGACTAGACAACAGAAGTTTTCTAAGGTTCTTAAATTATTGATTTAGTGTGATATGGAATAAGCAAAACTGGACACAATTTAGTTAGGACAAAGTTGCCAAATAACATCAGGACCCCTTTGTGCTTAAACCATGGTTGCCATGGAAATTAAATGTGTGGCACTTGATTGGTCTTGGAGATGCCAAGTCTGTAAACTCACTCCCACAGATGTTATTTTGACTTTTTTTTTAGATAACACAGAGCTTAAAATCACAGCAACTATAAAAAATACATGTAGCCATAAAAAAGCTTTCATTACTTTCCTAATTGCATGAATATACATTTAGAAAACTGACATTTTTATAAAAACTACATTTGTGGCAGCTATAACTGATGGTGTTACAAGAATGGTAAACTTGAACTTCATTACAGGAAATCTAAAGGGATATGTTGTTACTCTAGCTGGGCTAATGAGTTTTCTGAGGTTTTCAATATTAATAATAATAAAAGTAAAGCTTTATTGCCACAGGGAGTTACAAACAATAGGTACAGTTTGCAACCTGGTTCAGGGCTGTGGCATTTCCCTTGCACTCTGGTGAGAGTTACTAGGCAGCGACCTCAGTTCTTACAGCCACTGTCTGGCCTGAATGCCACTTTTCCTGGGCCAGAGAAATGATATTTCAAGGAACTCAGGAGCCAGGGTAATTTTCTGTTTCTTTACATTCAAAAAGTGTAATCTAAAGCAGTGTTGATTATATTCATTTTACAAATGAAAGCTATCTGAAGAAGTAAAACATTAAAGACTGATTTTACTTTTTAATCTTTATTGTTTTTCTATGCATTTCAATCTCATTGCCTTTAATTGTCACTGTCTCTCATCACCCCCAGATGGGACTGTCTAGTGGCAGGAAAACAAGCTCAGGGATCCCACTAACTCCACATTACAGTGAATTGTATAATTATTTCATTACATATTACAATGTAATATTAATAGAAATAAAGTGCACCTTAATGTAACGAACTTGAATCATCCTGAAACCATTCCCTCCACTAAGTTCGTGGAAACAATTTTCTTCCATGAAACCAGTTCCTGGTGCCAAAATGGATGGGGACTGTTTGCATAGACTAACTTATAATTGTGCAAATCCCACTAAAGTTGCAAAAAAAATATCTGTTGCCAAGACTGGGAAGCAAAATGTCACACTAAACAGAACTACTCCCTTTATTAATTCCTACTTCCTACTCTATAATTTTATTTATCAAAACATTTCTACATCTACCCAATCTGCTCGATTGATACTCACCTAGCATCTCAGTCAAGCAAACTGCAAGCTGATGCTCCAAATGATACAAAAACTTAGAAATTGAATTATCTGTTTTGCTTTCTTTGACAGAGTAACTAAAAATGTTCAGGTGCAAATGTCAAGTGCTGAATGAAGTAAAAGCACCTATCACCATCCTGGAAGACGATGGCAGCAGAATCCAGGGCATTGACAGCTAATCACAGCTAGCAGTGCACACAAAGCAATCTGTCACTGTCAAAATCCCGACGAACAGTCTTTCCATAAGATTCTCTGCTATACTAGGGTACTAAAGCAGGGAACCTCGTTAGATACACACATTTTAGTTGTTTAACATTTAATACAACTATTTCATTATTATTACTTTTAATTTTCTCCTACTCAATGTAGGAGCCAGTATAGTATATTAGAACATATCTCAAAGTGCCCACTATTTTATTTCGAGTAAATACTTCTATCAAAAATTTTCAATTTCTCCTCTGAAATTCCATATTTAATATTACTCTTCTGAAATATTTATTTAAACATATCTTATTGCTTAAAACTTAAAACTTTTTATTATAGCCGTTTGAAGTTTCAGCATTATCAAATATTTCTGAATTCCTTAAGCATATCAAAAGCTTCTGTCCTAAATAATAGGACAACTAATACCTGTGCACAGACTAGCTAAAGTTTTATACTGAGGCCGTCATATTCTTACATTTGTCACCCAATTAAACAAGCACCCGAGAGAACTGATAAAGCGCAGCACACTAAAACTCAACAGACTCAAGCATAATTAGAAAGACAGAAGTGGATTTCTTGTTTCAACTGGCCATTATAGAAACTGTTCTGTCATTTCTTTTCTTTTTTTTTTTTCAGAAAAATAAATTGGCTTTGCTCACAAAAAAGTTAATACAAATCCAAATTCTTTAGGAACTTATTATCAGTAAAAGTCAGCAGTAATATGACATTAAAAGAACAAATTAATTATATAGGAGAAAGAAGAAACATATAGTGTGCATGAATTACAAATAATTATTAAAATTCTAAGTGCCAGGGGAAAAAAACAATAAACTGGCCCAAACTCTCTGCAATATTATAATCATATTATGCAGTGCTGCCCACTCCCCCAGTTTTCTTTAACTGAAACATCATCAGCTATGTTAATTATTTATCTTAAAAAATAACAAAAATGGAAAGGACAAGAAGTTTAGTGATTTTTTTTTCTTTTTTTATTAAACTTTAAGTTTTAGGGTACATGTGCACAACGTGCAAGTTTGTTACATACGTATACATGTGCCATGTTGGTGTGCTGCACCCATCAACTCGTCATTTACATTAGGTATATCTCCTAATGCTATCCCTCCCCCCTCCCCCCACCCCACAACAGGCCCCAGTGTGTGATGTTCCCCTTCCTGTGTCCATGTGTTCTCAATGCTCAGTTCCCACCTATGAGTGAGAACATGCGGTGTTTGGTTTTTTTGTCCTTGCGATAGTTTGCTGAGAATGATGGTTTCCAGCTTCATCCATGTCCCTACAAAGGACATGAACTCATCATTTTTTATGGCTGCATAGTATTTCATGGTGTGTATGTGCCACATTTTCTTAATCCAGTTTATCATTGTTCGACATTTAGGTTGGTTCCAAGTCTTTGCTATTGTGAATAGTGCCGCAATAAACATACGTGTGCATGTGTCTTTATAGCAGCATGTTTTATCCTTGGGTATATACCCAGTAATGGGATTTTTAAAGTATGTATTTGTTGGAAAAACATTTTAAAAATAATTTAAAATCCAATGTGAAATACAACTGCAATTTTTGTGTTCCTCTTCTTTCTATAACTTTTCCACTATATCTTCATCTCCTTACATCATTACCTTCTTGACTATTTCCTCTAGAGACCAGAATCCCAGAGGAACTTTGTACCTTCATGGTACCTCTGGGACTTCATGAAGCTTTAATTGGCATCAAGGGTTTCTTAGATTGCAGCCAATCCACTAACAATTTGCTCTGGGGTCATTCGGTTATAAAACCCCAGGTCTATGAATTTTGGGTCTCTAGAAGTTGTCTTTAACCATACAACCAGGTGATTGTTAGCTCACTTAACACTAAAATGCACCAAGTTAGAAAAAAAAAATCAGACAGGAGAAAAATGATTCTTCACTGGGTAAATATTTCAATTTATGTGTTTTACATTTTTCTATGGAACAGACTACAAACTAAAATTACTATTCATTCAAATTTAATTTACTTAATATTATTGAGGGAAAAACTTTTGATAATATGTTGAGAATTTGGCTTTCTGCCATGAACTAAATGAAACCTGATGAAATGTAGGAGCTGTTATTTTAGCTGTTTTATGTGGCTTGCCTCCTTTTCCTACATTAATTTAATTTTACTTATTGATGTAACTGTTGTGCCTTCTACCAGCAGCCCTTTTCATCACTCTCTAAAACTTGTTACAAATCTATTATCAGTGAAGAAACCAGATAAGCAACCTAGGTAGATTTGTTCCTGAGTAGTTTCTAAATGAAAAATTACAGGAATCTCACACATCTAAAAGAATGAAAATTATGAAGTCTCTTTATATTACTCAGGCACCTTCTCCACTTGCCTTTTTGTGTTCTGACATATTAAATATAGTTTAAGCTATGAAGAATAACTTGAAAATTTTTTAAAATTATATATTTCAAGTTACAAATAACCGTATTATACATAATCCTATTGTTATGCTAAATTTTCTAGCACAGAGCATGAAGCAATTCGGTTACCAAAAAAAAACACACCATAGATTTAAAACTGGTTTATATTTTCAGGTTTGTCACTTACTAGCTGTGTAACTAGAAGTATGAAGCTCCTGAGCCTCAGGAGTATTCTCCCCAGATATAAACGTTAAAATAATTTACCTGCAATACCTGTGGAAGGAACTTATCTTTACAAATATGCATTTTTGTTTTAGAAAAAGGAAGCAGACTCCAAAGTGTAATTTTTTCATTAGTCAACATTATGGTAACAATGTGCCAGTATTCCTAGCTATCAGAAATGGTGCATTTTGTCTATGCTGATGGATGAATAACTGCACAGAAGAATTGCATTTCACAGATATTGGTACTTATTGGATTTTTGAAAATATACAATAAATTATAGTTAAGCATATTCACCCTATAGTGCTGCAGAATGCCAGAACTCATCTATCCTATCTAGCTGTAACTTCGTATCCCTTAACAAATCTATCCCCATCTTCCACTCTCCCCTATATTTCCCATACTTCTCACCCTCTAATACCCACAATTCTACTCTCTACCTCTCTACTTTCAGGAATTCCTTTTTTCTTTTCGTCCCACATGTGAGTGAAAGCATGTAGTATTTACCTTTCTGTGCCTGACAACCTGCTTAACATGATCTCCTCCAAGCTATTCCATGTTGGCGCGACATGATTCTACGGATTTTTAAAAAATAAATTACCTACTTACATTTCCAATACACATTTCCAATATATTTCAAGGTCACAGACCGTTGGGGTCTTACATTTATGGGTTCCCCCTAGACACTCTATCTTCGACAAAGTTTGAACTTTGTCATTTGTACCTTGAGCCACATGAGAATAAAACAAAAGTAGCTCAATCCATCTGATTCAGCAAATGCTATGGAGATCTCAGTGTCCCCTCTTTGCATGGTTTCTTTTTTATTCTGGTTTCAGAATATCCTTCCTATCAACTTATGAATACACAGAAGAATTCTTTTATTTTTAATCCATAATTTTAGTTATTTTAGTGGGAAATCTGTGTCACCTCTTGCTATTAGATTCGTGCAAACGTAATTGCGGTTTTTGCCATTACTTTTAATGGCAAAAAAGTACTTTTGCTTTTATTTTCCTTTGTTTTTTTTAAATTCATTGTATTGATTTAGTCAAGTTGCTATTTATTTTTTATTATAATTTAATCTAATTGCACATCTGCCTTTCATTAATAATTTTCTCCCCTTTGCCAATGCTAATAATTGAAAACTCTTACTCTGATATAATATGAAAATTATATTTCACCAAAAAACTCTATTCCATAATGTGCCACCTGCCCATTAAGATACTATCGTCTTAATTTTTCATTCTTTCATTCTCCTATCTCTACTCTCCACCTACCCAGGGTACTTTCAGAATTTTTGTATTTCTATTCTCCCCTCCTTTCAAAAATGTTTCAGGAAAAGACTTTTGTATGTTTATTTTTTTTCTGATTGCATAGTTCTAAACTAGGATATCAATTTTTTTGCATTATGTCACATTTGTTATTATTTAAAACATAGTACATATATTCAGAGTCTGTGAGTTTATATGGAGATTTGAACTCTATGACTATATTTATATACATTCAAACACACACACACACTCATACACTCACAAACACCTATATATTGTATTGCATATGACATCCTAAATTTTCTTATATTTTTCTTTACTTTCATCTTATGGTTATGAGACAGACTTTCTGTTCATTTTTATTTGTAACAATTCTCCATTAAATAATATATTATTCTCAAAAGCAAATTATTTGAGACTATAGTTCTCAAATTTTCAAGAATTTTCCCTATCAGCTATATTTCTTTAGAGGCTTATAGTGATTTTTCTAAAAGATATTGCTTTTTGTGGGATGCCTCAGAGTATGTGTTGCTATTTTTTTTTCTTTATTTGCTCATTTGGACTCCAGTTCAACTGCAAGAATATTAGAATACTTCATTGGTAGCAACCCTGAGAGTACTGGAAGACTACTAGAGAAAACCATGCCACACAGCTGTAGCTTAAATAGAACAGCAGTAGCCTATTAGTTCTCAAATAAAAATCATGTCACGTTCACTTATGTAAGCCTATTCCCCAGCAGCCCTAAGCACAGCACAGACACTGAATAAACCTTCACCAAATATGCAAATAAATTTGGTAAATTGTAGACCTCCAGACACATTTACCCTTATATGGAGTACTAAATATTTTTATTATTTCTAGCAATTACAGGATCACTTACTATGTATACATTTTGCTTTAATTTCTAATATTATTAATTTAGGTAAGAGCAATTAAATGTTTTCACTAATCTTATTAAAACAAAAAAATTAATAGATTTTTCAAATGTAAAAAATAGCAACTGATTTCTGTTATAAGCATCAAGAAAAGTAAAATGTGTTAACTTAAGCAAAAATAGTAATATATTATGTCAAAAATATGATAATTTTATAATTTCCAGGTTTACATCATCATTTTCAATGGAAAGGATTCCATTTGGTTTTCAAACTTTAACCTACACCAAATGTGAACGCGTTTGAGAATTTGAACTGAATTGTTTAAGCCATTTTTGAGTTACGTGAAGGTGAGAGTACATTTTTCATGCACCTAGTTAAAGCAGGCCCCAAACTTTTCTACTGATGCATGTCACAAAAGACTAATGATATATATTATATAGTCAACAGTATTATTAAATTTCTTACCAAAACCTCTAAATTTAAAAGGAAAAAATCATTTTTAAGATGACAAAATTTCCATTTATGAGTCCAAGAATTGCTAATAGAAGATTGTAGTTTAAAAGGAAAGAAAATACAATTAAGGTCAACTCAGATTTCTGTCTAAATTAGATAGAAAATGGATATAGGACAAATATCAAATTAGTGTAGCATTTCAGGGCAGAAATGTTATGAAGTTAATGCACTTTAAAATGTAAAAGTAATTTAACCTCAACCTTTTACAATCCACCTAGAGGGAAAAGCAGAAGCTGAAATAGAAATTCTATGCCAAGCACATCCTCTAGTGAGTTTTGATCACTTAAAACTTGAGCTCCTCTTAAGCAGCATAATGGGTAAAATATCCATTATGAAGTGACATAAAATAAATTTGGAATTATATATCACATCACTAATTATTTCTTAAACCTAGCTAAGTTTTATTTAATTCCCTGAGCAAAAAGTGTTCAAATTTAAGACGGAGAAATAATATATTAAATGTTTAGAATGTTAAGGGGGAAAATATGATGTCTTTTTTAACTTGATATTTGTAAATGGCATGTCATATTTTTAAACTCATTTTTACTCCAGCTTGCTGTAGTACTTTTGGGTCTCTACTCACTTCCTTTCCAGTTACCACCAACTTGATAAGCCTGTCCTTTATGTCATTAGTCAAATCAGTGATGAAATGGTTGAATAGGATGGGGTCAGGGGTATTGCATCATTCATTTATAGAGATCATTATCTGTCAGCATTATATGTAATAGGAAATAAGAGACTCTCCAAGTACTGAGCAGCTCTGTAGTATGGTTTAAGATAGTATCGTAAGAATTTAGCTTGGAACAGTATGAAGGCTGCATTTGCCTGATACGCAATGTTCCCCTTGACATATGGGAAGCAGAACCTTAGAATGTTCTACAAACCTCTTTTCCAACCACCATCCAGTGATTATGGGTGGAAATACATAAATTCACCAGATAACTTAGCCTGTATCTCAGGTTCAGTACATTTTCATAAGTTTTAATACAGGATTCTTGTATTGTAGCGTGGTTTTAATAAGGAGTATACCCTTAACTTGGCATGGTGGCTTACACAAGTAATACCAACAATTTGGGTGGTGAAGATGGGAGGATCTCTTGAGGCCAGGAGTTTGAGACCAGGCTGGAAAACACACTGAGACCCCATCTCTATAAATAATAATAACAACAACAATAATAATAATAAAATTTTAAAAAGTAAAACACCCTTAATTTGGTTCCCTTTTTAGCAATTGGTTTCTTTTGGAAAGGGTAAGAGGATTTTGAAATTTCTACTCCCTTACCAAGTTATTTTTCTGTGTTAGAGCTTATTCCTGAGTCCTATGTATTTGCTTGAACTTGTACTTATAACTATGAGCATAATTTTTAAAAATAACATTTATAAAGCACTTAATATGTGCCAGGTACTGTTCTAAGCACCTTAAAAATATTAACTCTCCCTATTTTCCTGACAACCTTATGATGTAAGTGCTATTATTATCTTTCTTTTACAGATTATTAAACTGATACATAGAGATGACAGTTAATTGAGCAAAACGACACAATCAATACGTAGTGATATTGGGACACCAACCTAGGGCCATGTAGCTCTAGAATTAGAGCTCTTCATTTCTCTTCTCTTTGGCCTATTTCTGATATCACATGCCATGCTGAACCAAGGGGTATGTACAAATTGTGTAGAGAAATGAGAAATAAGGAGATACTTCTGTCAAACACTTAACTCTCTGCCTAGGAATGCAATAAAAGAAATTGAGGAAAAGCATGTATATCTAATAATGACTGTGTAACATCTACTGACAGGTAGATAAATCAAATTCAGAACAATATGGGAGGAGTAGAATGCAAAGATGTTTTTTGCATTTCACTTAATATGATATTTAACAATACTCTTTAACAACAACAACCAAAAAAAAAAACATAAAGAGATGGCTCATAAACCATGCTCATACATTTCAAAACCAACAAATAGTTTCCTTATTTACCAGAGATCTTATCAAATGTAGGCAAACTAATCCAGTTTTTCTTTTTATTCAGACAATGATGATTAATAAAAAGATGATTTTGAAAACATTGAGTTCTTATTCATTCAATAGATGAGAGAACACAAGTCTCTCTACTAAAGATTTGTCAGATACACTATAACACAGATTTAATCAAAAGTCACTTTGTATATAGTTTGTAAAGATATTTTTTTCCTTCTAAGAACCTTTATTACTGGCAGCTGATATTTCACAAATTCACCAAAATGCATTCAACAAATATTTGTTGAGTGTCAGCATGTACAATGCTGCTGTGTTCCATGCTCAGTTCTGTGAGCATTTCAAAATGAGAGAGATTCTGCCAAAGAGCTTTACCAATTAGTTACACTGATGGGATTTCCTAGTTTAGCTGTGCTGTGATCTTGATGCACTGGAGACCATGATGTAGAATATACAGAATTATTATAAAAATAGATAGCAACTGTGTGTTGTTAAAAATAAGGTATTTCCAAAAGAGAGTACTGAGTTTTCTTTCTGCTTATTGAAAGAGCTATTACTCCACTACACTGAAGCAGAAGAAATATGAGGATATAGAAAGATTAAGGCCTATTGAGGATTCCTGTGAAACTTTTCAAAGCTGTTTCAGCATACATGCTAAAGTTGTTACCACTTAACTAATTTTAGCAATCTGGAACACTGGGATTGCTGCAGTTTCCGATTGCCACAACATCATCAATTCTGCTCATGCTGAGTTAGGTTCATTTAATTTCAATTAGCATTTATTGAGCTCCTATCTTATACTGAGCTCTGATTGGAGAGATGAGAGAATAAACTACTTCTGTAATAAAATAAGTGCTCGATAACATTATGTTGCATAGCACTTTCAGATGCTAGTTTATTATTATTATTATTATTATTATACTTTAACTTCTAGGGTACATGTGCACAACATGCAGGTTTGTTACTTAGGTATACATGTGCCATCTTGGTTTGCTGCAGCCATTAACTCGTCATTTACATTAGGTATTTCTCTTAATGCTATCCCTCCCCCTGTCCCACACCCCATGACAGACCCCAGGGTGTGATGTTCCCTGCCCTTTGTCCAAGTGTTCTCATTGTTCAACTACCACCTATGAGAACATATGGTGTTTGGTTTTCTGTCCTTGTGACAGTTTGCTCAGAATGATGGTTTCCAGCTGGATTCATTTCCCTGCAAAGGACATGAACTCATCATTTTTTATGGCTGCATAGTATTCCATGGTGTATATGTGCCACATTTTCTTAATCCAGTCTATCATTGATGGACATTTGGGTTGGTTCCAAGTCTTTGCTATTGTGAATAGGGCCTCAATAAACACGTGTGGATGTGTCTTATATTAGCATGATTTAAAATTCTTTGGGTATATACCCAGTAATGGGATCACTGGCTCAAATGGTATTTCTAGTTCTGGATCCTTGAGCAATCACCACACTGTCTTTCACAATGGTTGAACTAGTTTACACTCCCATCAACAGTGTAAAAGCATTCCTATTTCTACACATCCTCTCCAGCATCTGTTGTTTCCTGACTTTTTAATGATTGCCATTATAACTGGTATGAAATGGTATCTCAATGTGGTTTTCATTTGTGTTTCTCTGATGACCAGTGGTGATGAGCATTTTTTCATGTGTCTGTTGGCTGCATAAATGTCTTCTTTTGAGAAGTGTCTGTTCATATCCTTGGCCGAGTTTTTGATGGGGTTGTTTGCTTTTTTTCTTGCAAATTTGTTTAAATTCTTTGTGGATTCTGGATATTAGCCCTTTGTCAGATGGGTAGATTGCAAAAATTTTCTCCCATTCTGTAGGTTGTCTGTTTAGTCTGATAGTAGTTTCTTTGGCCTTGCCGAAGTTCTTTAGTTTAATTTGTGTATTTTGGCTTTTGTTGCCATTGCTTTTGGTGTTTTAGTCATGAAGTCCTTGCCCATGCCTATGTCCTGAATGGTATTGCCTAGGTTTTCTTCTAGGGTTTCTATGGTTTTAGGTCTAACATTTAAGTCTTCGATTCATCTTGAATTAATTTTTGTATAAGGTGTAAGGAAGGGATCCAGTTTCATCTTTCTACATATGGCTAGCCAGTTTTCCCAGCACCATTTATTAAATATGGAATCCTTTCCCCATTTCTTGTTTTTGTCAGGTTTGTCAAGGATCAGATGGTTTTAGATGTGTGGTGCTATTTCTGAGGCCTCTGTTCTGTTCCATTGGTATATATATCTAATTTAGTACCAGTACCATGCTGTTTTGGTTACTGTAGACTTGTAGTATAGTTTGAAGTCAGGTAGTGTGATGCCTCCAGCTTTGTTCTTTTTGCTTAGGATTGTCTTGGCAATGCAGGCTCTCTTTTAATTCCATATGAACTTTAAAATAGTTTTTTTTTTTTTCAACTCTGTGAAGAAAGTCATTTGTAGATTGATGGGGATGCCACTGAATCTATAAATTACCTTGGGCAGTATGGCCATTTTCACGATATTGATTCTTCCTATCCATGAGCATGGAATGTTCTTCCATTGGTTTGTGTCCTCTTTTATTTCGTTGAGCAGTGGTTTGTAGTTCTCCTTGAAGAGGTCCTTCACATCCCTTGTAAGTTGGATTCCTAGGTATTTTATTCTCTTTTTAGCAATTGTGAATAGGAGTTCACTCATGATTTGGCTCTCTGTTTGTCTCTTATTGGTGTATAGGAATGCTTGTGATTTTTGCACATTGATTTTGTATCCTGAGACTTTGCTGAAGTTGCTTATCAGCTTAAGGAAATTTTGGGCTGAGACGATGGGGTTTTCTAAATATACAATCATGTCTTCAGCAACAGGGACAATTTCACTTCCTCTTTTCCTAATTTGATACCATTTATTTCTTTCTCTTGCCTGATTGCCCTGGCCAGAAATTCCAACACTAAGTTGAATAGGAGCAGTGAGAGAGGGCATCTCTGTCTTGTGCCTGTTTTCAAAGGGAATGCTTCCAGTTTTTGCCCATTCAGTATGATATTGTCTGAGTTTGCCATAAATAACTCTTATTATTTTGAGATACATTCCATCAATACCCAGTTTATTGAGAGTTTTTAGCATGAAGCGTTGTTGAATTTTGTCAAATGCCTTTTCTGCATCAATTGAGATAATCATGTGGTTTTTTTTTTCATTGGTTCTGTTTATGTGATGGATTATGGTTATTGATTTGCATATGTCGAACCAGCCTTGCATCCCAGGGTGAAGCTGACTTGATTATAGTGGATAAGCTTTTTGATGTGCTGCTGGATTCGGTTTGCCAGTATTTCGTTGAGGATTTTCACATTGATGTTCATCAGGGATATTGGTCTAAAATTCTCTCTTTTTTTTTTTTTTTGTTGTGTCTCTGTCAGGCTTTGGTATCAGGATGATGCTGGCCTCATAAAATGAGTTAGGGAGGATTCCCTCTTTTTCTATTGATTGGAATGGTTTCAGAAGGAATGGTACCAGCTCTTCTTTGTACCCCTGGTATAATTTGGCTGGGAATCCATCTGGTCCTCGACTGTTTTTGGTTGATATGCAATTAATTATTGTCTCAATTTCAGAGCCTGTTATTGGTCTATTCAGAGATTCAACTTCTCCTGGTTTAGTCTTGGGAGGGTGTAGGTGTCCAGGAATTTGTCTATTTCTTCTAGATTTTCTAGTTTATTTGTGTAGAGGTGTTTATAGTATTCTCAGATGGTAGTTTGTCTTCCTGTGGGATTAGTGGTGATATCCCTTTTGTCATTTTTTATTGCATTTATTTTATTCTTCTCTTTTCTTCTTTATTAGTCTTGCTAGCGATCTATCAATTTTGTCAGTCTTTTAAAAAAACCAGCTCCTGGATTGATTGATTTTTTGAAGGGTTTTTTGGGTCTCTCTCTCCTTCAGTTCTGCTCTGATCTTAGTTATTTCTTGTCTTCTGCTAGCTTTTGAATGTGCTTGCTCTTGCTTCTCTAGTTCTTTTAATTGTGGATTTTAGATCTTTCCTGCTTTCTCTTGTGAGTATTTAGTGCTATAAATTTCCCTCTACACACTGCTTTAAATATGTCCGAGAGATTCTGGTATGTTGTGCCTTTGTTCTCATTGGTTTCAAATAACATCTTTATTTCTGCCTTCATTTTGTCATTTACCCAGTAGTCATTCAGGAGCCAGTTGTTCAGTTTCCATGTAGTTGTGTGGTTTTGAGTGAGTTTCTTAATCCTGAGTTCTAATTTGATTGCACTGTGGTCTGAGAGACAGTTTGTTGTGATTTCTGTTCTTTTCCATTTGCTGAGGAGTTCTTTACTTCCAACTCTGTGGTCAACTTTGGAATAAGTGCGATGTGGTGCTGAGAAGAATGTATATTCTGTTGATTTGTGGTGGAGAGTTCTCTAGATGTCGATTAGGTCTGTTTTATCAGAGACTAGGATTGCAACCCCTGCTTTTTTTTGCTTTCCATTTGCTTGGTAGATCTTCCTCCATCCCTTTATTTTGAGCCTATGTGTCTCTGCACATGAGATGGGTCTCCTGAATACAGCACACTGATAGGTCTTGACTCTGTATCCAATTTGCCACTCTGTGTTTTTAATTGGGGCATTTAGCCCATTTATATTTAAGGTTAATATTGTTATGTGTGAATTTGATCTTTTCATTATGATGTTAGCTGGTTATTTTGCCCGTTAGTTGATGCAGTTTCTTCCTAGCATCGATGGTCTTTACAATTTGGCATGTTTTGCAGTGGCTGGTACCGGTTGTTCCATTCCATGTTTAGTGCTTCCTTCAGGAACTCTTGTAAGGCAGGCCTGGTGGTGACAAAATCTCTCACCATTTGCTTGTCTGTAAATGATTTTATTTCTCCTTAAATTATGAAGCTTAGTTTGAGCTGGATATGAAATTTTGGGTTGAAAACTCTTTTCTTTAAGAATGTTGACTACTGGCCCCCACTGTTTTCTGGCTTGTAGAGTTTCTGCAGGTAGAACTTCTTTTAGTCTGACGTGCTACCCTTTGTGGGTAACCCGACCTTTCTCTCTGGCTGCCCTTATTATTTTTCCCTTCATTTCAACCTTGGTGAATCTGACAATTATGTGTCTTGTGGTTGCTCTTCTAGAGGAGTATCTTTGTGGTGTTCTCTGTATTACCTGAATTTGAATGTTGGCCTGACTTGCTAGGTTGGGGAAGTTCTCCTGGATGATATCCTGAAGAGTGTTTTCCAACTTGGTTCCATTCTCCTGTCAGTTTCACGTACACCAATCAAACGTAGATTTAGTCTTTTCACATATTCCCATATTTCTTGGAGGCTTTGTCCGTTTCTTTTTACTCTTTTTTCTCTAAACTTCTCTTCTTGCTTTATTTCATTAATTTGATCTTCAATCATTGATACCCTTT
The DNA here is from genome assembly GCF_000001405.40 of Homo sapiens. Taxonomy (NCBI): domain Eukaryota; kingdom Metazoa; phylum Chordata; class Mammalia; order Primates; family Hominidae; genus Homo; species Homo sapiens. Next base: position 190,257,261 of record NC_000001.11, read on the forward strand.
CTTCCACTTGATCAAATTGGCTAGTGAAGCTTGTGCATGTGTCATGTAGTTCTCGTGCCATGGTTTTCAGCTCCATCGGGTCATTTAAGGTCTTCTCTACACTGTTTATTCTAGTTAGACATTTGTCTAATCTTTTTTCAAATTTTTTAGCTTCCTTGCGATGGGTTCGAACATCGTCCTTTAGCTGGGAGATGTTTGTTATTACTGACCTTCTGAAGCCTACTTCAGAGTTATTCTCCATCTAGCTTTGTTCTGTTGCTGGTGAGGAGCTGTGATCTTTTGGAGAAGAAGAGGTGCTCTGGTTTTCATAATTTACAGCTTTTCTGCTCTGGTTTCTCCCCATCTTTCTAGTTTTATCTACCTTTGGTCTTTGATGTTGGTAACCTACAGATGGGGTTTTGGTGTGGATTTCCTTTTTGGTGATATTGATGATATTCCTTTCTGTTTGTTAGTTTTCCTTCTAACAGTCAGATCCCTCAGCTGCAGGTCTGTTGGGGTTTGCTCGGAGGTCCACTCCAGACCCTGTTTGCCTGGGTATCACCAGTGGAGGCTGCAGAGCAGCAAATATTGCTGCCTGTTCCTTCCTCTGGAAGCTTCGTCCCAGAGGGGCACCCACCTGTATGAGGTGTCAGTTGGCCTCTACTGGGAGGTGTCTCTCAGTTAGGCTACATGGGGGGTCAGGGACCCACTTGAGGAGGCAATCTGTCCATTCTCTGAGCTCAAACACCATGCTGGGGGAACCACTGCTATTTTCAGAGCTGTCAGACAGAGACGTTTAAGTCTGCAGAAGTTTCTGCTGCCTTTTGTTCAGCTATGCCCTGCCCCCAGAGGTGGAGTCTACAGAGGCAGTAGGCCATGCTGAACTGTGGGGGGCTCTGCCCAGTTCAAGCTTCCCCAGCTGCTTTGTTCAACTACTCAAGCCTCAGCAATGACGGACGCCCCTCCCCCTGCCAGGCTACTGCCTTGCAGGTCAATCTCAGTCTGCTGCCCTAGCAGTGAGCAAGGCTCCGTGGGCATGGGACCTCACTGAGCCAGGCACGGGATATAATCTGGTGTGTCATTTGCTAAGACCATACCTGGAAAAACGGGACACTCCCACCCAAATACTGCACTAGTTATTGTTTTAAGAGCTTTTCAAATATTAACTCATTGGAAAAATAAAAAAAAACAACAAAATACAGAAAATTCAATAAAACTAAAAGCTCATTCTTGGAAAAGATCAACGAAGTTGAAAAAAAAGTTTACCTTGATTGATCAAGATAAAAAGAGAAAACTCATGTAACTAAAAGTAAGGAAACTAGAAATAACTAAAAATCAGGAATAAATTAGGGATATTACTACTGGCCTTACAGAAACACAAAGAATATTAAAGAAATACTATGAACAATTGCATGCCAACAAATTGTATAATTTCAATGAAATGGAAACATTTCTAGGAAGACAGAGACTTTCTTAAGTGATGACCTTGATTTCTTTTATCACATAGAATATGAAGGTCATTGCTCAGGTTTAGAAGGGCCAAGCCTGGATAGAGTTGGTGAGGACAGTGATAAATGTTTGGAGGAGCCATGTAGCCACAAGATAAAGCTGAACAAGGGCTAGGCATAGTGGTTCAAGCCTGTAATCTTAGCACTTGGGGTGGCCAAAGTTGGAGGATCTCTTAAGCCCCTTAAGTTCTTGAAACTGAACTCAAGAAGAAATACACAGTATGAATAAACCTAGTGAAGAGATTGAACTAATAACCAAAATCTACCTACAAAGAAAAGTTCACATCTAGATGGTTTCACCACTAAATTCAACCAAAAACTCAAGGAAGAATTAATACCAATTCTTCATAAACTCTTTCACAAAATAGAAGTGGAAGGAATATTTCCCGATTCCTTTTATGAGGCCAGTATTACCGCCTACCAAAACCAGACAGATGTATCTCAGGAAAATATAGTCCAATATCCACTTTGAATATAGGCATACCAATCCTCAGCAAACTACTGGCAAACTAGATCTAGCCACATATAAAAGAAATATACACATTGACCAGATGAGATTTAGCCCAAAGAATGCAAAGTTTATGCAACATCCTAAAATCAACTAATGTAATAAATCATGTAAATAGAATTAAAAAATAAAAATTACATGCTTAATAGACATAAAATGCATTTGACAAAATCAACACATTTTCATGTAAAAAACACTCACCAAGCTATGAATTAAAAAGAACTTCCTCCATGTATTAAAGAGCATGTATGAAAAACCCACAGATAACATCCTAGATAATAATGAGAGAAGGAACACTTTCTTCCTAAGAGCAGGACAAAGAAAGAATTTCCATTCTCACCACCAGGAGAATTAGGCAAAAAATAAATAAATAAATAAATAAATAAATAAATAAATAAATAAATAAATAAAATAAAGTGCAATACAGACTGGACAAGAAGTACAATTGTCTCTGTTTGCAGATAACATTATCTAATAGAAAGTCTCAAAGAAGGCCAGGCATGGTGGCTCACACCTGCAATCCCAGCACTTTAGGAGGCTGAGGCGGGTGAAACACCTGAGGTCAGGAGTTCAAGACCAGCTTGACCAATATGTGAAACCCGGTCTCTACTTAAAATACAAAAATTAGCCAGGCGTGGTGGCAGGCATCTTAGTCCCAGCTACTTGGGAGGCTGAGATAGGAGAACTGCTTGAGCCTGGGAGTCAGAGGTTGCAGTTAGCCAACATTGAGCCACTGCACTCCAGCCTGGGCAACAGAGTGAGACTCCATCTCAAAAGAAATTGGAAAAAAAAAAAAGAAGCAACTTAAGAACCACAAAAAAAAAAAAGAAAAAGAAAAGGAAAGCAAAAACAGAGTGGTTACTAGGATGGGAGAGGTGGTAGAGGGAGGTCATGAGGTCATGACAAGATATTAGGTCAATGAGCACAAAGTTGCAGTTATATAAGATGAATAAATGTAGAGATCCAATGTATGACATGAAGATTATAGTTAAAAATATTGTATCACCTAGTGGAAATTTGCAAAGAGAATAGATTCTAGCTGCTCTCACCACAAAGAAAAAAAGTATGTAAGATGAAAAGATGATTGGTATGGTAATTTGCTTGGCTGTAGTAACCATTTCACTATGTTTAAATACATTAAAACACTATGTTGTACACCCTAAATATATACAATCAAAAAGAGTACCAAATATGAATCTTTCCTATAAATGTAAAATATAAAATGTGCAACAATTATGAATGGTCCATATGCATATTTTCTTGGGTATTCTTAAAGTAAGTTTTAAAAACATATATATATATAGAGAGAGAGAGGTAAAATTAAAAATAAATATATTATCATTTTACTGATTTTGCCCCCAAATAACAAATAATTTACTTATCAAAACTGCTTCTTGGAAAAGTATTGTCATGTTTAATTTCATAAATAGCTTTAAAATTTTAATGTAATGTATTTTATAATTTCAGAAATGTAAATTTAGAGTTAGCTCTAGTGCCTTTTCAACATCACCTGCAACACTCTTAAGTTAACTATGCAGCAGTAAAAACTCATTTCAAGATGGATTTTTTTAAGCTGAAATACTGACCTTCAAGTTAATTGTAATATACTGTTTCTACTTATTCCTAGGTTTGCTGCTCAAAACTTTCCAAACACTATAATTCTGAAAGCTATCTGATTGTCTTTTCTTTTCTACATTTCAAGAATACAAGAAACACAGTAACATATCAGTAATTATTTTTGAAAATAATTACTTTTAAAACTTTTTAGTAGAGTCCTATTATAAAAACTTAATTTTACTCAGTGCATTATTTCTAAAAATTAAAATAACAAGAAAATTCTCTTTGAAAATATGTGTGACATAATATGTCAGGTGATAGATTAAATATCTTTTCAAAATATACAATGTATTGTGTTTTTCTCATCACCGTCAATTATATAGCATTAACGTTTATTAGACTATTTAAAAATAAAAATATGTTAGTATAATTTTTTGAATAACTTAAGTCAATTGAATTGAGTCTCGGTAGAAAATAATGACCAACTCTAGACATTACACTTCACATTTTATTGGACTACAAATAATATTGTGAAATAAAATTTGATATAAACACTATTAATTGCAAGAGTATAGCAATTAATTAAGCTATGGATGTTTGTGTCAGTGTTTTTTATTTACAGATTAACAAAGTATAGTCTACATTTATATTCATAATTATAAAAGACAAAACAAACATATTGCTTTATTCCACTTTCTAGAAACTGGCTCATAGTTAAATTGCTTAACTCCTGTGATTTGTAAGAATTAGCGTGATAAAAGCTGGCATGATTTTGTAGATCTAATTATATTTTTGCTGTTACCTGATAACAGTTCTGTTTACTTTATTTTTTACCAATTATCTGTCTCCTAAATTCTGTAAATCACAGAACAACTTCATTCAATATTTGCTCTAGAAATTAAATACCTACTATATGTCACTTAAAACACAACTTACATTACCAAATCAAAGAAATTGTGAATCTTGTTATCCTTAGTTTGACAATTTAAAGCATACAAGCAATGCATTGAACCTTTAGGTATTTAGTAAAGGAATTAAGATCTTGGTTTCAGAGACTACAAGAGCACTTTACATCGAATTGTTTATTCAACTAGAAAATATTTCAGTAGTTGAATACCCTTGGATCCAGCCTACTGAAGTCCCCTCACACATCTACTCAGTTCCTCATATTTACTTCTAAGCACTTGCAATCTTAGTCATACTTATAAATGAAGGGGGACACCTTTTACCTGTGCAGGGACACATTTGATAAGTAATAAAAATAAAAGATACTCTCCATACAAAATTGCACAGACACATCAGTGTTCATGTAACTCAGAGCTGTCGACTTCCTGCAGTGCACATGATCATGGGTTTCTGGCTCCACTCTTGCTTGAACACAGCACACAAGCACAATGCCCTTCCCTGGAACCTTCATAATAACCCTGAGTGCAGCTAACCTTGGCCTGGAAAATCATCAGCTACTTAAAATTACAGCTGCCTGAGAAGGAAATTCCCCTGAGGTCTAAATTAAACCCTGAAAGGTGTAATTGCTCTCCACTCTTTCCTATTCCCCGCTACCTCACCACCTCACGCTTGCACTCCCTATGAATTTCCATGCCTGTATTCTTGGCTATGTTGTTACCAGCTGGTGCTTATCTTATTTCCTTTTTTCCTTAGTTACAGCACAAGATGGGTACTTCTGTTCACAATGATATAGACCCTGTATCATTCCCACTGTTTGCTGTTTCCTCCACCTAGTATGAAGCCCCCTTTCCACCCATCTCCAGCTACTCTACACACACTTTAAATCATTTTTATTATGAGCACTGGAACTCCTTTCCATGGTTAACGGACAATGGGCATTCCCCGTGGCCCTGTCAAGGTGAGACTGTTGACTCCCAAATTCCAGATTACTCTTTCTTCCCTCTCAGAACTGCTTAGATGACACACTTCCTATAAGTGTCACTTCTTTGGGACTCGTTTTGACCACACAGCTAGATTATAGACTTAATGAATCATCATTATTCCCATTTGTATTAACAGAGTCTAAATACAATGCCTGTATATAACAGTATGCCTCATTAAAACATATATATATACATATGTGTGTGTGTGTGTATATATATATATTTCTTTTTTTGTGCCACATACTTCTCCTGTGGGAGAAGAGAAGTATATGCAAATACCCATTATGTTTTGATGTGAAATGTGCCTGTATATTTCTTACTTAGAGTACAAAAACTGTTGTATAATTTCACAGACACACTTGGTGCTGAACAGCAACAACAAAAATCAATAGCTATATAATAAAATCATTTACAACAATGATTTCTTCTATTAGAAAATACAGTTTGACCAAAGTTTCTGTTTAAATCCTTGAAATTGATTTCTGGAAAAGTTTAGTTTTCCTCAGCAACCACAAGCTAAGTTTCTCTAACAACATCTTACAAAATTTTTAAATTAACTGAAACATCTGCATTCATGCTGGCTACATTTTTATCTGTACGGCATAAATATTATTTATATACTTGTTACTCAATATAACATTAGTCCTAGAGTCAGAAGCCAACTAACTATATTGCATGATTTGTATCTACTGAAGTCTGTTTCCCAACATCATCTACTAGCAACATTAGGATTTTGTCATATTGTTTAAGTAACCCTTAAGCTAAAGGTATTTCCACATCACCTTTAATTTTCTCCAGTACATCCCGAACAAAAAGATATACTTGGAGCAATCTTCCGAGCATTCTAACCCATTTATGGATTTAAGTTGAAAGTTGAAGTAGTAACTTTTTTTTTTTTTTTTTTTTGAAACAGAGTCTCGCTCTGTCGCCCAGACTGGAGTGCAGTGGTGTGATCTCCGCTCACTGCAAGTTCTGCCTCCCAGGTTCATGCCATTCTCCTGCCTCAGCCTCCCAGTAGCTGGGACTACAGGTTCCCGGCACCACACCCAGCTAATTTTTTGTATTTTTAGTAGAGAGGGTTTCACTGTGTTAGCCAGCATGGTCTCGATCTCCCGACCTCAAGTGATCCCCCCGCCTCGGCCTCCCAAAGTGCTGGGATAACAGGCCTGAGCCACCGTGCCAGGCCTAAGTAACTTTTCAACTGACACAACAATGAACACACATTAATTTTAGTTTCATAAAGTAATACAACGTTACATTTAATCATTCCTTTTTGTATTGACTATGAAAGGTTAGATTTGAAACACTCCAAAATGCTCTCTCTATATTATTTTGTTATGGTTAACTTAGGCTAGGATCATACTCTTCTGACTGTTAATTTTACAATGGCCATTTGACAAATGAAATTACATTGACCTAATTTGCCAGAGAATATGTCTAAAACTTATTGTTTAGGAGACAACAATTTCTCCTCTCTGTCTCTCAATCTCTTTCTCTCATTTTCTTTTTTTTCTTTTGAAAATCAGAACTAAATTATTCTCCTCTTTTCTCAGTTTTGATAAAGTCAACCTTAGTGTATTCAAAGTCAAATGACTTTAGTGAACACATAATATTAATCCACCAATTCTAGATTATGTTATATTTTGCCTCCTAGAAACCCATATAACCATGCACCTGTACATCTTAACATATCTTAAAAACATTGAGGGGTCATTTTCTATGAAGCAGGACTTCTTAAAAATATTTTGTGCCATGGACGACTTTAAGCCTGATAAAGCCTCTCTTCTCAGAATAGTATTTTTAAGTGGGTAAAATAAATTAAGGAGAATTATAAAAGAAATTGATGTTATTAAAACAAATTTGTATTCATGTTTATTTTGTGAGGGAGTCTGTGTACCCCAAGATAAATTCATACAATTCAAATATACTTTAATTACATTTAACCATGAAAAATCTTGACCTACTTATCAAGTAAATATTATATTGAAATACATACAATTTCATCTTAAATATATTACATAACTGAAAGCAAGAAAATTGTAAATATATTTTTATAAAATAATTGTTTAAATTCATGGAATAAGCAAATACATAAAAATGCCTTTTGGATATAGAGGAAACAAACAATGGAAGGTGATAATTTTAGCGTAAACTCATTCTTACCTTTATGGCAGTGGATGCAATTTGAATGTGGTGAAGTCTCCGAAGGGTGCTGTCCCTGTCAATGAAATAAGAAGCGGCTAGCTGATGTAGCGTCTCCAGAGTGACCGAAGAGCTATTGGTGGTGGAATCACTTCCTTCAGCTCGTTTGCTCAACTTCCGCTTGTCCACAAAAATTGTGAGTGACTCCTCTCCTGCATTAATAATATTTCAAATTATTCAATTTTCCACTTAAAATCTTTTTTTTTAACTTATCTGCAGGTGGAAAGGTCTAGCTTATGAATATAGTAAAACAAAGGAGTGATATATGCCAAAAGGGCAAGGGGTTTTATTTTTGGTCACAGATATTTCTCAAGTACCTCAAAAAGTGCCTGGGATATTGGTCACTTTAAACACGTAGTTACTGAATGTCAGATATTTAGCTTTTGCAGAACAGTTTCTCCAGATTTTATTGACTTTCTAACAAAGTTTAGCATAACACTCATATGGTCCAAAATAAAATTAATTTATGGAAAACAAACAAGTGAGGGGCATAAAATGAAACTGTATTTTACTCAGGGCCGGGCACGGTGGCTCACGCCTGTAATCCCAGCACTATGGAAGGCCGAGGTGGGCGGATCATGAGGGCAGGAGATCGAGACTATCCTGGCTAACACGGTGAAACCCCGTCTCTACTAAATATATATATATATATATATATAAATTAGCCGGGCGTGGTGGCGGGCGCCAGTAGTTCCAGCTACTCCGGAGGCTGTGGCAGAAGAATGGCGTGAACCCGGGAGGCGGAGCTTGCAGTGAGCGGAGGTTCCCGCCACTGCACTCCAGCCTGGGCGACAGAGCGAGACTCCGTCTCAAAAATAAATAAATAAATAAATAAAAAGAAAGAAATTGCATTTACTCAGAAATTTTTACCATAGAATAGAATATCCAAATGGAAATATGACAAAGCACTAGTTTTCATCTGCACCTTTAAAATTCAGATAAAGCATGTGTATGCATATACAGGTATGTATATATATGTAATAAATTCAGAATTTCCCTGCATAGGATATATTGAAACATTGTGTGTTAATACACTGTGTGAAAAACACTGAAATCTATGTAGGATTTAGGTAGTAGCAATTGGTTCTCAAACGTAAAACGTAAAGTGTATTACAATTAAGCTGAACTTTTCAATGTCCAAAAGACAAAAATCCATGTCATTGAAGTTAGACATTAAGAACTTGTGATCCTCCGACAAACATATTATCGGATACTCATCTAGCACATAATTGTCAAACTTGCTGTTTTCATTCTTTCAGCAACCCTTTTGTTTGGGTAGTATTGTGCCCATTTATAAACTAATAAGTCACTTTTATGAAAAGGCAAATAAGTTTGTCTAATAGAATAGTTTGCATTTCCTCTCTTTCTTACAATAATATCAATTTTAAAATGACATAGCCCAGGTGACAATCCAATCTTAAGTAAGAGCTCTTACATGTCTACCAGAGATCAGTTCAGCTTCTCTCAGAAATAGATTTCAACAAATATTATTTCTAAAACTCACATTTCTTGTTGGTATTTGGACCCCAACATGCATATTAGAAATCAGTTAGAGGAAGGAGAATAGTTTAAGAAAAAACATATATCTCAAGAATAAATAGGTGGGTCAAATCATCAACAATATTAGGTAGTGTAAATGAAAAACAGCTTTGGAGTAGAGGCAGCTAAAAGAGAAAAAGAATACATACATAAATGCTATAAAATAAACAAACAAAAAATCCCCTACAATCATTCTCTCCAAGAAAAAGATCAACAGGTGAGGAAATTTCAGGAAGTGCATCTCAGAATGACCAATGAATCAGAAAAACTCATCCACGTGATAAGTCGTGAGAGTGCCAAAACATACAAATACCCTGTAGATAGATGTAGAAAGAACACCAGTGGTATGGTGGTCTAAGTAAGTACTCACAGTGTAGTTCTGTGAATTATGCAAGAGACATGTCTAAATAAGGAAAATTAAAAATAAAATGACAGAGACATCTTGGTAAATGTAGATTAAAAATAAAGCTAAGAATCTTGATATTAGAGAATTTAGGTGAAAAATTATTAAATGAGAAAAAATAGCAATGTAGTGCTAGTAACAGAAACTTGCAACGTTGCTTTAACAGCAACACTTTTCATAAAGCACAAGATACAGGAGCAATAGACATACACTGATATTATGAGACTTCAACACATATTTCTTTCTAGGTACAAAGGGGATAAAAGTAATGATAGAAATATATACAACCTCAAAATAAGGTAGATCTTATCAATAAATTGTAAACCTTATGTTAAGAATAGTGCAAATAAAACTTACTTTCAATAATACACAGAACATTTACAAACGGTGACCATGTATTTTGTTACAAAGAAACCTTTAGTAAATTCCATAAATTTGTAAGAATATAGTATGACTCACTGATGGCAATAAAAAACCTAAAAGTTAACAGAAAATTTAAAAAGATATTACTATTACATGTGAAAATTCCCTATTGTATAATATTTGAATGATAGGCTAACTTAAGGCAAAATTACAAATTTTAAAGGAAAATGTTATACATCAGAATTTAAGGAACACAGCTAAAGCACTGCTGAGAGAAATATCTATAACATACATGAGTTAACTACATGATTCTAAAATCAAAAAAATGATAAAAAAGCTTATATCCAATAAAAATAAATACAAAGGTAAAAGCAGGTGTTCGTTGTTTTTTAAAAGAGTGGAAACGATAAACACAACCAAAAGTAGCTTCTTTCAGGAGAAAAAACACCGATTAGTTAACCTACTTTTTTTCTTCATGGAAAAAGAAAATTACATAACGAATTGACAGAATAAATATATAATAAAACAGAGAATAGAGCATTTACTTAAAAACAGGGAAGAATTATTTTCTAAACCATATTGCAAATAAGATTAGGTGTTACAGAACACCTTCCCCACAACCCCCCAAAAAATTAACATACCCAAATAGTTCACAGTGGATTTTTGCCTGAAGTTTAAATATAAAAAAATTGATAATACTGAAAATGTAAAACTTCTAAATCTATTTTTATAAACTGAGTGTAAGATTAGCACAGATATCTAAAAATCATCATATACAATATATTTTACAATTAATAAATATTGAAGCAAAATTATGACTAAAACAATAATGAACAATATCCAACAGTAACTATTAAAAATGCTTATCTCATGACCAATAGGATAATTCCAATACTGCAAAACTGGCTCAATAGTAGGAAATCATTAATATAATTCAGCATATTAACACATCCAGAAACAAAAACGCTGCTATCCTCTATTACTTAAAATACATTTATGAATAATTATAACTATTTATGATTAACTAAGAATTAATAAATTAGGAATCAATGAATAACAATGTTTTTTCCCATAGAGATGGAGTCTCACTGTGTTGCCCAGGCTGATCTCAAACTTCTGGCCTCAAGTGATCCTCCCACCTCAGCCTCCCAAAGTGCTGGGATTGCTGCCATGAGCCACTCCACCTTGTAAATACTTCTTTAAAGAAGTGAAATATAGGATCCTAAGCATAAAAGCCAGCAACTTTCTTAATGGGGAAACACAGGAGGCATCTCTATTAAAATCAGAACCAGACAAACATACCCACAGTTGCTTCTATTATTCAACATGCTAATAAATATATTAAAATGTAAACCTAGAAGAGAATGCAGATTAGAATCACAGTGTCAGAAAAAACACTTAAACTATGTTTATTTCGCAGATAATATGATTATGCAGGTGAAAATTCAAAATTTAATAGACAAACTACTGCACATATACAGTAACAAAACTTAGTAAGGTACAAGCAAATAATAAAAATATTACTATCTCAATAGACTGAAACACACGAATATTATCTAAGCATAAATAATAATGGATTAGATCACACCATTTAAACAGCACAAAAAATGTGAAACATACATGAAAAGATTTGTAAATCACTTCTGAAAGTTGCCATAATAGACCTTATTAAATGACATGATCGATTTTTTCTTGAGCATAAATATTCAACATCAAAATATATCAGTTTATATTAATATTTTGTTTCCTGGAAGTAGGAAAATTAGTCATGTCAGCAATGAATTGTAAGTGAAAAAAGTAAGAAAGACTTAAAAAGAATAGGCAAGAATGAGAACATCTTACCATATCTGAATGCAAATTGTAAAATCTGTATAATTAAACAGTGCAGGCTGACACATGAATAGGCAGACAAAGTAGAACAGGAAAAATATCCATAAAATAACAAGTACATGTGGAAACTTCGCATGTAATAAGAGTGGGATAGTAATTCCTTGGGAAAAGATAGACTTTTTACTAAGTGACACCTAAATAGCAATTTGGAAAACAAGGGAGATGATTCTATCAAAGGATAAACTCCAAACAGATTAGAGACATGATTATTTAATGAAATGAAACCATTTGAGTACTAGAGGAAAGTTCATGAAAATACAAAGGAAGGAAATAATTCATAACTAAAAATCCAACAGTAAGGACATAAAACATTCATGAATTAGAACAAGTAAAACCAGATTTTTTCAGCACAAAATCACAAATAAAACAAATTGCATTGATACGGAATATTTACAACTTATATAACGGACAAATGGTTAATTCCTCTAACATTCCAAGAACTCCTAGAAATCAAGGAAAAGGAAAACAAGAATCAGACAGAAAAACAGGAATAAATAGGAAAAGAGTGTTCAGACAAAAACAGATAAAACTAGCCCACATAGATTTGAAAATATATTCAATCTAAGTCATAGCATGAGAAATACAAATTAAAAGTAATTGCTATATTACTTTGCAATGACAGAATTTGCTAAAATCCATACTTTGACAACTTGGGCAAATCTATTGGAAAAGTAGAAATAAACAGGCCTTCTGATGTATTGTTGGTGGGATTGCAAAATGATACAACTTACATACAGGGAACATTGGCAATATATATCAATAATCTACTCCACAATCCTACTTTTTAGAATGTATTTCAAAGGATGACTGACTAAAACATGCAAAACATGTCTCACTGTGGCTTTATTATTGACATTTGGCAACAACATAAATGCCCATCGGTAGGAATAAACTAGGTTACAACCATACGGTAGAACACTGTGCAGCCAGAAGAAGGCAGCAAAGATTATTTCTACGGAGATCTCATAAAGTGGATAAAAATTGTTTCTGAAAAGTTTTTTATAAGAAAAGGGTAGATACAAGTATAAAGATATATGTATTTGTTTCTTTTTATTTGGAAAAAAGCATCAAACACTGGAAGGATTAACCAAAAGTATTTATGAATATTTACCTACAGGAACAGGAAAATCAACATAGATAGAAATATGATATTTAAAGAAACACTTTTGGAAGAAAGTTTCCTCTGAACATATTTTATCATGTTGTTTAGGCACTAGAAACATTTTTAAAATTATTTATTATTTATTTATAAAAATAAAATTATATCAAATTTTAAAAGCCATCCCTAAAAAATAAAAACAGAATCCAGTGATACTAATTGTATATCATGTTTGTAAAAATAAGTGACTTAAGAACACATTATTTTGAATGTAAATCAATTTTTGGAATATATTCTGAAGACGAATAAAGGTACAAAGAATCAATAAACTTTATACCTGGTGCATGAGCAGCATACTCATAGTAGTACGGTTTTATGCAGTATGTTGTTACATATGAGTATATGGGTATTCATTGTACAAATATCTCTATTTTGGGTATCTTTGAAAAGTCATTGAAGACAAAATCATAATGGGACGAGTATTCATAACTCCTGTTCTACATCTGGCCCAGGTTTAAAATATATTGTTTTATAATAAAAATATCCTGAAGTAATTGGTAAGTTCATAACCAATACTATAGCTAAAATAAAGCTCTAAAGGATTCGGCTATTCCCAGATGATTACACTTGGAAAATGCATTAAAATGTTGAAGAAGCATCCAAGATCAACCCTCATGCATTCAATGTTTTATACACATTCTTGTATTTGGAAGGAGACTTCCACGTTTTTAAAAACATAATAATTATATCAAATATTTTCTTCAATTGAGTAATATATTAAATTCAAAACATTTGATCCAATTAACCAATTGGACATTAGTTTTGCCTCCTGGAGATGCAAGAAAGCCATTTTAAATATGTGAAAAGAGTCATTTTCAGTAAGTCTCCCTTTGTATGGTAGTGAATTTTCCTATTACTGAAGGTGTTGCAACATTAATTGAAAATCTATATGTTGTTGAACAGAAGAGATAATTAGACCAATAGAAGGCATTCTTTCACTGGTTTATGAGGTCCTGGAAGACAGAAATGTATAATCAGTTTTAGTTTAGATGTAAGTGTACCAAGTTTTACTGTCAAACAGATTTGGGTTCTAATGCTGGTTTCAATTTAGTAACTGAATGATCTTGAACAACACATCTTAGGACTCAGTTTCCTTTTATGGAACATTAGCATAGTAATTATTTTCTCAAAGAGCAGTTGTAAGCTGAAATAGATAGCTGTAAAGGGTTTGTAATATCACTGGAATCTAGTAATAATTCGAAAGTTGTTAATATATTATTATTCTCTTTTATTCACCACTATTATTCAGAGCTGCATAAATCAACTCATTCCATACCTAGAAGTTTCTAGTAAATTTAGCTAGTTTATCTTATTTGTGATGAGAAGTTGGCCTTTCTACTTTTACAAATTCTTTAACCCTGTCCTATAGTCTGCAATGATATACAGAGAGTAAAGATCTCCCACCACAGTTCTTTAAATATCATATTGCTATCTATGTTGATTTTCAGATAAATGCTTTTCAGATAAATACCGCATTTCTACATATGTCTTTGCTTTTCAGGTAAGTATGGTGCATCATTAATTTCTTCTTAATAGGATTCCAATTGAGCCATACTTCACCCCCCAAAATAGCTGGAGCACATGCTCATTATTAAACAGTGAATTAAAACCAATTTGATTTAGGAATACTTCGCACATGTTAGGTTGTCCTATGATACAACTGGAAAGTGACACATAACAAGAAGTAGGGATCACCATTTTAGCATAGTCCTTATTGTAAGGACATGGATGATAATACAAACCTAATACATGTTGAGGCAATTAAAGATGAACATAGTAAAATGATGGTCTAACATCATCATCACAAATAAGAGGGATTTCATTTCCTATCTACAGGAGATTTAAAAGTCTTTTTCAGTGTCCACATTTGCTTGTAAGTTACAGATTAATATGACTTCTTACTTCTGTCGTGAAGAATATGTATTTCAGACAAGAAAAATCAGATGATAATATATTGGTGTATACCATAATACACTTTTATTACTAATTCTATATTGCTTGTGTTTTAATTGGCTTGGCTTCAATTAAATAATTCTAAAGGCAATATGACATAATGAAGGCAAATGAAACATGAGGTTTAGAGTCAGGTATGTAAGGGCAAATCCTAGTAATAGCACATCATCTCTCTACTTGTTGACTGTGGGGCTTTGGTAAAGTTGCATATGTACTTAGCATTCCCATCTCTAAAACAAAGAAAATATTCTTCTTTCAATTATCTGGGAAGATTAAATAATATAATCCCTCTACAGTACCTGGTGGATTATATGAGTGCAATAAATGTTATCTTTCTCTCTTTTCCTTTTTATTAAGACCTAACAGTTGATGAGGAAGTTTAAATTTTCATAAGCTAGGATTTCATAGTTTTTTAATTTTACCACAGGAATCAGGACATAGTCATAATTGTTTCTAATGGTTTTTATAATCAAAATATATAGGATTACTAATAATAGTAGTGGGTTATCATTTCTAATAGCCTGATAAAGATAATCCATTAATAAATTGCTCATGGTTCTTCTCTACAGTATAATTTTAATCCATGTATACAAAAGCTTTCCTTGTAGATATGCATGTAAGGCAACTTAAATCTGCAGTTTAAATCACCATAATAGTTCTTTTAATGAATATCCTGTTTAAAACCCTTACTTACAACAGAGCACATGACTATTTGATGTAAACTTGTTGCCTTGTGCTAACCTTCAACTTTTATAAATCATGGATTGTTGAATATTTAAGAAATTTTGAGAAGGGCACTCAATTTACATGGAGAATAGGCCTTTCTTTCCTGTAAGAGATCTGTTTTTTTTTTTCAATTGTGCATAACTATCATACTTTTGTAATTATCTTCTTCACAGTTGTTTGAGAATTTTACGACCTGAGAAAATGTATTCTCAATTTTTACTGTAACTTTTCCACAAGTATTAAATTATAACAATTCATCAGAACCTATGTAAATGACACACAATGTTCAGATTCGAAAACTGAAATAGTGTTATTCAATCAACTAAATGATTGCGTTCAAAAGTCATTTTTGTTCATTTTTTTAAACCAGCTGTAGCTCATAAGCATGACATGGGTTCCAAAGGACATCCACACATTTTGTAGAAACTAAATGTGATTTTGAAAATGATTCAACATTCTGAGTCTGTTAGGCAGCAAAAGGATTAATGACTGTGGATATAAAAAGATGTGATTATTCCACATAGAAATCATGCAGCTGTGTCTTGTGCAACTAAAATTTTGTGGTGGTTTATGGTCATTAAAAGCACATATTGAAGGATGCTTTCATAGAAAATGGGAAACAGGGGACAATAAAACAAACAAACAAAAAATCACCATTTTAATGTTATACCATGGCTGGCTCATAGAATTTGACATTTTTTATAAGATATGGCCCTTAAAATTATGTATTTTTCCATTCTGATCTTTAAATCATCTATGTTGAGTCAATGAGAAATAGAAATTAAAGAACCTTCATACTGTTTACTTCTCACTTGGATTTTCTCAATTGGCATTCTCATATATATAGTTATTGAGGGTAGAAACAGACTAAAAATAATAGATAAAACAATGATACGAAGAATCCTACAGGTAAATCAACAATGATAATGTGGTAGATTATTTTGTTCTTTGCAACTACTTACAACACCATCATAAATGCAAACATGCATACATAGTTTCATGATCCATTGTAGAGAACAACTATGAGCAGTTCATGATGCATTATATTTATTCTGATATTAGAAGGAAGGAGAATGCTGTGATCAGTGAAATGCAAGTGAGCCAGATGTTGATATAATGCAAGTTTGGACAGTCATCACAAAATTACACCTGTTCTCTTGCTTTTTACCCCTACCAGGAGGATGGCATGTTGCAAAAGAGTCCTTCTTCATTCCCAAGACACATAGATCAGAATCACAGGGTACCCACAGAAACCAACATATAATATTGGTCAGAAGCAACAATTATTGTTATGATCAACTAAAATTTGTGTCTTTTTTTTTTACTACCATGAGGCTGACTCTTATGAGTTGGATGTATTTTATTTTATTTCGCGATTGCCACTGCCCTTGAGTTAGTCCATTGTCCTATAATGTTTACATTCCGCCCAGAAAAAAAATTATGTGCATTTATGGCAGATGTCTTCCCGGTCATTCAACTTCCTTACATTTGAATATCTTACTCTGAATGACTGTTTTGCCTTGGAGTGATTTGTAGTTATTAAAAAATGCTATTTGAGTGAAAATCCTTCTCACAGAAATATACATTGAAAACATTGTTTAAATGTAATTGTTTGTAGGTTTTACTTTTGATGTAGCCTTTTGCCTCAAAAAGATGGTCCATTTTTTGGCAATGATAAGCCATATTATTACTTGTGCTAAAGCCTTACAATATTTTTTGTTATTGCTGCCCTTTTGAAATTATATTGAGTTTGCAGTTACATGTTGCTCTCAGGGCTGATAATCATCCTTCTTAAGCTCCACATGTTAAAGGTACACAGCCTGGTGAGATCTATCTACTAATCTACTAGTATGGTATTGTGGGGGAAAAAAGTGTTTTAGAAATAGATATACATAAGAAGAAAAAAAACAATCTTAGAGAAATAGGCTTTTGCCAAGAAGCAGAACCAAACATATTAGGATAGTTAAGAAATAGACATGTTGGCTTAACACCAATTGGCATCTGCAAGATATTATGGGGAGGAAAGAGCTAACCTTATATTACTTTGACAAAGAAACATAATATGTTTTGCAAAGTATCCCAAAGGAGAGCAACTGACCTTATGATTATTAAGAGTTACCCTCAAGAATAGACTACAAATTTTCTAAGCAAATTTGAAGGTACCATGATACTCTCGATAGTAGTACAATAACATGAAAATAAAGGAACTGGAAATAAATCGCTCTGAGGTTAGGTGGCAATGAATCTACCCTGAGTGAAATACAATTAAGTTACTTCTAATTTTGGAGCTATTTGCAATGATATAACAAGATTTTCTAAAACATTTTTGGTATGTATAGTTACAAACTCTTGCTATGATTTTTTTAAGATTATTTCTCAGAACAGTTGATTATACCTTAAATTTATACAGATACTTTAAACAGTGTTGTCTTAACTTAATGTGCATATAAATCACCTGGAGATCCTGTTAAAATGTAGATTCTGATTCATTAATCTGTGGTGGAATTTGAGATTCTGCATTTCTAACAAGCACCAAACTGATGCTGATGCTTTTCGTTCATGGACCACACACAAGTAATGAGGTTCTAAACCATAATAACATTTATTACCAAGTTAAATGTCTGTCTTTATCATTGACCTGAATGTTCATTTAAGGAAGATCTTGGGTGTTTTGCACCGTCATAAGTAACTCAGTATATATTTGTCAAAAAAGTAGACAAGTAATTTATCTACCTTATCAATGTGCTATATAAAAGAACCAGAAAAAATATAATAAAATGTCCAATGTTCTAGAACTTAACATTTATCTTTTACCTTGGTTGCCACGAACACCTTTACTAAGATCAACTGACACAGAAATTTTAATTACATTTTGCTCTTGTTTATTCTTATTATTTACATAAGTGATTTTTAAAATTGCTTTAGTAGATAACTGCCTTGTAAACAATTAAAAAAAGATTAACAATATTGCTTTAACTTCAGATATTTTATTTTATTTACCAGTGAAACATGATATATATATATATAGAGAGAGAGAGACAGAAAGAGAATGAGACAGAGAAACTGATATAATCTTAAGAAATATCAGTGATCTTAAGATTAATTTTAATAAATATCAGTACAGCAGTCCTTTTCTCCCTTCAATGACATTTATTTTGATTATTTCCTAGGATAGGAATCTTCAAAAATATTTATTTTTCTTTCTTTTAAAACAATATATATTCTGAGAGAAAGTAATTCTATGCATCTCAAGTAATTATTCATATTTCTTTAAGAAATAAATTATTTATGTGTGTGTATTTGGTGGATTAACTTTATTATGTTATAAACTAAAATGAAATAAATTTGTTCTTCCTAACAGACCAAGTGAAAATGAGAACCACAGCAGTTAACCAACTTTGAAAGAAGGTGGCATATGACAAATAATTAAAAACTGTCTGAATACTTTATACAGAACATAATTCACATAGTGAAAAGTGAGAATTGACTATTTCTGAAATTAAATGAGCATATTCAGAGTTCTTATTCTTATGGGAATGCAAATAACCCAAAAAATTATAATTGATATTTTATCCATATTGTATCTTACTAACTTCTGACTTACACTTTCTTTAAAAGACACACACACACACACACACACAATATTTTGTAAAACTTTTTAGATAAGTGAACTACATTGGAGGCATAGTTTTACATACACACACACACATACACACACACACACATATATATATACTACATGAGAATTGAGGTAGCATACATTGTTTTAAATCACTATTGTATGAAGTTAATACTATTTTTGCACATTGATCATGAATTTTTTATTCCAACAATGAAGAGAATTTTTTTTGTATTGAAACAAAATTAAATATCTAAAAAATGCTTAAGTTTAGCCATAGAGTAATCAAAATGTATATTATCTTAAGAAATACTTTCAGAAAAAAAATTAAAAGGACTTGCAAATGAAAAAAGTATATTGTAACTATTTCTGCTAATAATTTAATTATAGCTTTTTAAATTGTACATTCAATAACAGTGGTCAAACTGAACTTGCTTTTATGATGCCTAGAATAAAAACTATTCTTCAAAGTTTTTCTAAATTAACAAATCTTATTATATTGTCTATTTGATCCTGAAATAAATTTTGGTTTTATATATATATATATATATATATATATATATTTATATTCAGAAAAGAAAACTTTTTCCCTGCATTCCTCTACATGAGAAATTGTTTTTTGTAAACAATCCTCACTGTTAACATGTGTCTGATGGCCCACAGAGCTGCAGTGAGTTAACAGAAAGGCATAGTGTAGGAAAGAGGCTGCCCATGAAAACTCCACCTCTTACTCTTCCTCCTTTTGTGGATGTGCTTGTCAGGAGATCACAGGCTTTGTTCTGCTCCTCACTGCCTTAGAGCTGAGAGAGACAAGAGTACTAGCGGAGGAACTCACAGGTTTCCTGGCTACTATGACTGGTTGGATAACGCTATATAATTCAGGAGATGCGGATAAGGGCACATTTAAAATTTCTATAAATATTTTGTTATAACATTTAATACATTTTTAATGAATATTTTGGTCTCTATGTTCCTTAGTGTTTTGTCTTTTAAAATTGATCCAGAACACAGTTTTGTTGCATTATAGTAAACTCTCTTTCTCCCCCTAATTAAAGCCCACCAATTTTAAAGTCATTATTTTTTGTCATATTCACTTATATTTTGTATTTTGTATTCAGTACACAGATACACTTTAATTTTAGTATTTGTCATATATTGAATTATAATAAAGGTATTACAAAAATGGTCATTAAATATATTCCATAGCTAGAAATCAATATTTCCCAGAAGTGCAGTCTTTTTCAAGATTGATTCTTTCAATTGAGTAGCTTATTTTAGATATTCAAACAGTGATGGAATTTAGATATCATTATCCAAAATAGAAGCAAACTGAATTACTATATCGATAAACAGTCTGGTAGCTATAAAATGAAATAAATGGGGAAAATAATATATATTGAAGAATGTTTTTTATAATTTATTTTTCTCTATAGATAGAATGATAATTCAATCACTGGCTTTATCTGTCATAAAATATCCCATTAAAGGCTTCAAGTATGGTACCCAAAGTTTTATGTCTACATCAATAATATGATATACTAAATAACTCTTAGGGGAAAAAGCCATTTTTCATGTATTTCTTTTTATGACTGTAAAACTGATAGTGAGTATTTTATAGTCAACTTGTTTTGAAAAGCATTGAAATTTTTTTGAAGATTTAGGTACTTAGGAAGCACCTAGTCATAATACAACTGGCTTTTTGTTAAAAAGGTTTGCTTATATACATTACACCCTAGTGTTATAAGTTTTTCCTTGGTCTTCATTAATTAAGAGAAAGAAGTGGAGGGATTAGTTCAATTTAAATGCCACAAACCTCCATTTTTTTTAAATGGAGAAATACAATTTCATGTTCAATCAGGTAAAACAGTGAAGGTTAAATGATAAACTCACAGCCACTAAAAAGATTTTAGTGTAAGTACAATAGCAATAATTTTAAAATTGCCAAAATCATTTCTGGTATACATTTTAATCGCAGATATCTTATATCCTTAAGCTATTTAAATAATTTCATGCATCTTAACTGAATTATTAACTTTAATGAACAAAAATTCCCGCAGGAAAATAAAGTAATATTTTGAGAAGAAAAATAATTCCAGCACAAAAAACTATGAAAACTCAATCCAAGGAATATTCAGAGATTAGAAACTGAGTAAGGTTGTTAATTCCATCTCTTTCCCCCTTTAAGGCAATACTTGAACAAAACTTTCAAAAAACTGAAGTAAAATCATTTAGAGAGAGCATACTGCCATCACTGGAAGAATCAACCTCAAGTGAATAATCTTACAAATTTTGAAACATGGTGTATACAAAAAAAAAACATGCAAAACAAAAACGAATCTTAAGGCCAAAATGTGGCATCCACCATATCAACATAGTAAAACAATTAAATTTAAAAGTCACCATAATTTTGGAACTAAGGAACAAGAATGTCTATGGAACCATTGGTGTTTTTGATCTCTTCTGTCTTTCCTCTGTCTTTTCCTTCTTTTCTTATCTGGAAAAATATATTTTATCTTCTGAAATACTTACAGGTGCTTTGAATCACTTATATAATAATAATGAAGTATGTGTTTCAAAATCACTGAACTTTTTCAGAGGAGGAGTTATAGAAATAACTCAAATTTTACCTTTCAGATTTTATTGCATTAATAATAATTGACATTACTAAGCCAAATAGACACAGCTTTCACAGAATCAATCTTCACAATTATTAAAATATTTTATATTTTTGGCTATCTACACTAACATAATGAAAACAACTTCAATGCATCACATACTTAAATTATACCACACACTGTGCTAAGCACAGTTTTCAACATTTATACTAACCTTTCTATGTCCCATCACATAGGTGTTATTCTCCCCTTTTCTGTTAAATAATTAAAATGCAGAGGAATTACTTAATAGATTTTAAAGTCTCACAGTTGCCTAAAAGACGGGGAGGGAGAATCAGGATTCAACAAGGATATGGCTGATCTCTTTCTCTTCTTATTTTATCACTATTCATTTGTGGAACAAGGTAATGGAGAAATAGTGTGTATTTACAGCCAGACTTTTCCATCTGCCTTAGCCGCCTATATTTTTCACCTTTAATGTCTTGAGATTCCATGCCGGAGTTATTTTCCACAATGTGCTCAGGCATCCACTCCTTTTTCAACCTGTTCATGCCTTCCTTATCTACTCTTACTTGGGTACTGATTCTCATCAATTCTGAATCTTTATTTGTGAATTTGACCCAGTTGGCTCTCTGGATTTGCTTGCATTCAGAATTATTCCTGAATTATAACTCAATTATCCTCTGTTTATATTATAAATGTTTACATATATCTAGTTATTTGGATGACCTCAATCTCCTAAGAAAGTGTAGTTTTACTTGTTTATTCATTTAACAAACAGTTAATGAGAACCTACTGTAAATGAAGGGCAATTATAGCCATGGGGATGAAGTGGTGACCAATATAGCTAAGGCCCTTGTTTTTAAGAAAATATGCAAGAACTACAGATAATAAACCAATAGCCAAATAATTAAAATAATTTCACATGATAATAAATACTGTGATAAATGCAAATGTGATCATGAAATAGTAGAGAACAATGGGGTTCACTGGGCACTATTGATGAAAGAGTAGTCAGGAAAAGGCCTCCCTGAAAAAATAACATTTGGGTAGAAAAATGTGAACATCATTGTGACTGTGACTGAAAAATAGAGCATGAGGAAGAAATGAGAAGAGGCCTGAGTTTAAAGCTAGCATTCACAGATCATTGATGTAAGGCTTTATAAACCACAGGGAGACACTTAGATTTTATTTTAAGTGGCCAGTTCTAGGTTTCAGTTAAAACAGTGAATATGAACTGATCCAAGATTTTAAAAGAGCTGTGTGGAGAAGGGACCATTTGAGTATTGTAGGAAAAAAAAAATGATGATGTCTTGGTCTAGAGATGCTGGAGAGCAGGTGAGGAAAGAGTTTGATATGGGGTATATTCTGGTGTAAAAAATTGACATGACTTGCTGAAAGACTGGGCTGGCAGGTTAAGGAAAGACAAGACATCCTCTAAGGCTAGAAAATGAACAAGCTGCCTTTTGTGACACCATACCATTGCTGCGAATCAGTCCGGCTATCTTTGGTAAACCCATTAAGAAACTGACAAGAAAGCAGGGATTCACTCTTTTCCTGGCTTTCCTATTCAATTTTATACAGTGTTCTTCATTATAAGAAAAAGTAACATCTATTTCTAAATGCAATTGTGGGACATGATTTGAAGTCAAACACAAAATTAAATATATGTAATTCTGGGATATTTTTTAATTTTAGGAAAATGTCATATGTTGCTTATTACACATTATCTCCTAAAAGGTCATTTAAGTATATTCAAAATGCTGAATCACACATCACTATGAAAAAGCCATATTTTTAAGGCTAAATAGTATTTAACAATATCACACAATAGCTTCCTTAATTTTTACAAATGTATACATTTACATATACAAAGAAAGTGACATTTATTCATTTCTACTTTCTTATTATGCATCATAATTATTTGTTTATCACTTTTTCCGTACCAGCTACAATCTGTATCAACTACAATCAGAAACACTAAAATGGTGCTAACAATGTAATTGTAGTTATTTAATATGTACTCAAAGAAATCTTTCCTTCTCTCTATAACTAGAATTGATGACCCCACCTGTGACTTCTTATTATTCATGTATTTTAAATAAAAGTTTCCATATCACCTTACAGAGTGCAACAATTATGTCAAATATTTGTATGTTATTAGATTGTAAATAGCTTTCATGCAGAAACTTAGTAATATTCATCTGCTTCACAACTGTGAACACTGTGTGGGACATTTAATAATCACTCAAAATGTGTTGGGTAAATGAATGAATGAGTTCTATAACTATTCATACTGTAGCTATCTTGATTAATTAACACTTTTCTGCGATTTATACGGTTTTAGGCACAAGCACACACAGGCACAAATAGGTTCAAAGAGCCGTACCTCCCAGAGTAGCAGATAGCAAGAAATGTGTCCCATATTTCTTGATAAGGTTTTCTGTGATTTGCTGAAGGGTAGGTCGACGTCCCAAAAGTCTTATGTTGCGGAAGAATTCAGGGGCAAGAGGCAGAGGAGAGCCAAGGAAATTTCTTCTCTCAACTGCAAGGTTATTTACTTTCCAGCGGCCAAACTCCCTGAAAAGCAAATTTATTTTTATTCATAAATGCATAATCTATCTGAATGTTTTCATTTGAGTTCACTTGGTAGCTGGGGTCAGTACATTACAATGTCTCTTGCTTGTAATACTAGGTTGTGTGCTATGAGTAGGAGAAGCAATATTTATAATTTATTTAACTGGAGTGAATACTCTAAAACCAAGTCATGTAAAGGAAAAATAAGCCACCTAAAGTGTACAGCTTCCACTGAGATTTTTTTCCCCAAGAAAATATATTTTCATAAAAACGACTTTATTATGCCTAGAATATGAATATAGAGTTACTAAACAGTAACAAAACAACTTAAGGGCAATTTTTTTCATTTTCTAAGGTATATTGGAAAAAAAGAATGATTTATATTCATCACCCTAATGATTCCCTTTCTCTATTCACTTTAGAGTGGGAACATAAAAAACCTCAGGAATATTAAGGAGACGCAGAACTTTAAAAACAACAAAAAAGAAATCAGTTTTCTTCTTTTTTTTTTTAATAATCATGGTTTACAACATATTTGGAAACCCAAATTCAGCTATTGCAATTTCTCAAGATGCAAAGTGATTTTATGGATGAATTTGGCCAAGTTAGAAAAATGAAAGATATGTCTATAAAAGATTTATACATTTTTTAAAGAATGTATACATTTACATTGAGATAAAATCAATCTGATAATAAATTAGAAAAGAATTATAGCAAACTGCATCTGATAATTTTTCTGAGAAGTGGTCCAATAAAATTCTCAAATATCACCCACAGGGAAGAACACTCTTCATTAGGCTTAATACTTCAAAGTGTGTTAATTCATATTTATAAAATAATCAAATAAAATGTTAATTAAACACTTTATACACATGTGCAATCTTTATTTCTATTTTTCTCCAAAAAATGCTTGCTATGTGCCAGGATCAGTGCATGATAAGAGATTCATCTACTGATGAGACCCACACTGTCCATCTGCAAGTAGCCTTCTCCTTTTGGAGAAATGTTTAGGAATAAATAAAATAAAGACAGAAAATTAAATTTTTTAAAGTTTTAAATTCTGATATGTACTGAGAGATACACATACAGACCACTTTGATGAGAAATATGACTATATGAAGTGTGGCCATATTTTACATTACATGGCCAAGGAGGGTAACTCTGCCGAGACAACAATTAGGCAATATGTGAAAAAATAATAATAAATTGCTTGGTGCAAGGAGGCAGGAAAAGGACTGAAGCAGAATAATGAGGAACAGTGTACATACTTCCAGGACAAAGGGACATGACACTGACAGTTTCTAACTATGGATATTTAGTACTTGTGGCACATATTTGACAAACAGCCCATTTTTGTCACTAATTATATGATCAGAATCACTTTTGAATCTAGGGAAGACTTTGGCCTGAACATAAATTAGAAATTCTTTCATCTTTGAGAAATTCTTGCTATCTCCTGTAAGAATCAGCTCATCTAAAGTTTTAATTAGTGTTTTTCCTCGAAGGGTTCTCAAACTTCAGCACCTATCAGAATCACCTGGAAACTTCACAACAGAGATTCTGATTCATTAGGTATTAGATAGGAGTTAGAATCTGCATTTTAAACAGACATGCTAGTGCTGCTCTTCTGGTGACCATACTTTGAATAAAACAACCGATCTACATAATTTGCTATATTGTCTTTCAGATCTCTTCAAAGTGTCATCTTTTCAGTAAATATAGGGCTTTTATAGGCTGAATTTATTATAATGTTCCCTCAAAATAGAGTAAGAATGTCTTTATCTTTCCAAACCTAAGTTGATATCAATAAATTTTTATGTTAGTCACTTCTACAATAAATTTACTTAAATCTGAATTGTAGGTACATAATGTATGTATATGTATAATATATAAAATATATAATATTAAATATAGGATATATAAATAAAAATTTAAACATTGACAAAAGATCATTTGAAATCAAATATTTAAGTCCTAAATTTGATGATATATCTCAGGATATATAGTAATACAAAACTTCTAAGAAGTTATTTTTATACCATGATCAAAATAATAGTTGCTCATTAATTCCAAAATTTATAGGCTTATGCTCAAACATTTAATTTTTTAACTCCTGAAAAATGCTTGTAATTTAATCAATAGAGTAACATAACTTGACCTTAAAGCTGTGACATGTATTTTTCAGTGGTTTACAGTGCTAAATTTGTTAACTCAAATGTATTTATAGATTAAGATACAATCTAAGTGAAATAATTAGACTAAAAAATCCAAGATGATTGATTCAATGGTAATATTTTATATCCTGTATAAATGCTTTCTAAAATGCTGAAAGATTTTCGATACATGACTGAGAGTAAACACATGCTAGAAAAGTGCAATTCTATGTTTTTTAACAATTAGTAAATATGCAAATATAAATCCATGATCTATTCTGACCTGATGTATTTATGACTTCCTTCATTTTGTTCCTCTTAAATAAGAACAATAGACATATTACAAAACAACTAAAACAAATTATGTATCTTATGAAATCAATTTATAAGGCTCTATAATACTGTAGAATCAGCTATTCAAAGAAAATATTGTTTACTCTTTATTATCAACTAATATTATTGTCCATGTTGCTGGCAATACAGATGAACATAAGAAAATCTATGACCTCGAGGGCTCAAAAATTATACAAAGATAAAATATGAATGAATAAATTGCCATTCAAAGGCTTTAGAGTATTTTTCTGTGTAAAAATACAATTGTATAGTAGCTTAGTTAGCCCAACTCCTCTACCCATTTATCATTGTTCTTTGATATGAATGGATCTAATCCAACTCACTTTGGATATGTTTTCTCTGAATAGCCTAAGAAGGCTTCCTGGACAACTTTCCAGAGAGCTTCCTTCAGCTATCAGGTACTTTTTACTCACTCAATATGTTAAATTTGTAGTCTCACTTCACCTTCTAATATTTCAAATGATAAAACACTTTGACACCCCATCTATTAATCTATTATCTCTGTCATGCAAAAAACAAAAAGAAAGAAACTCTTTGGGGATATCACCAAACTAAAACTAATTAAATAACTAAATAATTATAGTTATTGTTAATAACTAAAGAAAAATATTTTCTTAATTTCAAGAAACTTAATCTTCCAGTTTTCTCCCCATATTTTCATATAAAGAATAAAGCAAAATACTACACCATTGTGTATATCCAAAAGAATAAAGCAAAATACTACACCATTTTGTATATCCAACAAGGTTAGTTTGTGTAGACAACATAAATTTCAAATTGAAATCTAAGAGAGCTCTTATTTCCTCTCCACATTTGGTTTGTACTGTCGTGAAATATGATCACTGTTATAATCTTTATAAAGTTTTTCTGGAAACTGAGATAAAACAACAAAATAATCCTAAGAAGTGGTGATAAGAGCGCTTTAAGTAAAGACAGTCATCTCTGGAGAACCACACTGTGAGTAGTAAACATTAGATATGAATCGAAATTCCCAGTGTCCCTTTTTCCCGAATACAAGATAAGACATTACTGATGACATTTTAAGTCACCGTGGCCATGTGGCTTACTTTGACAGATGAATTGTGAGCATGTATGTATAACCTGGTCCATAAGCCCGGACATTGATTAGCAACTATAATCAGAATTGCTATGGTCCACATATATCCCTAACGCTTAACAGGATGAACAAGTGAATGAACTGAAAGTAAATTTTGTCATGTAAAGTCATCAAGATTATGGGAGGCTGAGGTGGGAGAATCACTTGAACCCAGGAGGCGGAGGTGGCAGTGAACCGAGATCATGCCACTGCCCTCCAGCAAAGATTATGGGATTATTTGATTTGCTTATTTTCTAGTAGTATAATCTAGTATATCATTATTGATGTAAAGTTTTTTGACTCTGGGAAATCTTAGGAAGGTAATAAGGAGCTAATGTCTGTATATAAATTGGAATCTAAGGGGTGAGGGTTTGTTTTTTTTTTCCTTGTTTCCTGAAGACAAGATTCACCTCAGTTACAACTAGATCATGCATTCATTAAATGTTGGAAAAACAAAGCAATGGAGCGCTGAATTAAAAACATGCTGTTGGATGTAATTACCATAATGAGAACATTTTACCTAAGGCATCTCAGGATTTCATCCAGATGCTTTATGTTTATATTAAATAAGAACATTGTTGTATCTAACTAAGTGTTGTATTCTACTTGGAGCCTTCACAGAACGTAACTATCTTCCCATCATAACGTTTGCAAGTCTTTCAATTAAATAGGCACAATCGTTAGTTTAATGTAACTCAGTCCTTTTCAAGACACCACTGTGATATAGAACACACATATGGGCTGTAACCAGTTTAACCAGAACATTACTTTGAAAATATTTTTGGGGATCATACTCTAAGGAGCCTCTATTTGTTTATTAGAGTTTTATGTTTGTCTGCTAAAAACTCTGATGTGCAATCATCTACTATGTATGTCCATACAACGTTAATTTTTCTACAATGTTTATTATAATTTTATCCCTACTCAGCTCATAAAAAGGCTAGAAAATAAGAATGACATCATCAAATTTCAGTTAAATGCTGGTCACATAATTGCCACATTGCCATTAACCTTTCTTATTAGCATTTAAATATATACAAATACACAAATGTACTCAGTATATTTAAAAGATATTAACTGTCATGATTTCTTTAAAAGTACACACATATGTTTGGCTTTCCCAAAACACAGAATTTGCCACTCTTCATATTAGAAATTTTGGATTAAATACCAATGAAAAAGAAACCCAAAATATATTGACAAAAGCAGATGATGCAGTAGCTGAAAAGATTTACCTTTAACTGTTAATTTCCATTAAATGAAGTTGTCTAAAGTCCTAAATGCTATTATTACATTACTTTTCACATTACTATATTTGTTGGCTAGTAATTTTATCAATAACCATTAAAATTTTCAGACACAATAGAATCTTAAAATAAATATATTACCTAAGCATTCATGTCTACTGGAACAAATTCAAAACAAAAATCACAAATTAACTTGCCAAACTTTAATAACGATAACATTCTAATTACATCTGTAAAATCATATGGATCTTAAGAAATGGCACTAATGTCAATATTGGCTCCCCATAATTTTATTGAGAAACTGTGATATATAAAATTGACTTTAAAAGCATTTTTACTGGCTGGGCACAGTGGCTCATGCCTGTAATCCAAGCACTTTGGGAGGCTGAGGCGGACGGATCACTTCAGGTCAGGAGTTCGAGACCAGCCTGGCCAACATGGTGAAACCCTGTCTCTACTAAAAAAAAAAAGAAAAAAAAAATAGCCGACTGTGGTGGTGTGTGCCTGTAATCCCAGCTACTCAGGAGGCTGAGGCAGGAGGATCACTTGACCTGGGAGGCAGAGGTTGCAGTGAGCCAAAATTGTGCCACTGTACCCCAGCCTGGGCCGCAGAGCGAGACTCCATCTCAAAAAACAAAAACAAAAACATTCTTACCATATAGCTTCAACATCTCACAAATGACACTGTTTTCCATTTGGCTGGTAAAAGGAAAATGTTTTAAATGGCCTGGATGCCTGTACCACTGAAGCTAGTGTTTATAAAACAGCTAAATGCTCAGCAATTGGCAAGATAAAAAAGTCCACTCTCCCTTTAGCCCCTTGATACATCAAACTTTTTAAAATAAATTTAATAGTAGTAGAGTTTAATTTTTTTTTTAAGCTTGGGAAAAATTTTTGGATGATGCTGGAAATTTAGCAGAATGAATCTATTCCAATAAAATACTGGGGATAAAAGTCCAATCACAAATACAACTTATGTAAAGTGTTTATATGTAGGATTTCTGATAAGCACTGATTAATGACTGTTGTATTTTGAAAAAGCTGCCAAACTCAAAGTAGACTACAGAAGACAATTGGCATGACTGCAACAAAAACAATTGCCATCTCAGTAGAACAACAAGAATTAATTGTAGCTGTAACCTCATGACTATCATTGAAACAAAAAAGATGAAGGTGGGGCTATTGAGAAATTTTTAAAGGATGGTCTGGTTTATGGCTAGTTATGCACACTTCAGATTTTTAAAATATGTTATATTTTAGGGCTTTGAAATTACTGAAAATAATTTAATTTTATGTTACATAGTTTTAAATCACTTTCATAGCTTAATAGGGTTTTATGCAAACTAAGAGAAATACAACACAAATGCAGGTATATATGATAATACAGAAATTGATTAAGCTTGTTTAAATTAAATCACATTTTGAACACTTGTTAGCAAAAGCTTTCTGTAAAAACATACAAACATGCTGTTAATGATCTTCTCATTTGAATAAAGGAAAATATGTAAGAATTTTGCTTAAATTTTGCTTTCTAAAGTTTGAAAGTATAGTTTAATTTCTATCACAAATATTATATCAACTTATCAAAATTACTCCTTAATTACATTCATATAATAATACAGATTAGGTAACTATTGATAAGTGTAGACAAGTCAAGAGGCATAGACATATCTGAGCTAAAATAAAATAAAATAAAATATTTAGTCTGTTTCTGATAAAAAGAGATACATGGAATGTTTTTATTTTAGCATTTATACTTACAGAAGTAATTCATTATCTTCATTAATAGATATAAATATTTGCATTTGTGAATATATTTTATTATTTTAGATAGGGAATTTTAATTTTTAAAAGGAAATGGAATTTGGAGTGAAACAACTGAAGTTTCAAATCCTATACTCACCAATTTAATTCACAAAATGTAAAGCTTTCAGAATTTTTGCAAGTTCATAACCTCGGTGATATAAACACACCTCATCTATGATCATGGGTGTAATAAAACTGATACAGGAGACATTTTGAAGTAAAATTTGTAAAACTTAACTACAGTAGTACAGATAACATGGATTACTTCTTAGTAATTTTTGGTACATGTAAATTTGTGAAGTGGGTTTTTTGTGCCAGGATGTTAATTTTTAAAAATGTATAAATATTATTGATTAAGGTAATGCGATTTTGTGGAATTAATAAGTAAAAATTTACAAAAGAATTTATAAATAAAATCACTTAAAGAATATGCACCACACCAGTGTTGTTCCAGGTATAGACTAATAAGTTTAATGCTCATAAAGATAGGTAAATGTGAAATAGATATCTGTTAATGAAAAAATAATGTTTGCTGACAATTTCTTCAATTATTTAGGCAACATTTCCACTGAGATTTCTTTATGATGATACAACATCTACCTTAAATTAAACATTGGATTTTTTTTTAAACCATGGATTATGTGAAGGTAACTAACCAATTATATATCTGAGATTACAATAAATTACAACTTCACATATTGCTTCATTTCAAGTTACATGAAGTAAGAAGGCAAAATGAAGGATTTTTTAAAGAATAACTGCATTTCTAGTGACAATAAATATAAATTGCCCATCTTTTAAAGAAAATTTTTCATAATAAAGATGAGTTTTGAATAATAACTCAATTCAGTAGAATTTACATTTTTCCTGAAATATGTCTTAAAATGTCTTAAAGGGAATTCCTTTTAAAATGTTAGATGATTTTTCCCACATAGTTGAGGCAAATGAAAATGTGTTGCTGCAGGTCATAGGCTTTAATATACAAATAATTTATTTCAACATGCTCTTAATTTTATGTCTTTCATATATACATCAGATAGGGAGACTGAATATGGTACTTTGTGACAAAATAAATTTTCAGAAAAAGTATAAACTTAAGTTTACAAGGTATAAATTTTTTATTCCCCAAATTATAACCTTTCAGTATGAATCAGGCTTGATTGTTAGAATACAATTTTACACACAAACACTTTATAAAATATTAACAGGTAATTTCATCTTTCTGTGGATACCACTGTCTTGTATGGATTACAAATTGAAACTTGTTATCTAGCAAGCACTTGGTCTTACCATCTTCTTTTGGGGATTTATATAATATAAACTTCTTAAATATTACCTGCTTCATATGAACTTCAAAGACACTAACAATATGTGGGAACTGCCATCTTTTCTGCTCTACCATACCTGTCTCCAATTAATTCAGGTCCTCTTGTTATATGCACTCGTGGCACAATTTTCTTTTCCTTCTGTGAACTTACTTGTGTCACTCTTTGATTCATGTTTCATGTAGATGTGAATTATTTTTTCTTATAACCATTGTATTTTTAAGACTCAAATGAATGACCCATAGTAGTCACTCATTAAATACACTCGGAATCATGAAATGAGTAAATATTCTCATGTGAGCTAAAATGAAATAGCTACCTAAGTATGAAAAAGAATGAGGTTTCCTACTAGTTAGTATACACCCTGACTAAAGTTCACAGAAAATCAAACTCAGTAGAGGAATATATTTCTCAATTATCCTCTTTGAGTGTTCATGTGACTAGGGCAAATTAAAAGTTAACTATTTGCTCTAAACTGAGAAACACTAACCGTATGTAAAAACCTACTCCCACTGATATCTAAAATATATGTTTGGAAGTTTAGAAATATGCTATCATTTCCTGCTAGGGCAGTAAAATGTATAGTTGTGGTACTCCAAGCATCTTACGGTTAATACACTTTGAGAACAGCAATCCAGATATTTCAGCTATAAAAAGATTTTTAATTTCTCTAATCTATGCCAGCCATAAGGCAGGGGAAGCACATTGATATAGACAAATTCAGTTTTCATCTTTTATGGGCGAAATAAATATATTTGACTAGTTTTCTCCTATAAACTTTAAAATGTAATTTTTCACTGATTAGCAGTCAATAAGTTTATACGTTTGGTAGGCAAAAACAACTTTCATACTAGTGTTCATTAAACATTTTCTGCCAGATAACTTTTACTTCATCATTGAAATTGAAATGATAATTTAATTAGACTTGTTTCTAAGCGATCAACCTATGAATTTTAAACTATGGCACTGAGGTGTGTGCTCTTTTTATCTCCTTGTGATAAATGAGAGAAGATTGTTAGAAATAAATTCTCCGAGGCTGTATATCTAGCAAGAATTTGAATCTAGGGGGTGAGACCTCAAACTTAATGACATTAACTCATTTACAGATTGATAGCAACTTTGATTGAAAGGTGGCTGTTACTGGTAATGTATATCTGTGAGTGTTTGTGTGTGTGTGTGCACGTGTGTGTGTGTGTATTTGTGGGAAGCATGGAGGATGCATGGGAGAGACAGAAAAAGATATGGAGTATAGAGAGAGAGAGGAAAGAGAAGAAACAGACAAGGTTGAGAGAAGTTTATCCATTAAATGGGGAGGAATGTGAGAAATACTAATATATATCAAACAGAAGCAAAAAGCCAAGTATAGATTAATCTTTTATTGTCCTGACTAGCTACCCAGGAAACAGAGAATGTAAACCTCTACATGGTAGAAGGACTTAAAGGGCCTTTGAGAGTATTTCACATTTCTTAAAAGATGAATTGTAGGAAGTGAATGATTAAAGAGGTTTATAATCAGTTACTTTAATAGGTGATATAGTATAGTCCAAACTCTGAGCTCAGGGTGCAGAGAACACAAGCACAGACAACAAATGCATATATAGATGCATTGGATTACAACAAAGTTAAAAGCTTCCAAACAACAAAGGAAATAATATACAGAATGGGAGAAAATAAGGGGTTCATATCCAAAATATATAAGGTGCTAAAATAAATCAATAATAAAAAGTAAAACAAATAAAAATACCCTGATTTGAAAATGAAAGAAGGACCTGAATAGATATTTCTCAAAAGAAGATCTAAAAGTGGCCACCATTTTAATAAAAAATATTCAACATCACTAATCATCAGGGAAATGCAAATTGAAACCACAATGAGATATCACTTCACTCCTGCTAGAATAGTTACAATTAAAAAGACAAAAGTTAACAAACTTTGGCAAGGATATGGAGAAAAGGTAACCCTTGCACACAGTTGGTGAGAACGTAAATTGAAACAGCCATTGTGGAGAACAGTTTGGAGATTTTTCAAAAAATAAAAATAGAACTACCATATGATTTGGCAATCCCACCACTGGGTATATATACGTATTTATATGTTGAAGAGATATCTGCACTTCCATGTTTATTGCAGCATAATTCACAGTAGCCAAGACATAGACCCAACCTGTGACCATTGGTGAAAGAATGGATTTTAAAAGGTGTTATATGTACACAATGGAGTACTTATCAGCCATAATAAAGAATGAAATACTGTCATTTGTGGCAATATGGATGAACCTGGAGGAGAGGACATTATGTTAAGTGAAATAAGCCAGGTATAGAAAGAAAAATTCCACTTGACCTTTCTCATATGTGAAATCTGAAAAAGTTGATCCCATAAAAGCAGAGAGTAGACTGGTAGCTACCAGAGGATGGGGATATGGAGCCATGGGAGGGTTTGGAAAATGCTGGCCAAATGATACAAAATGACAGAAGGAAGAAGTTCAAGAGGTCCATTGTAGAGCATGGCAATTATAGTTAATGGCCATATATTGTATTCTTGAAAAGGAAGTGATCAGCAAACCTAAAATACTGATGAACTGTAAAACTTATTATGAAGAGTCACTCTACATGACAAGAAAAAATATAAAATAAAAAAAATGACAACTGGGCACAGTCGCTCATGCCTGTAATCCTGAAACTTTGGAAGGCTGAGGCTGGAAGATTGCTTGGGCCCAGGAGTTCGAGAGAAGCATGGGCAACATAGCTTGCTCTCTACAAAAAAATAAAAAATAGCTTACTCTGGTGGCATTTGCCTGTAGTCCTATCTACTCAAGAGGCTGAGAAGGGAAGGGAGAATCACTTGAGCCCAGGAAGTCTAGTCTACCTTGATCTGTGATTGCACCACTGCACCTCAGCCTGGGTGACAGAGCAAGATCCTGTCTCTAAATAAATAAATAAACAGAAGAGTAAAGTCTATTTTTGATGGGAGAAATTTTGGTACTTCTTTAATCTTTGTACTCACTATTGGTTTATTCAGGTTTTCATGTAATTCGTGATTCAGTATAGGTAAGTTGTATTTTTCCAAGAATGTATCCATTTTTTCTAGGTTTTCCAATTTGTTAGCATATAGGAATTCATAGTAGTCTCTAACAATCTTTTGTATTTTTGTGTTATTTATTGTAATGTCTTCTTTTTATCTGTGATTTTGCTTATATGTGTCTTCTTCCTTCTTATACTAGATAAATGTTTGTTCATCTTTTTAAAAATATTATTTTTGATTTGTTGATCTTTTGTAATATTTTAATCTCACTTTCATTTATTTCTGCTCTAATCTTTACTATTTCTTTTCTTTTACTAATTTTGGGATTGGTTTGCATTTACTTCTCTACATTTCTTGAGGTGCATCATTAAGTTTTTATGTGAAGTCTTTTTGTTGTCTTAGGCATTTATTGTGATATTCTTCTTATTCCTGCTTTATCTATATTTCATATGTATTGTTATGTTTTGATTTCCTTTTTATGCATTTTAAGACATTTTAAATTTTTCTTTTTTAATTTTTTTATCAATACATAAGTCATTCAGTAGCATGTTGTTTTATTCCCATGTATTTGTACAGTTTCCATCATTCCTCTTGTTACTGATTTCTAGTTTTAGTCCATTATGGTCAGAAAAGATACTTGATATGATTTCAATTTTTTTGAATCTCTTGAAATTGTTTTGTGTCTTTACATATCATCTATCCTGAAGATATTCCATGTGTTGATGAGAAGATTGTTTATTCTGCAGCAGTTTGAGTGAAATGTTCTGGAAATGTCAGCTTGATCCATTTGGTCTGGAGCATAGTTTAACTTTGATGTTTCCTTGTTGGTTTTCTGCCTGAATAATCTAAACATTGCTGAAAATGGGGTTTTGAAGTCCCCTATTATCATTGCATTGAAGTGTATCTTTCCCTTGAGATCTATTAAATTTGCTTTACATATTTGGGTGTTGTGGTATTAGTACACAAACATTTACTATCATTATATCCTGTTACTGAATTGATGCTTTTATCATTATACAGTGAACTTCGCTCACGCTTTTTACAGTTTTTGATTTAATGTCTATTTTATATAATGTAAGCATAGCTACTCCTGCTCTTTTTTGGTTTTCATTTTCATAGAATATATATTTCCACCTCTTCAATTTCAATCTATGTATGTCTTTATAGGTAAAGTGGATTGTTTGTAGGCACCATACAGTCAGATTTAGCTTTTTGTTCTTTTTTAATTCATTCAGCCACAAAATTTTAATTGGAACATTTAGTCTATTTATATTCAGTGTTGTTATTGGTAGGTAAGGACTTGATACTGCCATTTTGTTACTAGATGTTCTGTAGCTCCTCTCTTCCTCTCTTCACTTCTTACTGTTTTCCTTTCCTGTTAAGTTATTTCCTCTGGTGGTATTTTTAATTCCTTAAGTTTTACTTTTAGGGTATTTATTATAGTTTTTGGCATTGTGGTTGTCATTAACTTTACAAAAACATCTTATAGCTATCAGAAGTACCTCAAAATACCTTTTTTTTTTTTTTGAGTCAGGGTCTCACTCTGTTGCCTAGACTAGTCTGCAGTTGCACAATCATGGCTCACTGCAGACTCGATTTCCCAGGTCTCAAGTGATCCTCCCAGCTCAGCCTCCTGAGTAGCTGAGACTCCAGGCATGTGTTACCATGCCTGACTAATTTTTTGTAGAGATAGGGTCTCACTTTGTTGCCCATGCTGGTCATTAACTCTTAGGCTCAAGTGATCCTCCTGCCTTGGCCTCTCAAAGAGCTTGGATTATAGGGATGAGCCACTTCACCTGGCCCTCAAAACAGCTATTTTCAGTTCCTGGCTGAGAGGGCAAACCTCACCTCTCCAGGTCTGGTGACTGGCACTTTATTTAATCAATTTTGTTAGGTTATATTTCCTTGAATATTTTGGATACTTGGAGGCATGCATCAATAACTAGGCATTGAAAAATTAGGTATTTATTTCAGTCTTGCCTTGTTTGTACCTGTCCTTCTTCAGAGAGTCTTCCAGTAGTTTAAAGGGGACTGCCTGTTGAGCTCCGTAAGCCAGTGGTTGCTCTTGGCATTTTAGCACTAAAGGGTGCCCTGACCCTAGGTTTGTTGTAAGTCTTGCAAACTGCTAGCTCACCAACCCTCCAACCTGAACATGGAAAAGACATGGGACAGTTCCCTGGGTTTCTAGGCAAAGTCCTTTGCTCTCCTCCCACTTTCCCTCAAGCAGAAGGATTCTCTCTCTACTCTGTACTTTCTGTAGTTGAAGAAGGGGTGACGCAGGCCACCAGTAGCCTCTGCAGCTTGTAAGGTACTGAATTGCACCCAAAGCCTCTTTGACCAGCACAGTGTAGGGGCTTGGTCAAGGCCTGTAGTCACTGCTGCCTGACTGACACTGACACTTATTCAAGGCCTGAGGCTACGTTAGGCAGCCAGTAGAGAAGAGGGCCAGAACTCCGGTTTGTTCTGCCAGGATGGTGGATTCCCTTCTGGCCCAGGATGGATCTAGAAGTGCCAAGCAGCTCACTTGGTTCTGTCCTTTGTTGTTTTAAGTGGTGGGGTTCGTACTTGGGTCTTAGGCAAAGCCCCTGTACTCTTCCCTCTTCTTTTCCCAACACAGGGATTCTCTCTCCACACTGCACTGCCTGGGGTTGGGGGAGGAGTGATCTGGGCACTCTAATGGCTGCCACAACTTACATGATGCTAGGTTGCTCCCCAAGCCATCAGCCTCCCAGACCAGTGCAGTACTGGGACTTGCCCAAAGCCATGGTCACTACAGCCTGCTTGCCACTGAAATTTACTGAGGGCCCGAGGCCACTGTAGTCAGGTAGTGGTGAAGCAGGCTGGGACTCAGGTTTCTGTTACTTGGGTGGCAGATTCCTCTCTGGTGCAGAGACGTCTAAATGCCTCTTCTGTGGGCGCCAGTCTAGAATCAAGGACTATGAGGGCCCTGCCCTGTGTTGTATTCCACTGTGGCAGGGCCAGCACTAAGTTCCAATGCAAATTCCCACACTCACTTCCCTTTCCCTCCCCAAGCAGCCAGTTTCTCTCTCCACACTGCTCTCCCTGGTATCAAGAAGGGGTGGTTTAGACAATGTGGTACTGTCCTTTCTAAAGTCTTCAATTCCCCTCTTTTGGTTATTATACCAAAATCAGGCACTGTGATTAATTTTGTTCTTTTGAATGTGATTTTTAATCTGTATAGTTATTCAATGTAATGTACCTGCAAGGTAACAATCACTGGGAACTTCTAATTGGCCATCATGATCTGGCTCCTCATTTGTCTATATTTTTGTTTGTTTGTTTGTTTGCTTTTGTGGTTTTTTTTTTGGGGGGGGGCTGGGCTTTTGGTGTTATATTTAAAAAATTTTTGCCAAAACCAGTTTTAAGGATCTTTTCCCCTATATTTTATTCTTGAAGTTTTACAGTTTCATGTTATATTTAAGTCTTTAATATTCCTAGGATGTACCCACAAACATTAAAAATTAAAAAAAAACATGGGATGTAAGGATGATTTGATATACATGGATAATAAATATGACCCATCTCATTAACAGAATGAAGGACAAAATCAATATAATTATCTCAATAGACGCAGATAAAGGGTTTCACAAAATTCAACATTCTTTTATGATAAAAACTCTCAACATATTAGGTATAGAAAAAATGTACCTCAAGATAATAAGGATTATATATGACAATCCTACAGCTAACATACTCAATGGTGAAAAATGAAAAGCTTTTCCTTTTTAAGATCAGGAACAACACAAGGCTGCCCACACTCACCATTTCTATTCAGCATAGTACTGGAAATTCTAGCCAGAGAATTTAGGCAAGAAAAATAAATAAAATACATCCAAACTGGAAAGGAAGCTAAACTGTCTCTATTGCAGATGACGTAATCTTACACAAAGAAAACCCTAAAGACTCCACTAAACCAAAAAATAAAGTCAGTGAAGTTGTAGGATACAAACTCAACATACAAAAATCAGTACCATTCCTATACACTAACAAAGAACTATCCACAAAAGGAATTAAGAAAACAACCCCATTTGCGATAGCATAAAAAAGAATAAAAGGCTTAGGAGTAAATTTAACCAAATAAGTAAAAAATTTGTACACTGGAAATCATAAGGCACTGATGAAAGAAATTGAAGAACACATAAAAAAATGAAAAATTATCCAATGTTTATGGATTAGAAGAATTATTATTGTTAAAATGTTCATGCTATCCAAAATGATCCACAGATTTAATGTAATTCCTGTAAAAATTTCAATGGCATTTTTCACAAAAGTAGAAAAGAGAATCCTAAAATTTATGTAAAATCACAAAAGACTTAAAATAGATGAAACAATATTAAAAAAACCCCAGCAAACCTAGAGACTTTATACCTCCTGATTTCAAACTACATTACAAAGTTACAGTAATAAAAATAATATGGTACTTGTATAACAAGACACATAATAGAGAGGCCAGAATAAACCTATTCATATATGGTTATCTAATTTTTGACAATGGTGTGAAGAACACACAATCAGGAAATAAACAGTGTTGAGAAAACTGGATATTCATAAGTGAAGGATTAAAATTGGACCTTTGTCTCATACAATACACAAAAAAAAAACTCAAAAAAGATTAAAGACTTAAATGTAAGAACTGAAATCATAAAACTCCTAAAAGAAAACTGTGGAGAGAAAAGCTCCTTGTTTACAACCTTAATGGGAAAACACTATTTTTCACCATTAAGTGTAATGTCAGCTGTGGAATTTCATAGATGCAATTTATGAAGTTGAGGAATTTTTCCTTGATTCCTATTTTTCTCAGATTTTTTTCTCATAAATAAATGTTGAATTTCACCAAATGCCTTTTTTCTGGAAGAACAGGTATGATCATTTTATTTTTTCTTCTTTACACCGTTCATATTATGGATTATTCTAATTTTAAAATGTTGAACCAAACTTACAATGCTAGAATAAACTCCACCTGGTCATGGCGTAAATTCCTTTTATATGTAGCTGAATTCTGTTTTCTCGTGTGTGTGTGTGTGTGTGTGTGTGCGTGTGTGTACCTGTGTGTGTGTGCATGCTTTTTCTTCTGGTTTGTTATCAGGGTAACAGTAGATTGAAAAAAAAATGAACTGGAAGTGTTATTTTCTGGGAAATAGTCTGTAAAATTATTGTTAATTCTTATTCAAATATTTGTTAGAATTTTCCAGTGAAATCATCTGGGCCTGAAGATTTATTTGGAGTTTTTAAAATTGCAACCACAAGGTTTTCAATAATTATAGGGCTAGTCAATGATATAATCTGTGGTCGTTTGTGCTTTTTAAGAAATTGGTCAGCTTAATATGAGTTGTCAAATATAAGTGTATAGAGTTTTCACGGTATTCCTAAGTATCCTCTTAATTAATTCTTTATATCCACGAGTTGTGTAGTGCTAACCACTGTTAAGAGTTCTGACTTTGGTAATTTGTCTACTGTCTTTTTTTCTTGCTAGAATATTGCCAATTTTATTTTTATTGTTATTATTTTCAAAGAACTAGGTTTTTGTTCATTGATTTAATCTATTGTTTCTCTTTTTTCAACTTCATTGATTTTTGCTATTATCTTTATGTTTTCTTCATTTGTGTGGGTTAATTTTGCTTTTTAAAGATCTTTGAGGAGGGAGCATATTATTGGTTTGATTTTTTTTTTCTTTTCTACATGAAAGTTTTTTGTGCTATACATTTCTCTCTCAGCACTGCTTAAATCATGTTCCACAATTTTTGATATTTGTGTTTTCATTTTTACTCATTTCTGGGTTTTTTAAAAAATTGGTCTTGGGACTTTGTCTTTAACCTATAGTAAGTTTCGAAGTGTGTGGTTTGGTTTCCAAGTGTTTGGAAATTTCCTTGTCATTCTAGTATTGCTTTCTTGTATGCTTGAATTATGGTCATAGAATATACTCTGTGTGATCATTATTAGTTGAGATTTGTCTCATGACTCTTAATATGCTCTATTTCATGTGACCCGGGGGCCCTGAAAATGTCTGTGCATTTGGTTAAAGAGTTCTATATATATATATTGACTAGATCATGTTTGTTGACATTGTTGTGTTCCTCTATATCCTTGCTGACTTTTCATCAAGTTGTTCTAGCAACTGACGACAGAGGTGTTGAAATATCCATCAATAGTTGTGAATTATTTTAGTTCTTCCTTCAATTCTATTAAATTTTGCTTACAATATCCTGCAGCCCAGTTGTTTGGTGCATGCACATTTAAGGCTAATATGTGTTCATGTTGTATTAATCCTTTATCATTATAGTAAGTGACTGTCTCTGTTAGATTTCTTTGCTCTGAATTCTGCTTTACCTTATACTAATATAGTCACTACTTCTTTTTCTGAAATTAATGTTTACCTATTATGTCATTTTCCAGTCTTTACTTCTACCTAACCTATATTGTTATATTTGAAGTGTGTTTTTTTCATAGACAGCTTACATAGGAGCTAAGTTTTCTTGATCTATTCCACCAATGTCTGTATTTTAATTAGTGTATGTATACCATCTCTATTTAAAGTAATGATTAACATTATAAAACTTAAGTACAATGCTTTCTTTTGTTTCTGTTTTCCATTCTCTTTCTCTTTTTTCCTATCCTCTTGAGTTACTTGAATAGTTTTTTTTCCTAAAACATATATATATTTATTTATTTATTATTATTATACTTTAAGTTTTAGGGTACATGTGCACAATGTGCAGGTTAGTTACATATGTATCCATGTGCCATGCTGGTGCGCTGCACCCACTAACTCGTCATCTAGCATTAGGTATATCTCCCAATGCTATCCCACCCCCCTCCCCCCACCCCACAACAGTCCCCAGAGTGTGATGTTCCCCTTCCTGTGTCCATGTGTTCTCATTGTTCAATTCCCACCTATGAGTGAGAATATGCCACCGCATATTGTTGTTCCTTTCCATGTTTAGCGCTTCCTTCAGGAGCTCTTTTAGGGCAGGCCTGGTGGTGACAAATTCTCTCAGCATTTGCTTGTCTGTAAAGTATTTTATTTCTCCTTCACTTATGAAGCTTAGTTTGGCTGGATATGAAATTCTGGGTTGAAAATTCTTTTCTTTAAGAATGTTGAATATTGGCCCCACTCTCTTCTGGCTTGTAGAGTTTCTGCCGAGACATCTGCTTTTAGTCTGATGGGCTTCCCTTTGAGGTTAACCTGACCCTTCTCTCTGGCTGCCCTTAACTTTTTTTCCTTCATTTCAACTTTGGTGAATCTGACAATTATGTGTCTTGTTGTTGCCCTTCTCGAGGAGTATCTTTGTGGCGTTCTCTGTATTTCCTGAATCTGAATGTTGGCCTGCCTTGCTAGATTGTGGAAGTTCTCCTGGATAATATCCTGCAGAGTGTTTTCCAACTTGGTTCCATTCTCCCCATCACTTTCAGGTACACCAATCAGACATAGATTTGGTCTTTTCACATAGTCCCATATTTCTTGGAGGCTTTGCTTGTTTCTTTTTATTCTTTTTTCTCTAAACTACCCTTCTCACTTCCTTTCATTCATTTCATCTTCCATCGCTGATACCCTTTCTTCCAGTTGATCGCATCGGCTCCTGAGGCTTCTGCATTCTTCACGTAGTTCTCAAGACTTGGTTTTCAGCTCCATCAGCTCCTTTAAGCACTTCTCTGTATTGGTTATTCTAGTTATACATTCTTCTAAGGCTCCACCTCTGGGGGCAGGGCACAGACAAACAAAAAGACAGCAGTAACCTCTGCAGACTTAAATGTCCCTGTCTGACAGATTTGAAGAGAGCAGTGGTTCTCCCAGCACGCAGCTGGAGATCTGAGAACGGGCAGACTGCCTCCTCAAGTGGGTACCTGACCTCTGACCCCCGAGCAGCCTAACTGGGAGGCACCCCCCAGCAGGGGCAGACTGACACCTCACACGGCCAGGTAGTCCAACAGACCTGCAGCTGAGGGTCCTGTCTGTTAGAAGGAAAACTAACCAGCAGAAA
This sequence comes from Homo sapiens, assembly GCF_000001405.40. NCBI lineage: Eukaryota > Metazoa > Chordata > Mammalia > Primates > Hominidae > Homo > Homo sapiens. The sequence goes on from NC_000001.11 coordinate 190,300,750, forward strand.
GGACATCCACACCAAAAACCCATCTGTACTTCACCATCATCAAAGACCAAAAGTAGATAAAACCACAAAGATGGGGAAAAAACAGAGCAGAAAAACTGGAAACTCTAAAAAGCAGAGCACCTCTCCTCCTCCAAAGGAACGCAGTTCCTCACCAGCAACGAAACAAAGCTGGATGGAGAATGACTTTGACGAGCTGAGAGAAGAAGGCTTCAGATGATCAAATTACTCTGAGCTACGGGAGGACATTCAAAGCAAAGGCAAAGAAGTTGAAAACTTTGAAAAAAATTTAAAGAGTTACTTGAATAGTTTTTAAAATTCCATTTTTATGTATCTATAGTAATGTTGATTATATCTGTGTATATATTTTATTGATGGCTTTACATACATATATATATACACACATACATATATATATACATATATATACATATATATATGTATATATATACACATACATATATATATATATATATATATATATATATACACACATACATATATATATATATCTTATCACAGTCCACTGGGGTCAATATTTTACCAGTTCCCATAGAAACATTACCTCCCTTTACTTCATTTTATCTCTGCCATTTATAATATAATTGTGTTTAATATTTCCTCTAAATTCCTTTTGAACAGTGAAAATAGTGTTATATTTTCACTTCACCTGTCAAAATACTTTGGAAAACTGTAGTGAAAAGAAAAAGTTTTATATTTATCATATTTTTCCTTTTTCCATTCTTTCTTAATTCCTGTTATTCCATAATTCCTTCATTTATCTCTTTCCTTCCTTCCAAACAATTTTATGTAATGTCCTGAAAATGTATGAAATAAAAATTTTTAAAGTATATACAATATTGAAAAGTTTTCTAGAGTTTTGGAATATACAGATATATTAAAGAAGTTGTTGAGAAAACAAAGCAAGGTGAGAAAACTATTTCTGTGTAATTACATAACTATCTCTGTGTTCATTTAAAGGTAGAGTTTTCTAAGACTACAGAGAAAGATTACATAACTATACAAAAGTGTTATTTGTTGAGAGAAAAAGTGGACAGTAAAACCAAGCATTATTTGACAAAATTTATCATTTAATCATAAATAATATTTAAACAGATATATAGTTATAGAAAAACATTTTTTCAGCAAATATTTATAGATACAATTTATATGTCTATAGTTCCCTATATTTCTTTGCTGAAAGTGTTTTGGTACTACTTGTATATAGATAGAAGCATTTTTTAACATACTTTATTTTCTGAGTACTTTTATGTTAAAAGCAAAACTGGGAGAAAAATATAGAGTTAATCCACATACTCCCAAACTCCACAGATGCACAGCCTCCTAAATTATCAATATCTCCCACCAGGTAGCACATTTGTTACAATTATTGAAAGCAAATGACACATTATTATTCCCCAAAGACCACAGTGTATGTTACAGTCCACCTTGGTGTTGCACATTTATGAGTTTGGACAAGAAGTGTATATATATACATAAATTTATATATATATTTTATATATATATAAATGTATATATATATATTTTAAGTGATGGAATGTTGTAGAAGTTGTCAAACACACCTCTATAACTCTAAATGTATCACACTGTGATTTAAAAAGATAATGTCTATGACAAATATATCAAAACCCAGTTACAACTAAAATAATTTTTAGTTAATAGTAAATACAATAAATATTTAAAATGATAATAAAAATCCAAACTAGCAGCACCAGTAGTAACTGTTCGGTATGTTAATTTTGGATTTGTATGAACTCTCACTGCAGAATATTGGACACCTCTCAGTTACACATGATTATTCATATTTGATCTAACTTTGTCCAACTTAATTATTCAACCTTTCCTTAAAAATCCCCTCATAAATATTTTATGCAGTACATGCACCATGGCTTACTTGTTTCTGCTCATATTTTAAAAGTCCCATGTCTTCTGCAGGTTAGTTTTGGGTTGCTGAGAGCATAAATGTGAAAATAGGCAGGAGTTACAGAATTACAGAGTTCCTCTACATTAAGAATAACTTTCAGGTAAGTGCTGTATATATTTAAATAGAATGCGAATATTTTCACAGAATATAGAAAATATTTATTTAGCTTCTGTCTAGTGAATACTATTATATGTCCTTGTTATAAAACATAATTAATGATGATAATAATAATAATCTTTAAAGTATAGACATTTATAGTTGTGTTTCACTTCGGCAAAAAGATAAAAATATTAGTTTAAAATTTAGCATTTATAACAAGTTGGTATATCACCTTCAAAATGAATGGGGGATGCTAAGGCCTTATTTTACACTTATAAAAACATAACGATAATTCTTATAATTAGATAACATATTTTAATTTTCCAAGTTTCTGAATATAGAGCAGATGGAAATCAACTTTTTAAAAATTTAAAGGAAAGATAATCTCAAGATGATCTCCAAAGAGTAATTAAAATTAAATTTTGTAGAAACAGTAATGCTTTGATATCAATGTAAACATAAATTAAATGATATAATGACTCTTATAGTGATAATTTAAATCCAATGTTTTATAGAAAAGAAATAATTCAGATAGGGATGGGGTGACTATGAAGATGAGGGTAATCATTCTTTTTGTAAAATAAATATATTGTAATCAGAAGACTCCAAATAGGCAATACAGAAGTAATATTCAATAAAGATTGAAAAAGGAGAGAGTAAAAGCTATAAATTAAATATTGAGAAATCAGGCTGCTATATGACATAATTATCTGACAATGAAAATAAATAAGCTTTTAAGCATCAGTCATTTATTTCATTTGTTCCATTTTTAATAAAATTGCAATTAAGTATTCTGTCAAATAGCCTTACTTATTCTGGTTTAGGCTTGAGTAAATATTTTATAAATTAAGTATGAGGACACTTCTGAAAGAACTAGGTCAGTTAAAAGTCAGTAAAGCCAGAAGTCCAGATGGCACTGAATTCACTCAACTAAAATTAACTACTTTGAATTTGGCTCAGTCTCAATATTCAATTATTAATGTGATATATGTGAAAATCTGGCAAATTGGAAAATGGAAGATGATTCAGTTCTTCTAATTACAGGGTTAGATAAAGTAAATATTTTTATTTTCCCCCTAGGTATTTAAAAATACAACTGATGGTTTAATAAAAAATTTAACAATCAACATAAAATCATAAATAATTTATTTTTTCCATTAGGTAGTACTTCAAATTGCCATTCATATAAAAGTTAGTCATCTAATGAAGAAAAAACACTATACATCAAATAAAATAAATGTTTAATTTTAAAAAAATGGAAACCTGAAGAAAGTAAGAATTCTACACTTATGCAAGTCTGCCACTAACTCGTTTTATGAACTTGAAGAAATTACTTTGTCATTTGTATTCTTTATTTTCCATGCTATAAAACCAAGAACCTAGGCTTAAATCATTAAAATGTTTCTTTTTTAGATTTTTGGCTTTCAATTATATAACATCTATAATAGAAGAATATCATGCATTTACACTTTTCAATAAACATATAAACATATCCCTAGGTAGCTAGTATGTGATTCACCATATTATTTTATGAAGACTTACATATTAAAAATTATCCTTCACAAATCATCACACTATATGACTTCAAAGCATACTACGAAGATATATTAACCCAAACTGATACTGGTATAAGAACAGACACATAGACCAATGAAACAGAAGAGAGAGCTCAGAAATAAATCCATGTAGTTATAGCCAACTGATTTTTAACAAAGGTGCTAAGAACACACTGAAAGGACAGTTTCTTCAAAAAATGGCACTGGGAAAACGATATTATCATGCAGATATATGAAATTAGATATTTATCTCCCACCATATGCAAAAACAACACAAAATGGATCAAAGATTTAAATTTAAGACTTGAAACTAGGAGAAAAAGCATAGGAAAAAAGCTCCATGTTACTGGTCTAGGTTAGGATGTTTTGGATAAAACCTCAAAAGCACAGACAATAAAGGCAAATATAGATAGATAAGATTACATGAAAGTAAAAAGCTTCTGCACAGCAAAGGAAACTTCCGACAAAGTGAAGAGACAACCCACAGAATGGGAGAAAATATCTGCAAACCATCCACCTGGCAAAGGATTAATAACCGAAATATACAAGGAGCTCAAACAGCTCAACAGCAAAAAATCAAATAATCCAGTTAAAAACTGGGCAAAAAATTTGAAGAGACATTTCTCAAAAGAAGACATACAAATGGCCAATAGGCATCTGGAAAAATTCTCAACATTATTAATCATCAGAGAAACACAAATCAAAACAATAATGAGATATCACCTCACTCCAGTTAGAATGGCTGTTATAAAAAATAAAAAAATAAAAAGTGTAAGTAAAGATGTGGTGAAAAGGGAACCCTTATATACTGCTGGCATTAGTATAGCAATTGTAGAAAAAATTTGGAGGTTCCTCAAAAAATTAAAAATCAAACTACAATATCATCCAGCAATTCCACTCCTGGGTAACTATCTGAATGAAATGAAATCAGTGTGTGGGAGAGAGATTTGCATTCTTTAGTTTATGGCAGCACTATTGACAATATCCAAGATATGGAATCAATCCAAATGTCCATTAATTGATGAATGAATAAAGACAGTATGGCATTTATACACAGTAGAATACTATTCAGGCATAAAAAAACTCCTGTCATTTGCAACAATATGAATGAACCTGGAGTATATTACATTAAGTGAGCTATGCCAGGCACAGAAACGCATATACTGCATTATCTCACTAATATATGGAATCAAAGAAGTTATTCTCATGAAAGAAGAATAGTGATTATTAGAAAGCAAGGAGAAGAGGGGGAGATGGGGGTAAACTGGTCAATTGCTACAACACCCCAGCTTCATAGGAGCAATAAGTTCTGATGTTCTATTGCATAGTAGGATGACTAGTTAACAATGATGTTAACATAGAGATATTTTGAAATATACAGATATTTGTAAATATAAACATATTTTGAAATATCTGTAGATTTCAAAAAAGCTAGAAGAGAGGTTTTAAAACCTCATTAGAAAAAAATGATAAATGTTTAAGATAATGGATATGCTAATTATCCTGATTTGATCATTACATAATGTGTACATATATCAAACATAATATTGTATCCCATAAATATGTACAATTATGTGTTAATCATAAATTAACGAAGAAAAATATTTTATACTATATGTCCTATCACATGCACATACTTATAACAATAAAATATTGTTTCTTTTCTGTTTTGTTGGCAATATTCAACTGACACCCTGTAAAAACAATGATAACTATATTCAGCCATAACTTTATATCAATGTTCTCATTCTTTGAAGACTCATAATAATTTGTAATGCATCTATAAATACAATCATCACTCTTGTAGAGATGATAAAACAAAGACTTAATGAGATAAAGATATCTGCCCAATATGAAACATTTCATAAATTAGTGCTGTCCAAAAAAAAAAATTGTGAACCAAAAATGTTATTTTAATTTCTGAGCAGAAGAGCAACATACTCTAAAGGAAATGAAAGAAGTTTGTGAGCTGGCACTGTGGTTGAAAAGGAGTATCTGAATTTAAATAAGCGATTTTGGAGGGCACTGAAACATTTTGATTGTAAGAGTAGGGTGTCCAAGGGCCATAAAGACAGAAATGAAAGGAGTTTTAGAGAAAATAAAACTATATATTTTTAATATTTATTTGAAATATTAACTAATGAAAACTGTATATTACCTCTTCAAGGTAATAGAATTATTTGTTGAATTAAAGACTAAACTAGGTGTGGAGGTGGGGGTATAACTTTAGATAAAATGGCCATGACCTAGACCTAGTTGTTATAAGGATTAAGTTTGAAACATATCAACATTCTCTGTAGTCTAGCTGGATGGATCAGTTTTTTTTTTAATTCCATGTCCTAGAGCGCAACTATTTTAGCACAGATAATCAAGATTTATTGTACAGCAGGCACATTTACAGTTAGACACAAGAATGAGGTTAAAGAGACCAGGGAAAAGTGGGTTATATAAATGTAACATCTCAAAGGTAGATGGAGTAATTCTTATGCATAAAATTCATTGAATAGTTTAGAATATTTAAATAAAAGATACTATTGTAAAACAATATAGTACCTCAATATTTACAATTGTTCAAATTTTATAGCTTTGATTAGCAGTAAAAATTACAATTGACACTACTAGTTTCTCCAAAAATAAATCATTTCCATGAAACTCGTGTAGTTCTGAGGAGCACATATTGTTTAAACTCTTGAGTGTCTACTGAGTGCAAAATACTCTGTCTTGTATAGTGCGTTTTGTCACTTTACAGATTTGGAAACAAAATCCTAGTTGGGATTGGTTCAGTGACATTGCTAAAGTTAAAGAGTAATAATTAGGAATGAAATTAAAAATTAAAACATACAATATTTATTAAATATTTTAAGTTTTTTTTAATGCCCTATGACGAACTGAGCTCCTCATTTAAAACATTGTTTTTTTTTTTTTTTTTTTTTTTTTTTTGAGACAGAGTCTCGCTCTGCCACCCAGGCTGGAGTGCAGTAGAGCTATCTTGGCTCACTGTAACCTCTGCCTCCCAGGTTCAAATTATTCTCATGACTCAGCCTCTCAAATAGCTGGAATTACAGGCTTGCACCACCACACCTGGCTAATTAAAGCATCTTTAAGTTGTCTCTACAAATCTAAGGCAAATCTAAGAAAAGTCTGGGCTATTAGTATTTCATGCTCTTATTTCCATTTGTGTACACAAATAGCTTTGTGCATAGATGCACTTAATATATGTTAATAGAAAGCAAGGCCATATTTTCACTCAAACTAGTTAAGTTATTCTAGTCTATCATTCAGTCTTACTGCTTTTTAATTTTTTTCAAAGTGTAGATTTTGCTCATCAGTAATGTGAAGCACTGTTCACCACCTCCCTCGAAAAAAAGAGCTTCCATATTAAGAAGTAACTTTCTTTTTTTCATTTTCCTTCCATCTGTACTTTACAACACTAACAAAAGACAAAAATAATGAACAAGCTTCCATTTCCTGCAAGATGGTGGATTGTCCTACCATAAAAATAATTAAATGTGTGACTAAAATAAACATTTCAAAATACGTTGAACTGGCAAGAAAATTAGGAAACTTTAGAAGCAAAAATCTGAGAAAGCTAAGTCATAGGAATGTGAACCAAACACTGAAGCAAGATTTGCTCTGATGACATTTGCCTAACCCAGATGAACTTAAACTTCAGTTTGTATGACCTTTCTGTTTGATATGGTATAAACATATATCAAAGGAGTCAAGGTAATAGGGAACCTCTAACTCCTTCCACACCCTCACCTACACCTAAAACTGTGGCTTCGATAGTTTTCAATTCTATTTAAGGGCAACGTAGACATAATTTTGCTTTTGAGAAGACATAAGAACACTTGTATATAGTTTTCAATTATATTTAACGGCAACCTAAACATAATTTTGCTTTTGAGAAGACATAAGAACACTTGTATATCTTGAATTTTAGCACTAGATAAAAGAAAATCTCTCATGAATGGCAAAACTGAAAGTGTAAAAGAGTAATGATTGTGTAAGTATTGTTGTTCTTGCGACAGTTTGCTGAGAATGATGGTTTCCAGCTTCATCCTTGTCTCCACAAAGGAGGTGGGAATTGAACAATGAGAACACATGGACACAGGAAGGGGAACATCACACACTGGGGACTGTTGTAGGGTGGGGGAAGGGGGGAGGGATAGCATTAGGTGATATACCTAATGCTAAATGACGAGTTAATGGGTGCAGCACACCAGCATAGCACATGTATACATATGTAACAAACCTGCACATTGTGCACATGTACCCTAAAACTTAAAGTATAATAATAATAAAAAAAGGATTGTTGTTAATACAATTAAAACAACTAAACAATAGACATATAATTAAGGAGGAGAGGAAATGTAGTTAAAAGATTCTGAAGTCCTTGAATTTTCTGAAGAAAGATATTAACAAAGGTTAGACTTTATAGCATTGCCATATGTTAAAATGTATATATGTTTATATGTGTTAATATTTCTAAAGTTACAACTAAAATGGTGCAGACACTGTGGAAAACAGTATGGCAGTTTGGGGACATAAAATTAAAAACAGAATTACCATATGATCCAGCAATTCCACTTCTAGATATATATGTAAAATAATTGAAAGCAGGGTGTCAAATAAATATTTGTATACCCATGTTCATAGCAGCATAATTTACAATATCTCAAAGGTCTAAGCAACCCAAGTGTACATCAACAGATTAATGAATAAGCAAAGTGTGGTATCGATACAAAATAAAATATTATTCAGCCTCGAAAGTATGTTTGAACTCATACTACGGCATGTGTGAATCTTGAGGACATTATGCTAAGTGTAATAAGTCCACAATAAAAAAAAAACTGCTAAAAATATTGTATGATTCCACCTATATGAGTTGTTTAGAGTACCCCAAAATTTGAGAGACAGAGTAGAATGGTAGTTGTCGGGAGACAGGAGAAGGAGAAATGGAAAGTCATTTTTTAATAAATAGATTTTCACATTTGAAGGTGAACAGATTTCTGAAAATGTATAGTATTGATAGTTGTACAATATGGATATATTTAATACAATTGACATATACACTTAAAAATGGTTAAGATGATAAATTTTATGATACGTCTATTTTACTGTAATTTTTTAAATTTAAAAACATGATTTCGGCATATATTGAATAGTTTTAGAGAAGTGTGATTAACTTTCTATAGTTCCAACAAAAATAATTTTCAAATGACTGGTATTAACCTCATGATCGAAGATTTTTATTTTACAAGTCTCATTGTGTTATACTCTATATTGAACCCTAAGAAAATTCACACTGGGTATGACAATTTTGCTTAAAGTTGATTCATAATGCCAAAGAATCATTTGTGAGAAATCCAATTTTATTTTCCCTGATTATTTATATAAGGAAGAATAATCCCATTTTACTTAGGAAATAATTCTTTCCAGGAGTGTACACCACTCTAATTTATAATTTGCTAATCTGAAAATATTACTTGGTTAATTCTAGTTATAAAAATAACATTTAAATCTCAAAGATTCAGAATGAAATCCCTAAAATTAATCTAATTTATTTTATTTTAATCTTCTACTGTAATGGTTTTGGAAACTTCAATTACCAGATTTCATAGAGATCCCTTCAGAGTCTGCAGCTGGAATACATGGAGTAGGCTACAATGGCCAATCTCTAGTGTCTGTATATTTTCCCTTATTTGTAAGTTTTGTGTTTTAGTATATATGGACTCACCTCTTTTGTGGTTGTTGTTTTTTTTTTTTTTAAGTGCAGTTCTAACAAACTAAACTGATGTTTCCCCTTTCAAATAACACCAAGGAAAGAACCCACAGGAAACAGATAAGGAAGAGGATTATGTATTGAATGCAAAACATTTGCAGTTAATTGCATGAAAAATGTTCTGCACTTTCTTGACTTTCAGTGTACCGAGAAAAGCTTTTAACAGCTCATATTCATGTTTACTGAAAATATTCCACCATAAGGCATACAGGCTTTCTGAAAATACTAATTTGTGATCAAGATTAATTCAAGTGCTAGTCAAATACAACAAAGTTAAACTACATATTTTCTGGTATTTCTAAGGCTAATATGTTTTTATATATGCTTAGAAATGATTACAACAGCATTCTGAATTGACCAAAATTTCTTTCTGGAAAAAATATGATAGATTATGTAAAATATCCAGCATACTGCATGCCATTTTTTAAATAAATGAGCTCCTCTAAAAGCCAAGATCATCAGTTATGGCCAACTTAATGCATTATTATCATCTTCTCATATGTAATTATCATAACTTTCTCCCTTTGTTACTGTTTACTCAATCTCCCTCCCTTTCTCCAGTTTCTCTAACTCATTAATTATATATTCATAGAACAGTTCCCTTTGAAATACCTAAGCCTCCACCTTTTCTCCAAGGCTTTTAATTGCTCATCTTTCAAAATCAGAGTCACTTATTACATATTTCTTCATTCTATAATTATCCAAATCCATGAGGTAAGAATAAATTAAATTAATAGATTAGCCCATGATGCATAACAAAGCAGCTATTTAATTTTAAACAAAAACAATATAATTCAAGTGAGTGAATACCTGCTAGTGCATGTTACTTAATTCCATAACCAGCATGTAGGGTTTCATATTCCCTAGATAAATCATTATTGAATGCTAGAGCCAGGTTTGAAACCCTGATAACTATTACTTAAAAACCCAAGTATTTTAAATTATGTTGTACTTTCTTTCTGACTCTGGGTTGGAGTCAGAATTCTAGCAAGAGTGCCAATGAACTGAAACAGCAAGCACAAGGTCCCATGTGCTTTTATCATAAATGACTGCAGTTTGAAAAAGTAGAACATTTATTTTAATTTCAATTATCAAGAAAGGCTTCATAGAAGACACAGCATTTAAACTTTGCCTTGAAAACTGACAATGATTTTTATATATGAGAAATATGAGGAAAGCATCCAAGGCTACAGAAAAGACCTGAGCACAGACATGGATAAATGAAAGTGAGGAGAATGTTTATGAAACAAAGATTAGTCCTAGTGTGAAAGGCAGAATGTAAGGAGATATATAATCAATTTTGAAAAACAGTGGTTGGCAGCAGAGTATAATGATTAAGAATTTGACGTTAGTAGCCAAAAAAAAGTAGAAATTAAATAGAAATAATGATATGGGTTTGAGGATTCAAAAAGTAATATTAATAAAAATTTGATCATAGAATCTGGGAAGTGATATAAACCAAATGCCAACCAAAAATACTTATTTTAATGTTATCTTCAGTTAATATGGAGGTTAATTTTTTCTGTGGGAAAGTTTATATCATCACAGTGTTATAAAAAACTTTTCCTATATGAAAAGAAGTTGATTAGATCTTCTAAATTGTATAAGAGTAAAATAACTGGTGACACTAAAGATAGAGAAGAAGAAAGAAAAGCTGCGTCTAAAGAGAGAGTGGAGAAATAAAACAATCGTAAAGTCTATTTGCACAGATGAAAAAGAGTTTATAAAGTTTAAAAACAACACAACTTATAAGAATAGTGCCAGGAGAGTAAATACTCACATACCTAGAGGCATGTTGATCATATTATTAATATAAATTCAAAACATGTTATCTTAATTAGACAAAATATTTAAACTCAACACTGTCTAGAAAATATAAAAAATACATGATATTTGAAAAGTCAAATATATATATATATATATATATATATATATATATATATATGTATTTCTAAGGTCACCTTGTAGATAAAAACATTTAAAAATTAAAGTATATTTATATTGAAGTAACTGGCAACATTTGAAGTGGTGCCAAAACTCAATAGCAAATGATGATCTTTCGTAAATTGCGAATTTATGTTATTGCAAAGTTCAATATAAAAAACTCCTAAAATTCTTACATAGTTGAAAATGAGCTGTCATTTAGAAATATTGTTACAGAGAATATGCATGTATCTGAAAAAGCCAAAATAAATTTTGAATGACACTAAAGCATCAAGAAAAGTCAAAATACAGCATTTCTAACAATATATTTATGATCTCAGTGATATTTGAAAGAAAAAATACTTTATCCTTCCCAGTGATCTCCTAAAATATATCTATTCTACCCTGACATATTGAAATGAATAGAGCAGGCTTTCCCAAGAGTTCAGAGTACCTCAGTTGTGGATCCAGTTATATTACAAGTTGTCTTTCTGCCTCAAAATAGGAAATGAAATAGACCTTAAGATGTGTTATCAATATTCGCAGGCTTTCTTATGATTTTTTTCCCAAAGTTACTGAAAGCTTTCAAATATGAGTGGTTCAAAGGTTTTGAAAAGAAGATCAAGATAAAATTTCTTAAATTAAAGTTCCAAAATAGTAAGACCAAATCTTAAATTAAATCTCATTTTGCATCATCCGATAATAGGAGATAGCTAAGGATATGGGTGATATTTTTCAGGAAATGTCATGTCATATGTGATGGGTTATTTCTTTCATAGTCTCAAACATTTAATTGGAAATCTTTGCCAATTTGTGGTTATAATAACCTGTTCTGGGAATATGTGGCTTATTTCTTGAGCAAGATTGTCATTCTATTCAATTTGATTTTAAACATGCATTTCAAATTCTTCAATGTATCCTTATAATAGCTACCATTAATGTCATCAACTACAAACTACACTGCACAATAAGTTTTAATTTACAAATTACTTTTAACCAATACATTCTTAAGATGACGACTACAAATTACAAGTAATTTAGAGCAATTTGAAAAAAAATAAGTAAAATTATAATTGAATGGACCTATTTCAGAACACTACAATTAAATATGATAGATAAAATTGGCTAACTACATAAATTCAGGGGATTGGTACCTGCAGATTTTTATGCCTTTTTAAGAGAAGCTGATAAGGTGCTGAGTAAATCAGACCAACAAAATTTGGTAATGCCTTTTTTTTGATGCATGTATATCATGTTAATAGGAAACATGTAAGTTAAAGAAATAGATAGCATAGATGATACAGGAAGAAGAAAGGAAAGCAGAAGTCAGCGTGAAGGGTGGTGGGGCAGGCAGTATCCTGCAAGTGGTAAAAATGGTAAAAGCATTAGCAGGAATTTAAATTTGTATTTAGTAGGGAAGCCTCCCTAAGTATAGAGTACTATTAAAGCAAAATTCTGCAACCTATGTGATTTTAACAATAATCACATGTAATGTGTAAGTATCTGTTCAGTTTTACATTTTGCAAATTTTTATTCTTACAACATCATCAACAATAATCAACACTTACTGAGATCTCAATAAGTTCTGGGCACTCTGATAAGTACTGTCTGCATTATCTTGTTTTATCCTCAAAACAACCCTTGAGATAGCTACTTGGATTCTTCTTATATTTCAAATGAGAAAACTAAGGTTTAAAGAAATAAATGAATTATACAGACATATAGCTATTAAGACAGACAGAATTCTAACCCATATTGACCTGACCTTGGTGCTTTCATTGCTTCAGCTTTGTCCTCCTCTTATGTGGATAATTGGTGAACTAAGTAGGTAAAATATATTTCAACTTATATTTTCAAAATTAGAAAAACTACAAATAGGTATTTTAATGTCTTGACTAATCTTTCATACATCAAATGCAATTCAACAAAATAAAATATGGCTGAAAGAGATGTGAGGAGTCACCCAGCACACTTAAGGGCTTTGTATTTTTTCGCAAAATTATCTAATTTATTTTCAAAATATAATGAGTGACTTGTATATGTAGAGTACTATGATAGATATTTTGAGATTAAAAAAATACTTCATAGACCTTGATGTCTATCAAGGGATCAATCTGTACCAAAAATTGTAATTTTTTAATGGAGAATAATAGAAAAGTAGGAACAGCTTTGGAAACATATTGGAAAAATAATAACGTAGCCTGGGGAGTAAAAGAAGGTTTCCTGGAGAAGTAAATATTGGGTAAGCAGAATAATTGCCTTCCCCAAAATGCCTACATCCTACTCCTTAGAATCCATGAATGTCTTGGGTTACGGGACAAAGGGGAATTATAGTTGCTAATTACCTGACTTTAGAATACTGAGGTTATCCTGGATTAACTAGGTGGGCTCAATATAATCCAAACAGTCATTTGAAGTAGAGGAAAGGAACAAAAGAGAGAAGCAGAGACATTGCAAAATAAGAAGGAATCAGCTTAACCATGCTGTCTGAAAGCTGGACTAATGGGGGCATTAGCCAAGAGATGTCAGTGGCCTCTAGAAGCTGAAAAGTTAGGAAACTATTTCTCTTCTAAAGCCTCCAGAAGGAATTCAGCACTGACATATTGATTTTAGCCCAGTGAGCCTCCTGTTGGACTTCTGGCCCCCAAAACTATAAGATAATAAATCTGTGTTGTGTTAAGCCACTAAGCTTGTGGTAATTTGTTAGTACAGCAATCAAAACAAATCAAATCCCTAAACGGAGACCTTGAATGCACGCATAAGAATTATATAATATGGAGACTCTTGTCACCAGTACAAGGAAACATATGTGCAAGACCCAGAGCTGAGAGTATGCTGAAGGTAAAACAAAAACAAGAAGTACTTCCTATAGGGGCTTGTTATTCATGGTCAGGTTGATGGACTTTATCAGGGGGCTAAAATAGAAGTTAAAATCAGATAAGTGACATAAGGTATGTGTTTAAGACAGGTGACACTAGCATTATGGTGAAGTTTTATAAACTCAGATTGAAGGGAGAGGGTAAACAAGACTGAAGGGCATATTAACAATGAGTTGCCTATGAAGAAAGTTATTGAAGACTTTGATAAAATTAAAAACAGAGTCACATAAGATTATGTGCAAGAAAATGTAATAAAGGAAGCACAGATATACAGGAAACAGGGAGGACTGAATTTAAGATTAGATGCCATGGAAATACTTTGAGAAACAGTGATGTTTGAGCTTAAAACAGCCCCCAGAGTCCAAATTAAAATAAGCAAGTGGCCTCTGGAAGCTGTGGTGTTCCCAAGGAGGAAATTCGACCTAGTGGAATGGCCATTGCAGATATGGTCACAGAGAGCAATGGATAAGAACAAACTTTCAAAAGGCAGGGGTCAAGGACTGCAGATAACACCAGACAACTAATTTCCTCACAGAGAGCACAGCCAAAGCCTAATCAAGAGACATGCCCTACCCATAAATTCGGAAGTCTTCAGCATGCATAATATTTTTATCAAGAATTGCTTTGTGTCTTCTATTCTTCCCTCTTCTACACGAGAAATGCAGTTATTGTGGCTATCATCTGTCTGGGCTGGAAAATGTTGTTGCTTTAAGTTCATTCATTGATAGATGTGAGGAACCAATCCAGAATTGATGGACATAACTCTGCTAGATCCAAAGATCTTGGGTACAATGATTGGAGGGAACTTTGGTTTGTCTCTCATGCAGTGGATGTAAGTATATTCCATATTTTAAAAGAAAATTACATTTATATTTTCATGTCCCAAATAGTAGAATTTTACAGAAATTGCAAACTCATCACCTACCTCATTTCCTCTTTTTTCTAAACACACAGGCAAACAATACTTCCCAGCCTCTCATGTTGTTAGAAGTAGATTTGTGACAGTTTTAGCAAACAGATGATATATGGGAAAACATGAGAAACATTTCCAAGCATGATACATCAAAACTCGTTATGGTTGATCCCCCATGATCAATCCCCCCACCCCAAACAACTGGACACCGGTGCAGCTGAGGATGACAGAGCTGTCAGCAACGTGGGGCCCAGAATGACTGAGAGGTCAGTCCTATCACCTCCAACTCTGAAGACCAGGAAAATCAGCATTGGAAAGTTCAGAATGACAAAAAAAGGTTGACTTTATTTTGTTACTGAAACTTCGTGGTTTGTTTGTTACAGTAGCTAATGTAACCCTAACTCAGACATTCTTACAATCCAATGAGGTAGATTCAATTATTGACTTCATTTTAGAGGTGAGAAATCTGAGGCACTAAGAAATTATGTTACTTGTCCAAGGTTACACTAGTTAATGTGTGGCAGAGTCAGAATTGAGCCAAAGAAGTGTGGCTACAGATGCTCTTCTCTCAATTGCTATTCTGAGACAAAATTATTGGGTTTGAACAAGAATAAGTTGCTGCTGACCCTGGAAAGGTGTATTTCAAAGTAGCAGTGGGAATAAGTTATGATTATACACAGATAATATTAATATGGTTAATATAAACTATCACAGTATTTTACTAAATCTCTCTAAAACTCTCAATATTTTACTAAATGAGATTTATAATTTTCACACATTCTGACAGCCTCAGTGCTATAATGCATAAGGGTTGCAGAGACCTGTGGGACCTCTAAAATCTCAAATCCATTTCAATTCTAAACAAAAACACATCAATAATATTCATGCTGAATCTAAGTCCTGAAAGAATTGTTGAGTTTACATTAAACTAGTTTTGAATTCACCAATTTAAGCATTCATGAATTCAAGACAACCAAGAAAAAGAGTATGAAGGACTTCTAGATTTTATAAAGGTTGGATTATCATTTATTATGCTAAAAATGTGGCCGGGTGTGGTGGCTCATGCCTGTAACCCTAGCATTTTTTAAGGCTGAGGTGGGCGGATCACCTGAGGTCAGGAGTTCAAGACCAGCCTGGCCAACATGGTGAAACCCCATCTCTACTAAAATAGAAAAATTAGCCGGGCATGATGGTGGGTGCCTATAATCCCAGCTACTCGGGAGGCTGAGATGGGAGAATCACTTGAACCCAGGAGAGGGTGGTTTCAATGAGCCGAGATTGGGCCACTGCGCTCCAGAGTGGGTGGCTGAGCGAGAGTCCATCTCAAAAAAAAAAAAAAAAAAAAAGTCTCTAAAATACCTTGCCTTAAAAAACAACAATTACTCTCAGCAGCAGCTGATGTAAGGGGTCTTCTTGAGAAGAAATGGGGCACGTAATTGCTGCTAACACCTACCCCAAACTCAGCCATTACCAAGGGCAGCTATTCAGTTTCTGTCACTCACATCAAACCTCCATGAATGGCCTTGTCTTCAATTTCATGGTATAAACTGAGGCCATTATGGAGAAAGTTCTTCAAATTTTTGATCTCCATCTCTCAAGTTGTCTGCAATACATCCCATATGTCCCTTCTTCCCTCTTGCCAAAGGGAAAGTGTTGATGTCATTTTATGTTGCACATTATGCTTGAGACCCAATTCCCTGTCTCATATTCATCATTCCCTTTCTCTTGGATTTTCAGTTATGCTTTTTCTAATTTATTATAATAGTTTCCCAGTTCTTAAGAAAGTCACATTGAAAAAAAAATCACAATGAACAATTATCATATTCCAAATAAGCATATATTTTTTCATACATCTATGCCTTTACCCGTATTGTTTCCCCTGCTAGAACTCCCTGTTAATTATTTTAGCCTGTTGAACTCACACTTATGCTGTAAGATTTTTACTTTATCTCCTTCTTGGTAAAATCTCTACTAGTTTGAATGAGTAGAATTGTTCATCCATGTTATGCACTCTAGCTGCAATTGATTGATCTCTAGGTTACTTGTGTAAAAAATAAATTTATCTGTTACATGTTGATTTTCCTCTTTGACTAAAGGCAAAATTCGTGTGTAAGCATAATCAGTTCCTGAGCACAAAAACTAGCATTTAAAAGTTCAATATATATTTGAATGAATAAATAAAAATACTATTCCAAGGAAAGAAGCAAATCAGATACACCTTTCCTCTTTCTTTATATTGGTAAATAATTGAACAAGGAAAGGTATGCTCAAATTCACTGTTTTAAGTTTAATCTTAATAGTAGCCCAAACTACCTTACATTTCAGGTTTATAATCAATGTAGAATTATAATACCTGTATTTGCATCTCTTCCTAAGAATAGTCTCATTTATTTATTTCCTCCTGAGATCCCATTTCCATTCTAGTTTTATTAAACTTTATCTAATATTTTCAGCATTGGGGGCATGTAATGATTCTTGATTTGATTCTTTTATTTCTATAAAGAACTTAGATGCAATAGTTTGATTTGTACCAATTTCCCTTTCACTTGATTACAGGAGTTAGACTATGGAAAGCAATATATCTCAAGTATTCTTTATCCCATCTAGTTCTTGAAAAATAGGTGCTTGCATGTTGGCAGCCCATATAACTCAATCTCCCAAACTGCTTCTCAGGGTAATGCACTTATAGGCTAAAGCTTCTTCTGAAGTCTGGTGATAAATGCAGGATTAGGGAAAGGTTTTGATTATTATAATGGGTCCCTATTTTTTTTCCTCTTGTTTAAAAAGTAAAGACAAATAGTAGCTCAGAATTAAATTTCACAGAGATTTTTTTTTTCCACTTGATCCCTGAATTATGAAGCTGGGACATACTCCTGACTGGTTCCTCATCCCTAAAATGATTATATCAGATGTAGATCTATATAATTCATTCTGTCTTTCACTTATTTTGTAAAATAAACAGCTTTAATTACTTTATCTTCTTAAATGAGTGAAAATTAATAATGCGAATAAGTGAAACACTTTTCTGCTTAGTATGTAATAACAAAGCGCAGATGTAGATCTATATATTTTGTTCGGATGTAGATCTATATATTTCATTCTATCTTTCACTTATTTTATGAATTGAACAGCTTTAATTACCTTATCTTCATGAATGAGTGAAAGCTAATAACAGGAACAAGTGAAACACTTTTCTGCTTAGTATGTAATAATAAAGCTCAGACCTGGTTGTGCTTATTCACCTTAATATTTCATGCTCCTACTCACTAGCAGAACTTTAGGATATTCCTTACATGTGCCTGACTCAAATATCGCACCTTCATCTAAATCCATCCTTTAGGATCTAAACCCAGGATATTTATCTTCACATTCTCTTCTGAAGCTTGGAATACCTTACGCTCCCTTATTCCCCTTTCTCCTCTTTACATGGTTATGTCCTTCTCCTCTGGCATATCTTCTTCCTTCACTGGCCTCATTTTGGGTTTTGGCACTTTTTCACACTGTGTATTCCTGTGTTATAGCTCTTATCCCAAAGTTGTTGTTGTGTTTTTGTTTTAAATTACTTCCCTGTTTCCATTATTAGAGAATAGGCTTCTGTATTAGTTCATTCTTGCACTGATATAAAGAAACATTTGAGGCTGGGTAATTTATATAAAAAATAGGTTTAATTGGCTCACTGTTCCACAGGCTGTACAGAAAGCATGATGGCTTCTGCTTCTTGGGAGGCATCAAAAAGCTTCAAATCATGGTGGAAGGCAAAGGGAGAGCCAGCATGTCTTACATGGCCCGAGCAAGAGCAAGAGATTGAGGGAAGAGGTGCCACAGCTTTTAAACAACCAGATCTAATTAGAACTCACTATCACAACAACAGCACCAAGGGGGATGATGTGTGTCAAACCATGAGAAACTACCCCCTTGATCCAATCACCTCCCAGCAGACCCCACCTCCAGCATTGGGGATTACATTTAACATGGGATTTGGATGGGGACAAAGATCCAAATCCTATCAGCTTCCTAGTAAGTGCTATATTGTATTTATCTTTGCACATTTGACGCCTAGCACTAAATCTATCACTTATAAAGATGTCATTTTTAAATTTTAAAAATAGAAAATGGAATAAAGAATATTCTATAAGTTTTTTGTTTAAATTTTGATCTTTGTGATATACGTGTGTGTGTGTGTGTAAATGTATGTGCTCACTTAACTTGGTGGATAGGTTCTTGGTAACTTTGACTTTAAGCAATACAATGTATAATAATGAAACAAATTTTAACACAGGGTGATTGATATACACAGGGTTAACTTCCTACAGTATATTTCTGGTCATAAAAACACCACCAAACTTCCAAATAAATACCCAAAACACTCCTAATATTAAACACTGAAATAAATATCATCTATGCATACAGGTAAGAAAGATTAATAATAAATAAGATAATTATTTACTCGATTTTTAGTGAACCAGTGAGTGATGGTAGTTGTAATTGTGGTGAGTTAAATCAAGTGAAGTTTACACAATGAACATTGTTAGGAGACCCTCCTACCACTACACAGTTCAAAAGCAAACAATTACTAATAGGAGATCCCACTGGGCACTTTTATACCACATTGCTTATTGTTGTGCATTTGTATAATTATCGTATACTTCATGAATATTTGTTTTATAACAATTTGTATTTATTCATTCATTCATTCATTTTCTAACTCACTTATTCCTATTTAGGGTGGTGGGTGGCCAGAGACCATCACAACAGCTCAGGGCACAAGATAAGAACCAGCCCTGGACAGGACACCATTCCATCACAGGTCATAGTCACTCCCACCCCCCAACACACACACACACACTCACTCACTCATACTGGGACCATTTAGGCAGGCCAGTGAACCTAATGTGCATATCTTTGGGGTGTGGGAGGAAACTGAATTACCTAGATAAAACCCATGCAGATATGAGCATGTACATACATGCTCATGATATGAGAACGTACAAACTCCACACAGACAGTGGCCCTGGCCAAAAATTGATTTTGTTAATCATCAACATTTTCATGAAACAATATTATCTGATGTCCTGCTGTGTGTGTGTTTGTATATATGTATATATGTTATATATATATACACACACACACACGTATGTATATGTCTGTATATACGCACATTTCCAGATTAAAATGGAGTTTTATAATAAATAATCCTTTAAAATAAGAGACAGATGTTAAGAAAAATAATGAATGATCTTACATTTTTTATGCTGTATAGGGGCAGGGCCAGACTAGTTAGTTAGGCAACACGACCCTACCATCTAGTGGTCAGAACACTGAAGAATAGAGTTGAGTCAGCAGACAGGGAAGAATTAATCAAAGCTAATCTCTACCATAAATCCAATACCCAATAGCATGCATCAGAAATGGAAAGAATTCATTACCACTCTATTTATTATCCTGAACTGAACACATAACTGTAATTTGAATTAAGTTAAAAATCATATACCTCCTAAAGTACCATTCATGTATGTTTCTAATTCTCTTCGATAACTATTTATAAACCATGCATAAAAGAGGAAGCAAAGGGAGAAATATTTTGAACATGAAGTGAAAATTATAAGATTCTGATTTATAGAAATAAAAATGAGACTTCTATATATTTCAAAAATTTTTTAAAGTTTGTAGAACCAAGTCAATGTAATAAATGTTTTATTAAGTAATAAAATTAGCCAAAAGGTCTCTTGATTAGGAAACAACAAAAGCTTTTCAGTTTCACTGGCTTTATATTTTGACTGATTAAACAAATTTGGGTATTATTTACTCATCATCATTATTCATTAATTGACGTTTTATTATCTTTGCTTTGGAAACATCATGATGGCAAAGAATCGCCTCAATGTATTTGTTTTTGAAAATTATTATACTGCATATTTTCATCTGAAGTTGATAGAACAGGTAATATTTAAATATAGTTGGTTTTTACCTTGTGGTATGCAAACCTCACACCATTTGGAAAAATGGTTGCTCAACATAACAAGAAGTAGTCTTTGTTTTAAAAATGATGTTGTTGTTCATGTTACATGCAAGAAAAAGTATAAGCCTACAATTATTAAGTGAGTTTTCTCTAAAATTAATGAAATGATTTTTAAAACTATTGAAATATATATAAGATTTTTTCATAAATCTATTTTTATATATGTGTGCATATATATGTGTGCATATATATATGATTATTTCTCATACATATATGGGAAATAATAGTATTTTAAATGAAAGGTAGTTCATATAATAAACCAAGAGATTACATATAATGGATCAAAAAGCTGAAGAATATGGTATTTCCAGTAAATACAGTAGTTGATCCTAAAAATTTGTTTTGCACCTTATCTCTAGAGACAAGTTCAGGAAGGGGCTGGGAAATGAGAAGAAGATAAAGTCCTGATAGGTTTGTGCATCTGAGAAGAAAACCAGTTCTTTGTCTTTAAATACAGTCCAAAAATATTACAAGGCCTGAGGATTGCTTTGCTCTCAGTTTTGCCTGAGAACAAAATAATAGTCTGCACCCTGTGTTAAGACCGGTAGGCCTAAATGTGCTCCACAGAGATGTAGAATATTTCTCACTTGTGACAGAACACCATGGATTGCGTATACACATGATTGAGTACACAGACAGACCTGAAGAAAAAGTGCGGCTGAGAAACGGGAATATCCTAGAATATTCATCACCTAAGACAGGGTAGTGATGAAGACATTGCAAAGGCCGTGAACTTGAATAAAAAATGAATCCGAGGACCAGAAATGGTTTGACAAACCCTTGCCAAAGCCAACATGTCAATCTTCCCAACATACTTCTCAGAAAGGATGGAGGAATCTTGAATTAGGGAATTTACATGTCTACCATCCAACCAAATAGATATGCATATAAATATTAAATTTTCTAATAAATATAAAGTTACATTCCTTTTAGTTCTACACTGTATGATTTTTAACCAAATCACCATCATCATCATTATCAATGTTCTGAGTACTCATTAAGTTTCAAGCAGTAATGATTTCCTTCACATTAATTATCTCGTTTAATTTGATCAGCTCTTTTAAAGAGCGGGTGATGCAACTCACATTTTTACACATTCAAAGCGCAGAAGGATTATGTAACTTGACCATATTGTACTTTGAGGATTCAAGGTCTTAACTGGGGTTGTATTAATTCAAAGTGTAGGCTACACCAAAAGCTTCTTATTTAAAATATAAATTAGTTATGGGTGTCTGGGTTCTCTACCAATTGAAGTATATGCATAAATAATAGGCTATCATATGATAGTGACATCTTTCACATACCTGGTCTAGGTAGTGCAAATTTAATAAGGAACAAATAAGGAGAAAAGTGATTTCCACCACAAATTTATATGTTAAGTTGTCAAATTTTTATTATTATAATTTTTCTTGTTAGCATAACTGGATAGACAATAGAGAGGTTACTGGGTCTGCTTTTTCTCAGTCTCAAAAAATGTTGCATACCAAAATGATGACTTGATTTTCAAATATAGTTGTCATATTTAGTGGTCAAATGAGAACAAAGGAGATGATCATTAAGAATCATAACATTTACAAAAGAAGATATGAAAACCCTTTAACGATTGTAATTCTTCTCTTGAGGAATGAAGTGCATTGTACCTGTTTAATTTTTTCATCTAATGAGAGTTATCCATCGGAACGAATAAAATAATAATTTAATGTCTACCTCAGAAACATGCTTAAGAAAATACAAAAAAAAAAAAATAAGAATTTTTTTCTTATTTTGCATTAAGGCTGCTTATTTCACAGTTCTCTGTGGTTGAATATGATAACTTATACTCTGAGATTACATGGGAAAGCAAGACAAACATGACAAGCATGACATGATCATGAGATAGGTGCACAATTACTGCAAATGAAAAGCTTTCAGTTACACCAAAGATATTGTAAGAGAAAAATCCCTTTTCAGCTTCATAGCTTGAAAGCATAGGAGTGATGAGTGATAAAGTCTTAGTCTTTTATTTTTTAAATCTACAGTTATAAAACCTGAATCTCTCTAAAACTAAATAAATTGTTGTTGAAAAGAAAACAAATAAAATATTGGAAAGGTATGCTTCTGGCATTACAGAGAGGAACACTAGATAAAAAATAGAAAAATATCAATGACTGCTTTTTGTCCATTTACAGGGTAAGAACAATTAAAACTGTTTTAAACCTGTTTCAGATTGCAAAAAGTAGGAAGAACACTAGACATTTTGAAGAAATTTCTAGATCCAGTCAAACCATGGTCTTAATTGTAATGCAAGCTTCTAACTTGTTTTGGTAAGTAGCAAAAAAGAAAGATCATTTTCTAAGACCTATAGCTATACAACGTGTGTGTTGTCTCGGAACACGAAAGCTCAATGAGAAAGAGGACTTAAAAATAAGTTGAAAATTAATATGGCAGTTTCCAAAATTATGTTCCATCATAATTTTGGAGATTGAGATCACACATGCCTGTCTCCAATACATAAAGCTGGGTTCAGAACCAGTGAATTCACCACAAGCCACTGAACACAGACATTTCCCCCTACAAAAATTCCCAAATTTTATCAATAATCAATAATAAGTTACCTTGGGAGAAAATGTAGCGTTAATAAATCACTGATAAATGAATATAAATAGGTAAACATACTGATATGGTCCTTCATTCTGTTTATACAATATGATGACCAATATTGCTCTGGAAATATTTGCTTAAGTTTGGTAAGTGTTCTTCCTGACTTATTTTGGGGAAAATTATTTAAATGGTTTTATTAATAATGATTACTGCTACTAAGAATCAAATTTGTCTAAAATATTATTTGTAATATTTTAAATAATAGATATCCATGTTTATATAATGAGATAAATAGAAATACTTTATAATCACAAAGCAATGATTGTCATGAGGATATTTTTGTCATAAGTTTAGTGAAATAAATTACCCGTAATTAATTGAGGGTAGATGTATGGAAGCAGAAAAGCAATATTGATTACCTTAAAATAAGTGTGATACCTTGTAATCATTATGATTCTCAGAGGGAGTAAGAGTCAAAAACTTGTGGAGCTCGATAAACAAAAATCTAATAAAAATGTTTTCATAGATGACTAAACCAAAAGATTATAACCTTAATAAATTTATATTTCTTCAAAGTGCTTGAATTTTCAAATAAATATTAAAAACTAAATAATCGGCAGCATAGTAGGACAAATACAAGACAGTTACAAACAGCCAGCATTGAAGGTTGAAAGACTGATACCCAGAAAAAAAGCTTGCTCATATAAAATGCTGAAGGGAATAAAATAAATTGTGTATTTTCTGTAATAAAAAATAGATTAATTGCTCCAGACAGTAAAATTTTTGATTTGATTATAATTACCTTAAAATGATATTTAAATAAATAATTTGTAGATTCAAGAGAGGATTAAGCTCAGAAAAGTAAGCAAGAACTTAGCTACTTTACATTTTAGATCTGGAATATCGCTGCCTATACTAGTGATAAATTGACTGACAGAAAGTTAAAACCATATTTAGCATACATTGAAAAATGATAAAAGTCAGCAAACTTACCAGAAAGGATTAAGAAGAAACTTAGCCTTATTTTAAATGTAGGAGAAGTCATCGGAAGTAGATATTGAAATTACATACTGAAGAGTTCATATCAATTTTTATGAAAATGTACTTGTAAGTGATAGCTGATGTGTGGAAAAGGAGCACTCATCAAGGGTTGACAGAAAGCCTGGACCACTCGATAAGGTTGTCTTGAGTTACTTGACAATATTAAAATATTTAGGTATGTAACTATTCAGAAGACAGTTGTATAATATGTCTGTATAACTGGCAGACCAACAATAACACTTCATATGCTGATCTGACACAATCTTTGTCATTTGCACTGCCCTTATCCAAAAATATTTTTATCATTTCTGCATGTACATAACAATTATAAAATGATTTGTCATTTTCACATGTTGTGATATCTAATTTATACTGCTCAAGTGGATCCTATTACATTAATATGTTAAAAACCAATAATAACTGTTTTATAAAATTCACCTGTGTGAGTTCCCTGAAGGTCAAATAACTCATTAAAAATAATGTATTCAAACAATAAATTGCAAGGAAGCTCAATGAGATCCAAGACAAGGTTGAAAATTGACACAAAGAAACTTCTAAAGTAATCCAGGAAATTAAGGAAGGTCTAAACATCTTTAAAAAAAATCAATTGGAGCTTCTGGGATTGAAAAACTCACTTAGGAAATTTCAAAATACAATTCAAAGCTTTATCAATAGACCAGACCATAACAGAAGCATTTCTGCACTTGGAAGTCAGGTCTTTTGAAATAATCCAGTCAGACAAAAATAAAGAAAACAGAATTTTTAAAAATGAACAAAGTATTTGAGAAATATGGAGTTATGTAAAGTGACCAAAGCAATGAATTATTGGCATTCCTGAGAGAGAAGGAGAAAAAGCATATTTGAATATGCCACTTTGAATATGAAAAATATATTTGAGGGAATAACACAGGAAAACTTCCCTAATCTTGCTAGAGAGGTAGACAGTCAGATAGAGGAAATCAGGAGACCACCTACAAAATACTATACAAAATAATCATCACCATGACATCACCAGATTGTCCAAGGTCACCAATACAGAAAAAAATCTTAAAAGCAGCTAGAAAGTAAGGCCAGATCACATATAAAGGGAACGCTGTTAGGCTAACAACGGACTTCTCAGCAGAAACATTAGAAGTCAGGAGAGATTTGGGGGCTTATTTGAAAGATTTACAAGGAAAAGAAAATCCAATCAAGAATTTCATATCCTGTCAAACTAAGCTTCATAAGCAAATAACAAATAAAATATTTTCCAGACAAACAAGCACTAAAATAATCTGTTACTATTAAACCCATCTTACAAGAGATACTTCAAGGAGTACCAAACATGTAAACAAAAGAATGATAGCCACTACTGCAAAAACACGCTTAAGTACATAGCCCACAGACCCTAAAAAGAAACCACACATTAGAAACTACGAAACAACCAGCTAAGAACTTCACAATAGGTTCAAAACCTCACATATCAGTATCAACCTTGAATGTAAAAGGTCTAAATGCCTGATGTAAAACAGACAGTGTCAAGTTAGAAAAAAAAAAAAAAATACACAAGCCTGGCACGGTGTCTCATGCCTGTAATCTCAGCGCTTTGGGAGGCCAAGGCGGGTGGATCACTTGAGGTCAGGAGTTTGAGACCAGCTTGGCCAATATGGAGAAGCCCCATCTCTATTAAAATACAAAAATTAGACAGGCGTTTTGTTGGGCACCTGTAATCCCGGCTACTTGGAAGGCTGAGGTAGGAGACTCACTTGAACCCAGGAGGCGGAGGTTGCAGGGAGTCAAGATCACGCCATTGTACTCTGGCCTGGGCAACAGAGCGAGGCTCCATCTCAAAAAAAAGAACAAAAAAAAAAAAAAAAAAAAAAAAGGAAAAAAAAAAAAGAAAGAAAGAAAAGAAAAGAAGACCAATCTGTCTGCTGTATTCAAGAGACCCATCTCACACATAATAACAACCATAGGCTCAAAGGAAAAAGTTGGAGAGAGATCAAGGACACAAACAAAAAGAAAAAAAAAAAAAAGCGAGCAGAGATTGCTATTCCTATATCTGATAAAACAGGCTGTAAACCAACAACAGTAAAAAAGGAAAAAATATAAAGAATTCAATTTAACAATTAGAATTTGCTATCTAAACATATACACATCTAATATTGGAGCACAGAAATTTATAAAACTACTTTTTTACTTACAAAGACTTACACAGCTACACAGTAATAGTGGGGGACTTCAATACTCCACTGACAGCATTAGACAGATCATATAGGCAGAAAACAAACAAAACAATGTTTGCTGAATTTAAACTGACCACTTTAGCAACTGGATCTAATAGACATGTACAGAATAATCCACCCGTCAACCACAGAATACACATTCTTCTTAGCTGCACATTTAGCATACTCAAAGATTGATTACATTCTCAGCCATAAGGCAAGTCTCCATAAATTCAAAAAAAATCAAAATCATACAAACCATACTCTTGGAGTAAAAACAGAAATCAATACCAAGAAGATATCTCGAAACCACACAATTACATGGAAATTAAACAACTTGCCCCTGAATGATTTTTGGGTAAACAATGAAATTAAAGCAGAAAGTTTTTAGCACTAAATGCCTACATCAAAAAGTTAGAGAGATCTCAAACTGATGAATTAACAACACAGCTAGGGGAACTAGAAAAAGAAACAAAGTGACCCCAAAGCTAGCAAAAGAAAAGAAATAACTAAAATCGGAGTGGAACTGAATAAAATTGAGACCCAAAAATCCATTCAAAGAATCAACAAAACAAAAGTTGGTTATTTGAAAGGATAAGCAACATAAACAGACCACAAGCTAGATTAGCAAAGAAAAATACACAGAAGATTCAAATAAGCACAATCAGATATGACAAATATGACATTGCAATTGATCCCACAGAAATACAAAAGATCCTCTGAGACTATTATGAATACCTCTACACTCAGAATCTAGAAAATCTAGAGGACACATAATCTCCCAGGATTAAATCAGAAAAGAATGGAAAAACTGAACAGAATAATATCTAGTTCAGAAATTGAATCATTACCAACTGAAAAATGCCACAGGGCCAGTTAGAGTCACAGCTGAATCATACCAGATATACAAAGAAAACTGGTACTAATTCAAATGAAACTATTCCAAAATATCAAAGATGGGTGATTCATCTCTAACTAAATCTATGAAGCCAGCATTACCCTGATATAAAAACCTGGCAGAGACAATGAAGAAAAAAAAAAAAAAAATACAGGCCAATATTCCTGATGAACATAGACACAAAAATCCTCAACAAAATATTAGCAAATTGAATCCAACGACACATGAAATTCACAACAATCAAGCAGGCTTTATTTTGAGATGCAAGGTTGGTTCAACATAGAGAAATCAGTAAATGTGATTCACCACATAAACAGAATTAAAAATAAAAACAACATGATCATCTCAATGCCTGCAGAAAAAGCTTATAAAATAATCCAACGTTGCTTCATGATAAAAATCCTCAAGAAATTCACTGTTGAAGGCACATACCTCGAAATAATAAGAGCCATACGTGACAAACCCACGGTAAATATAATGCTGACCAGGCAAAAACTGGAAACATTTCCCCTTGAAAATTTGAACAAATAAAGGATATTCACTCTCACAATTCCTATTCAGCATGATACTGGAAGTGGTAGCCAGAGTAGTCAGGAAAGGGAAAATAATAAAAAAGAATCCAAATAGGAAAAGAAGTCAAACTACCTCTTTTTGCAGACAATGTGATGATTTAATTCTATACCTAGAAAATCCTAGAGACTCTTGCAAAATTTTCCTGGAATGGATAAATAACTTCAGTAAAGCTTTAGGATATAAAATCAACATACAAAAATCAGGGACACTTCTATGCAACAATAACATTCAAGCTGAGAGCTACATCAATAATACAATACCATTTACAATATCTGCACACACACAAAAAAAAAATACCTAGAAATATGTCTAACAAAAGAGGTGAAAGACCTCTACACAGCTACAAAATACTGCTAAAAGAAATCATAGATGACAGAAACAAATGAAAAAACATTACATGCTCATAGATTGGAATAACTGATATTGTTAAAATGAACATATTATCGAGCTACCAATATTATTTTTTTCACAGAATTATGAAATCTATTCCAAAAGTCATATGAGATTAAAAAATGAGCCTGAATAGCCAAAGCAACCCTGAGCACAAAGAACAAAGTCAGCGGCATCACGTTGCCAAACTTAAAACTATACTACGAGGCCACAGTAACCAAAACAGCATAGTACTGACACAAAAACAGACTAATGGAACAGGTTAGAAATCCAGAAATAAATCCACATACCTAGAGCCATCTGATCTTCAATGAACTCATTAAAACTAAGCAAAAGATAAAGGACACTCTAATATATGGTGCTGGGACACCTGGCTAGCCATCTGCAGAAGAATGAAACTGGACCCATACCATTCATCATAAAAAAAAAGCCTCAACGTGGATTAAAAATTAAAATATAAGATCTAAAACTATAAGAATCCTTGAAGAAAACTTAGGAAATATCATTCTGGTCATTTTCCATGTTACAGAATTTATGACTATGTTCACAAAAGCAATTGAAACAAAAATAAAAACTGGCAAGTAGGACCTATTAAAACAAAATAGCTTCTGCACAGTAAAATAAACGATCAACAGAATAAATAAAAAAACTACAGAATGAGAGAAAATATTCAAGAACTATGCATGCGACAAAGGCCTAATAGCTAGAATCTATAAGGAACTTAAACCAACAAGTAAAATACAAGTAACCCCATTAAAAATGGGCAAAATACATGAACAGACACCTCTTAAAAGAAGACATACAAGTGGCCAACAAATATATGAAAAAATGTTCCACATCACTAATCATCAAAGCAATGCAAATCAAAACCGCAATGAGATACCACTTCATACCAGACATAATGAGTTTTATTAAACAGCAAAAAATAACAGCTGCTGGCAAGGCTGTGAAGAAAGAGGAATACTTACACACTGTTGGTAGGAATGTACATTAGTTTAGCCACTGTGGAAAGCAGTTTGGATAGTTCTCAAAGAACTTAAAATAGAAACACCATTAGACCCAGCAATCCCATTACTGGGTATATATCCAAAAGAAAACAAATCATTCCACCAAAAAGACACATGCACTCACATGTTCATTGTCCCACTATTCTCAATAGCAAAGACATGGAATCAACATAAGTGCCCATATGGTTGATTGGATAAAGATTATGTGGTATATGCAAACCATGGAATACTATACCACCATAAAAATAAAACAAAATTATGTCCTTTGCAGCAATGTGGATGTAGCTGGAGTCTATTGTCCTAAGTAATGCAGGAACAGAAAACCAAATATGGCATGTTCTCATTAATAAGTGGGAGATCACTGGGTATTCACGGACATAAAGATGGCAACAACAGAACCTGGAGACTACTTAGGGGAGCGGGGAAGGAGTGGGGGAGGATTGAAAATCCATATATTGATCACTAGCATCCGAACTTCAGCATCATGCAACAGACTCAGGTAACAAACATGCATATGTACTCCCTGAAACTAAAATAAAGCAAAATAAAATTTAAAAACTCTATATCCATTAGAGAGTCATCTCACATTCTCCTCTCCTCCAGCTCTTGCAAGCTGGCATTATGGCGTTCTCATCATTCTATAGCCTATTAAGTTTTGAAAAAATAAAATAAAATATTTAAAAGATATGTAAGTATATAACATCAGAAAAAATAATGCAAGCTTTTCCTGGTTGAACAATGTATGTACCCAAAGACTTTTTTTTAACCTATGCATAATAACCACTTGAAAGCTTGAACTTAGCTATGAAAACTTACTGTCGTCTTGATTTCACACACCATATTTAGTCCATTAGAACAATAGTTTACCAAGAACTCTTCATCATGCTTTTAACAGGTCTGATTCTCATGCAGTGTATGGTAGAGTCTGTTAAATGCTTTTAAAAAGTTGTTTGCTGTTGTTCTGTTCATCCTCAGAAAGCACATAATTATTTGTAGTACGAGGTGGCCATGTGACTGATTTTTGCCATCAAGTGTAAGCAGGAGTGATGTGTTCCTTTCAGACATGGTTTGTGAAAACCCAGCATCTGAACTTCTCCATAGGCTTTTCCAGCTAGCAGAAATGGGATTATACATCAGAGCAAACATAAATACCACTTAATGGAAACAGTAGATCACCTACACAGTTCCAATGCATAGGTAAGAATTAACTCATACTTATATTTGAATCATTAATTGTGGCATCTATTACTTGCAGCAGTGAGCCTAACACAATTAATAAATTATGCTTAGCAATGTCACTAGGCTCTTTCCATTTTATAGACATGTTGATGGCAGAAATTCCCATAATCTCAAGGAAATTCATTTTGTTATCAATGCATCACTAGTATTTTCTTAATATGGTTGTTATTATTATCTTTTCGTGCTTTTTATAATTATTAATACATTTTAAAAGTTATCAGACTATTTGAATCTAATTTTTTGTTAATCTGGCCATTTACAATAAGACAAACTTACATCAACCCTATTTTAAGCTATTTTTTCCAATAATTATATATGCCTATTTTGTTCACAAATTAAATACTGATACAATGATACATGTCAAGAAGAAGTATATGAACACGTGTGTGAATTTCCTGTAAACAATTTGCATATATACTGCCAACTCTTACTTATCTTTCATTTCTTTGACTGATAGAAAGTAGGAATATGTATGGTAAATGGGTGCCAAAGGGCAAATTGCCCCAATGAAGCAGCACATCCTCAAGAAAACTTGAGGGCTGTTGCCGAAGAACTCATATTTGGCTGAACTGGTATACTGTATGGCAGCCAAACGCTAACTATTCTTTTCTCATATTTACCACTGCACCTGTCCATTCTGACAACTTCCCCAAGTATTCTACATGTATGGATTTCAAATACCTGTTCACCTTTTCCAGGGTCTTCTCCTCAGTAGGAATGGTGGCCAAGCTGAAATACATGGGTCTCAGAACTCAGGCGTGTCTACCGTTACAATGCCAGCAGAAAGACAGTCTTTCTCAAAACAACAGGCTCCTTCTCTCTGCTTTCTTTTATTCATATGTTCCTTATTTCCTTTTTGGCAATACCTGACTGACTGGAAATAAAGGCACATTTCTACATATGTCCAAGGCAAGGCATGTTTGCACTGTGATTTAGAGTACTACGATTTCTCCAAGGGCAGTTGTTAAGAACAAATCAGATGATCTTTCTCTGAATAAAAACATAAGAGAAAGACAATAAATATTTGTTTCCTGATTTAGAAAGATACTTCAGGCTATTATCAATCCGGGTGTGTTTCCATGTTGAGTGGCCCTCCAGTGATTTATTTCACTTTTCTTTTTCATGCATCTATGAACCCATATACCTATTTTTTAAGCTTTATTTCACATCTGTTTTGCACTTAGAATTGTGAAAAAAAAATTCAGTACAAAGATGAAAAACTTGCTTTTCACCTCCAGCAAATTTTAAATATATTTGTTGATAATAGTAACAAGTACTACCAACATTTTTGGATGCTTATAATATACCTGACCCAACACTAATTGATTTGAAAAAATGATCTTATTTAATTTTTACAATTGCTAGGGTAGATTTCTCCCCCACTGCATAAAAATTTATAGATGAGAAAATCAATGTACAAAAAAATTAAAAATGATCTCCAGGTATACAGCCAGCTACTGAGTGGTGAACCTACGATTCAATCGTAGAGAGTTTTCTGAAGCCCTTCTTCTGAAGCAAACACATGAAGAGTATAGGTATGGTGATCACATTTGTTAATAACACTAAATTTAGTGGAACATATACTGCAGTGAGTGGTCAAATCGTAATTTTTTAAGATATCAAGAGAGTGAAAAAAATCAAAATCAAAATAAAGTTAATAGAGTAAATGAAGCATATGCACATCTTAATAACATCAAACTAAATATGCATTATTAATGATCAAATTATGTGTTCAAATATATTAATGATCAAATTATATATTAATGATGAAATATATCAAATTATGGCATCACCTTGTAAAGACAAAATTTTAAATTTTACACTATTTTTATCACTCTATGAATAGCTTGTAGGACTGAAAGTGAATTTAAGTTGCATCTTGCAAATTATTTCCCAGTGTAGAAATTACCTTAACAACATCCATACTAATTGATTACCAACATCTACTTAAACATTTCCTGGGAAAAGGAGTTCAATTTCTTGTAACAGAGCCCAATCTATATCTTGTGATCTTTTTGAGTCCTAGGCTGCTGCTTTTTAACTTTAACTCATTGATCCTGATTCTGTCTTTTGAGTAACACATAATTAATTTACTTGCTCACTCTACTTGACAGCCCTTCAAATATTCATAGGGCTCTTAATGACTCCAATAAGTTTTCTCAGTTCCATAATACTTCCAATAACTACTTAGTTGAGATGCATTGCATCAAAATTTGCACAACGCTATATGAGCATGCACTTCCTTCCCACATTTTCACCTCACATTTATACACATAAAGAGAATCAGATCTTTAGTTAAATAAAATTTGTTTAAATAATAAAAAAGTTAAAAATCATGAAAATTTCAGGTTAAGTTCAGATAATAAGTTAATTATACAAATGGGTGGAGTGGCAAATAAAGCAGCTTGATTTTGTCTTCTGATTTCAATCTTTTTTCAAGTTTTCTTGTTTTTGAAGGCCCCTGCCCACGCTACGTTCAAGGAACACTCTTGTCCATTTGAGTCTATGCTGAAAAATATGTGAATAATTATTTCCTTTGGTTTCCCATCATAATGTGGAATTTTGCAAGTCTTGGCTAAATATGTGTGAATTTTTTTAAAATGGAAAAATCAACACGAGAAACTGAAAAAGATGCAATTTTTTTCCATTCTTATAATTTTCAGGTTTTGTTGTATTTTATATATTATCGCTGGAGGGAGATGGGTGTATTTCCCCTTATTTGAGGTGCATGACTCTTATCCTTGAATAAGGTGAGATTATATTCACTATATATCTTATAAAAAGAAAAATGGGCTGAAAATTGACTATGACCCTTTTTGCATTCTACCTAAGAGCACAATTAGTTTCTAAGGTAAATTATATTTTGCTTAGAAGATGATTTGTCTGGGTGTTTAAATGGCATGTAATTAGGTCTCTGAAACAAACTTAAACTGGGAAGTATAAAATAAAGTTCTATAGATTGCAGGGTATTGAAATAATAAGGTGAAAATGCTGTAGTGGTTCTTGCAATATGAACTGATATTTGATTTCCTGTGGGCAGGCTCAGATAGAAAATTTCTTAAGATTAGGAACATGCAAAAAAAGAAGTGGTGGTAGTCTCTATAAGAAGAAAAAAGCATGAAAGACAGGACACAAATATAATCTAGAAAGAGACTTCTTATATTGGGTGTGGTAAATGAGCTTGATGGATTTTGATGTTTGATATCTAGTTTAAAGATATTGCCTATTTTATATTGTAATTACTCCCTATTGCTTTTTCCCTTCATTTCTACAAATCTCCAGGAAAATTTAGTTAGCCATAGTTAGTACTGGGAAAGCAGGGAGAATTCTTTTAAAGACTTGGGTAAAGTGGAACAAAAAGATCTTCATCAATCTTGCCAAATTATGACAAAATAGGCTGAAGTGAAAATAGAAGCAGAAATCAACAGCATGAACTGAAGATTAAACAACTAGGACCACTAAACACTTCCTAGGCACATTTTAGGATATTTCTTCAGTCACTTACCCGATAGAGGCTAAAGTTAAACTTTTACTACTTGCCTTAAAAGATGGAGTGACTCTAGAAGAAGAGGACTTCTAATTCTTGAAGTCATAAATAATAGGATGATGTCTTTATTTTATAAATACTATACTAAAAAATGATAATTTTTTACTTACATGTAGATGTTTAAAATAAATGTTTACATAATTGAAAAGTTTGAACCTCATATTGTTAAAGAAAACATTGTTAAGTTTGATGAATATTTAGTATCAGGTGGTATAAATATATTTATTTTCTGAAGTTTGTATAAAATCTTAACCCCAAATGGATGTTCAGACATTTTAAAGAATATATGACTCATTAACACTTTATATATAAATTCGAATATTTTTCAAAAAACCTCAAGATATTCTCAGATAAATAATCTCAATAGAAGTAGATCATAACATTACCTGAAAGAAATCATCATTACAATGGAGATTTTAAAGTCTGAATGAAGCTAGCTCCTGTAAACTTGTCTAGTTTCATCTCTAACATGTACATTGCCAGTTAAAGATTTTACTGTTTAATATTGTGGTAGACAAACTCAAGGAATAGTGTAACCTATTATAAAACCTTTTCTTCCTCTCAAATGTGACATCTGATAACAGAACTTATTTGTGATCCCCAACAGTAAAAAGATTATAAGGTAGTGTGGTAAGCCTATCAGTGAATTTCTACAAGTGGGATGTCTGGCATTTCCGTCTTTTGGAATACTACCATGTGATATATATTAAGGCAAGTGCCTTAATTCCTCTGTTTCCCATAACGAAATGAAATGGTTACAATAAGTCAGTATTACAACTCCTTGGAACAGTCACTGGTTCCATCACTACTCTCCCTCATTCTTCTAATTGAAAGTATTAAAGCTCCAGTAATATACAAATGCCTAACAGTTCTATTTAACAATATAATTGCAGTTGGTGCCTTGAGATACTTGGAAGATTAATCTATGTTTTACTAAGATCATTTTGATGTTGTGCAAAGTTTCCATATCTACCTTCTTTGACAAATGAAATTAGAATAGTTACATAGTTTTTTGTTTGTTTGTTTATAATAAACTATATATGAGTCAAACACTGCATGGATTCTAGAAGAAAGCCATATAGATCTATGTTAACATCAAAAGAATTAAAATATCACAATGAAAAAATCCCAAAATCAAGCTACTATATTGGTATGAAAATGCCTATTCTTCCACTCAAGAAAACGTAAATCTTATCAAACACCACACACCTCTAATGAGATTTTTAACCCAGGACAAATATCACTATGTATGTTATTTACACAGGGAGAATGAATTCCTGAAAGTATGGGTGTAAATTAAAACTGGTGTAGACAAAATAGCATGCATCCAGCACTGCAAAACGTGCTCTTTCTACAGAATCTATGGCTCATTTCTTAAAGTGAATACTAAGTAATATTCCACTAAATTGAATAATAATTCACATACTATCTCCTTCCCTCCCTCCCTCCCTTCCCTCCTTCACTCCCTCCCTTCCCTCCTTCCCTCCCTCCCTCCTTCCTTCCTTCCTTCCCTCCTTCCTTCCTTCCCTCCTTCCTTCCTTCCTTCCTCCCTTCCTTCTTCTGACTTTACCTAGAAAGATACCCACCAAGAATACTAATGAATATTTGGTGAAATAACTAAATAACTTTAGAATGTAATGAATATCATCACAAAACTATAGCTACATACAATATTATATAATACTAAACTAACCTGAGGCATCTTGGAAAGAGAGAAAGATCCAAGTGAGAAATCAGTCAACATGAACCATATGTTTGATGTTGAAGTTATGTTTAACACTCAAGTCTGCATACCGCCATGGTAGATACCTAGATAATCAAAGGAAACCCAATTTTCTCTATGTACCCCACTCCTACTCCCAGAAAAAAAACGGATGGAAACTGAGTAGTGTTTTCCAGTTCCCTATGCTTTGTTAGCTTTTGTTGCCTTCTGTTGACTTTGGATTTGGACTCTGTGATGGTTACTATTGTTACTCAACTTGATTGGATTAAAGGATCCAAAATATTGTTCCTAGTTATGTCTGTGAGGGTGTCGCCAAAGGGGATTAATATTTGAGTCACTGGACTGGGAGAGGCAGACCCACCCTCAATTTGGGTGGGCACCATCTAATCAGCTGCCAGCATGGCTAGGATAAAAGCAGGCAGAGGAACATGGAAGGGCTAGACTGGCTGAGTCTTCTGGCCTCCATCTTTCTCCCGTGCTGAATGCTTCCTGCCCTCGAACATCAGACTCCAAATTCTTCAGCTTTTGGACTCTTAAACCTACACCAGTCATTTGCCAGGGGCTCTCAGGCCTTCAGCCACAGACTGAAAACTGAGCTGTCAGCTTCCCTACTTTTGAGGTTTTGGGACTCAGACTGCAGATGGCCTATGATGGGATTTCACCTTGTGATCACGTCAGTCAATTCTCCTTAATAAGCTCCCTTTCATATATACACCTATCCTATTAGTCCTGTTCTTCTAGAGAACCCTGACTAATACAGACATGGACTTGGATACTATCTAAGGCCATGCTTGGGTTTTATTGTTGTTGTTGTTGTTGTTGTTCTGTGTTTTTTAAACTATGATAGTGTCTACCTCTTGTCATACTTTTATACGTGAAATGGGTCCTGTCACATATGAAAGATATTTTGCTTGGTGTTGACTTAATTTCTTCAACTATACTTTAAAAACTTGAAGTGTAGTTATTCCATTTAGTCTACATAATACATCCCTCCCTATTGCAATGATTCAAGGATAACAAACTTGATCTGATGTCTAGGAAAAACGTTGCAAATCTAAACTTGACATTTTAGTAACTTAAGCAATTGAAGAAGCTTTCAAGAAATCAAATCTCAGAATGCAATGCGAATGACATCTTTTCTTTTGCTGTAGTATCTAAAGCTAGTAGGAAACTAAATAGAGCAGACTATCTAAGCCTAGCTCTAGAGGTAATTTGTCATTTTGTTTACACTATAACAGAGTTAAGAATTACTTAATAAAGGACCTTATGTCTTGGATATTGAAAGAAATGTAAATTTGTTATTTTTTTCTGAATATTCTAAGTTGACTCTATTGTTGAAAAGGTAAACTTTAAGTACATGGTAATCTAAGGGCTACTTATCATTTCAACTCCTATTGTCCAGAGGAGAAAATAGTTTATTTGTACCGGCACTGCTACTAGTTATGATATGTGCATATATTTTATTAAGAAATGTTTGTAGACCAGAATATGGAAAGAAAACAAATGATGCATATCAAAACATAAGTGATGTTAAACGGAAATACACTGAACAAATTTTAGACACATGCCTGTTTTTGTCTATCAATTTATAATAAAATTGCTGTAATAGTATTTTTTTTTCCTAGTGGGCTGTGTCTTGCTTACCTGTACTATCTTATACTATCCAAGACCTCTGTAGAAATAATGACAGTTGATCACATTTTAATGTAAGATAATGTAATTTTAGACTTAGAAAAGGTAAGGAGTTTTAATTAAGAAAAACTATCATATAGGACCTTCATTTCACAAAGGACTAAAAACATAGTTATCAATATATTCTTGTTGTCAGTAAAAGGGAATGTTTCTTATGCATAGTTACAAGGTGTGATGGTGTAAGCAAGTATATATGAGAAAGTTTGCTTTTCCCCCACAGGCAGAGTATAGCTGATTGCAAATGCAAAATAAATAAATAAATAAATAAATAAATAAATAAATAAATAAATAAAACAATCTTTTTTCTTCAGCTTTCAGTGCAGAAACTAGGCAGCACACACATAATATTGAAAGAATGCTCAGCACAGGTTAATTTGCCTTACCCTCTCTAGGACAGTGGCCTTTCAAAAGCCTCACAAAAATAGTTAATCTACTTTATCACTGTTGCTCTTAAAGCTTCACAGGATACTCTGCAAAGCAGTAGCTGCACTGCAGATAGCTCTAAAGCTTCATTAAAATCAAGAATATCTTTGAAAAAGGATTGTAATCCTAGACTAGAAAAAAACAAAGTCAGATTTTTCCCTTTGTGGCTGGTAGAAACCCTGATAACATTGAGAACTCTTACACATCTTTCTACAGTATCTGTACAAGCTGCACTAGAATCACATCTCAGTTCACTGAGTTAATGACCTAGAAGAAAATAAGTAGGTTTCTCAGAAATTAATGCTTAAATGTAATTGAAGGTCAGGCAGATAAATTACGTTAAACCAGTAAATTAAAATCCCTGAAGAGGAGATCTTTTTCTGTCCAAACAGAAGTAATTATGGACATATTCCTTGGGCAATGATTTCATTCAGAGTGGC
Organism: Homo sapiens; assembly: GCF_000001405.40. Lineage (NCBI taxonomy): Eukaryota > Metazoa > Chordata > Mammalia > Primates > Hominidae > Homo > Homo sapiens. The sequence continues at coordinate 190,339,623 of NC_000001.11, forward strand.
TCATACAATGTTATTCATGTGGCTCCTCTAGTATTGCCCACCTGCCAACCGCCTCCCGTACTATTTAAAAAATATTAAAACAAGCCAAACCCTTTTTCTAACAATATAATTCATTTAGGCATTTATTTCTGTTATCGTATGGGTGTGTTTTGAGTTCTTCATATCTTATCTTCAAAAGTGAGTTTTTACTTAGCAGAGACACACAGTAGATCAATACTTTATAGACATTGTCCTGATTTTATTTGTGAATTGTAATTTAAGATTGCAAAAGATGTTGATTTATTCTTCTGTCAAAAGGCATATATTTTCAACTAGGCTTCTATGTCCATTTGTCCAATTTATTAGACAGGTGCCTTATGACAGCACTAGTGAAATTTGATTGATTACACTTACTACCTATGACTGAGTATCAAAAAGAGGAAAGAAAAAATAGCTATTTCTATAGCCACACTTAAAACTGACTCATATTTTATATATTGAGCCTATACAATGTGGGGAAATCAAAGATAAATAAAATCCTTAGATAAGAAAAGCTTTCAATTCAATGTATCATAGGAATCTCAAATGACCTCTGGGTTATGTTATCTGCTGGCAGCAAACAGGTAGTGGTTTTACTGACTTGAAAAGTAATCAAGGAATAGAAAAATGGAGGACACTCCCCAAAAGACATTTGCCAAACTGGGTGAGGCTTAAAAGTCTTTATTTGAGCTGCTCATCTGAAAGCTCATATTTTCCATCTCATAATCAAATCTTTGAAGACTCTGCTGCAGTACAAAATCTTTTATGACACTCCTTTTGGGTCTAGCTCAGTATATACTCTTCCTTCTTATTGATTGATTTATCTCTCCATGGGTTTATTATGGGTCCCTGGACTCAAGAGGAGATAGTTTAATATCTCTGGAATTATGAACAATTTATCCCAATCTTTCTAATATTTCAGATTGACCAAGCAAGTCTGTGTTCCTGACACCCACATTTGAAAAATAGAAGACTATTTACTGGAACTTCAGTGGCTATAATGAGTAACACCACACAAGTTCTTAATTTATTTCCCCACATGCATACTAGAATAGAACCTTTCTTATGAATGAGAAAACAAAATCTCATAGGCCCTGTCAAAAAAAAAAATCTGTGTAATGTAATGTCAGCCACACTTCTCAATGCTAAGTACTTGGTCCTCAGCTCAATCCTTATTCTCTAAAAGAGGATCAAGAGTACCTGGATTCTAATGTAGAGAATACTCTATGTGAGCAGATATAAGCAATGAATTTGTCTGATACTCATTCTTTTTTTTTCCAAGAAATACTTTTTAAGGCTTAAAGATGTATCATTTAACAGGAAAGACAAAATTTTCTGCTCTTGTGCAGTTTATACTCTGTTGAGTAGAACTTATATTCATCATGTTAGGGACAAAGAGAAAAACTAGCACTAATTATCTGCTTGAGATAACTGCTATGCTCCAGTAGTTTAAGATGAAATCCGTGGTCCAGTCATCTGGAATTTAGAAGATCCATTACCATCACACTTCACAGAAAAGCAATCAGCCACTAGTTAGTAATTTTTGTTCTTCACATTGGTTAGTTGAACAAACACCTCTGTCTTTTTCAATGCTAATCTATGGTGAACACACCTACAGTAATGTCAGCAAACAAATTAAAATGTAGTAGGACAAATAATCACTTTTAATGTTTTTCATGTTCTGTTAGTATAAAATCTCTAACTACTTTTATTATACATGATAATATATGATGTTTAATATTTCTTCTATATTTATCATGTTTTATTTGCACAAGAGCTTTAAAATGTACTTTTCTTTCAGTGTGTGTTCCCTGGTACAAAGGCACTTCAAAACGCAATTTTATTTTTAATGTAAAAGTAATGCCACCCATTTTGTAAGCACATATAGCATAATACTTCCAATGAACAAAACAACAAAAAACGTGATCTATGAGTAAAGACCACACATATATTTACAGAAGGAAACCATTACTCTAGATTTCAAAGAGTTATCTTTTGACTGGCTTTACAAGATGACATTATTTGGAGATGACTATAAGATGGGAAAAAGAGGCAGAAATATCAAAGTTCCATAGTTGAAAAAAAATTACATGCACAAAGACAAATACACAGATGTAAAAACATACACAGACACAGACATATATATGTGTGTGACATTATCAGGAAGCAATACTAACACTTTCATGTTTCTGCAGTGTATTTGTTTCCTGTTTCTACCTAACAAATTATCACAAATTTAGTGGCTTAAACATTATACAATTATGTTAAAGTTTTGCAAGTCAGAAGTCTGATGGATGTCACTATGCTACAATCAAAAAGTGTCAGCAGGACTGAGTTCTTCCTGGACACTATAGTGGAGGCCCTATTTCTGTGTTTTTTTTTTTGCAGTTTCTAGAGTACCCCACATTCCTTGCCATGTGACCCCATTTCTATAACTTCAAAGTCAGCAGGGTTGCGATGGGTCTTTTTCTCAGTCTTGCATTTATCTGGTTCTCTGTCTTCTGCCTCCCATTTCTACTTATAAGAATTACTGTGATTATGTCTGGGTCACCTGGATAATCCAGAATAGTCTCCCCATTAAGGAGGCTATCATATAGTATTTTTTAATTAGCAACCTTAATTCCATCTCCAAGTTTACTAAGTAACCTAGCATATTCACATTTTCAAGCATTAAAATGTTGACATTTGGGGGGCCACTATTCTGCTTACATATTCATGGTTAGGGCTTTCTGTGCAAAAAAAAAAAAAAAAATGATGGGTTATAAAGATTCTGAATGTTTTTCCACAGGCCCATTTGCTTTTTACATCCTACTGGTGTTTAACCTGGAGTCTTTTGCTATTTTACGAAGAGTATTGAAACATGTCTCTCTGGAGTCAAATATTTCATTTCAGGTAGGCACTTGCCCATATATATATATATATATTTCCAAGTAAGATGTTTATATTAGGGATGTAAGATTTTTCTTCCTCTCTCATGAGGGCTACTGTTGGCAACTGGGCAGCATGTAGCCTATATAAACTTCCAGAATCATAATTTTGGGATTATTCTCTTGCAGACACCTCCCTTTATGATGTCAATCTAAGGGCTGAGCTAAGGGAAATAAATGTGATTATTGTAAGTAACAATACTTCTGATCTCAGTTATATAAACTACATGTACATTTTTAGGAAAAAAATGAATAAATATAGATGTTTAAACATATGAAGTATATCTCAAATGATAAATGTTTGTATTTAGCTGTGGCCTAGAATAAATACAGAATTTTCTTATGGGCCAAAGACAGAAAACGGTGTTAAGATCAAGTGATGAAAAGCTTTGAATACAAGTTTAAGGAGGTAGACTTCATTCAGTAGGATTCGAAGAACTATGGTGGCTCTTTAAACAGAACTGCGGCATAGCCATTAAATGTATCTAGGAAAAATATCTACCATCAATCAAAGTACAGGTTGAAGTTAAGATGAACAGGCGATGTATCAATTATTGATTTATTAAACTGAGGGAAACTGCTGCATGTATAATGAGGAAGAACCACCCAGGGTTAGATTTTGGGAACGGAGGAAGAGTGAATTAAAAAGTTGACAGAAAAATAAAATGAGTTAGGTTTGAAGAGGTAAATATTTAAAATTCTGTGGCAGATATACTTGGAAGAAGGTGGCTGTTTAAGGCTAGAGTTTGAGAGAGAAGTTAAGACTACAGATGAATAAATGCAGAAACTTTGCACAGTAAAGTGAAAACAAAACCAAATTAGCCTGATTTTGAATCTTGATTCTGCTATGTACTATGGTGAGCTACTTGGGAAAGTCAGTTATCCTTTCCAAAACTCAGCTTACTTAACTGTAAAATTGGAAAATAATAAGCATTCTGCACAGGTATTATAAAGGAAGGATGACATATAAATTAAGTGCATATTTGAATGCCTTGTATATAGTACATGCTCAACAATCATTTTTACTTTTATTATTATCATTACAATAATAAAAACCATTACTAGTATTATTATATTTAATCTCTAATTTGTTAGAGGTGTTAGATTAAAGAAAATTGGTAACATAGACCAGGGAGAGTACGTCTTCTACCAATCAATAAACCGACTCTGTATGTACTTCAATTACACTAATAAGGACAGAAGAATCATAATAAAATTATTTTTACTCAAAAATGAAATGGGCTGTATCATACTCAGATATCAAACAGCAAGTAGATTTCTTCTTATAAATATCTATAGTCATAAGCTTATTCCTATAGACTTGTTCCTAAGTCCATGGTGCCAAAAAATTGTCTTCTGAAGCATTTTACTGTCATAATGTACTCATAATATAAGGACAAAGCAGACAGCAGCATTATACACAATATCATGAGTAGACCTAGTGCTCATGAAAAAATATACAAAAAGTAAATATCAGTGGAGAGCTATACAACATATATGTGATAAAACGAACTATGTTTATTCACCAAGATAAAATATATTGTCCTTCAATTTCAGTAGAAAAAAATCTTCTTCTATTACTAATATAAAAAATAAGGCTGTTTGTTGAAATATCATTAGATAGTAACTAAATTTTTTGAGACCTTTATATGCTAGGAACTGTGCCAATTGTTTAACATACATTAATTTCATTCCCCTTTGAGTCTGTTACTTCAATACTTTCAATTTCGAGCTCAGTAAAGTGATAGAGAGAGGCTGAGTAAATTCTCTAAGGTCAAATAGTTAGAAAGTACTAAACTTGATTATTGCCTAGGCAGTTTGACGCTACAGAGCTGTACTTCAACTATGATTGCTGAATTGGCCATCAACAACAGTACCCTCTCAAAACTTTTCAGTGCAAACATAAGTAGCAAAGATTTGATTGTCTATTACTATTTTCAGTTCACAATTTTCTACTCAGTATAGCTCTGAATCATTACTAAATATTAATGTCATCATCATGACTTTCTTAGAGAACACTTTTTCTGATAATCATGGTTTCTTCTTCCATTCATCTTGAAAAATCTGACAAGAATCAGACCACAAAGGAAAGAATGTGCATAATATCAAGTGTTCACTGATAATCAGTCATGTTTGAATCTCTTAGCTAGGAGGTAGTTGAAAAGTTTAACATAATAAATAATCTAGCTAAATAATGATAGTGGTAGACACAGTATTAAATTATTGCTAGTCAGAGTATAAAGTTCAAATATTTAAACAATTTAGCATTATTTTAACCTATATGCCATCAACGACCTTAGGGAATAGACATTCAGAGGAGATTATTACTACAGAATGATGAACACTCGCTTAAAGCAGAAGTAGTGAGCACTGTGAGAACTATATAATTGGCTTTAATATAATTGTATTGAATATGCATTACGTACATTGTCAAAAAAACTGTCACAAATGATTAATAAATTTTAAAGTCATGGTATAAATTTCAGAACATTTTATTAAATCCATTAACCTGCCAAGTAGTTTAGTCAGGGTCCTTGTTCATGTATGCACACCTTTAATATCAGATCTACTGTAAAAGTTGTAAACATTGAGACTCATTGGTCTGAAAATGACCTCAATAAGTCTACTGTCTCTATACCATTCATAACCAGTTGTGCATGTTCATAATCGTTCCAGAAAAGAGACACAGATTTTCTCTGGAAAGGCGATTTGAAAGATCTAAATCCAGATTACTTAAAATTAAAAAAAATTAAATTCCAATTTGCCCATGAAATTGAAGCAATAGTTTAGAGCTCAGAATCGAAATAAAACCAAGACCTGGAATCAGGAAGAACATTGGAATCAGATTCTCTGAGCATTTCTTTCTGCTTCCTCTCTTCCTTCTTTATATTCTTTTAATCAATTTTTGCTTGGAAATACAATATTATTAGTAATATTAGTCATATATATCTATTTCATCATATTGTTATATGAATTAAAATAGAAAATGTTAATATTAGAATTAGGAAAACATGACAAAATTATGCAAAATGTGCATGTCAAATTATTTAGAAGATTATTGCTAAAACTAGCTAGCCTAACTTGAAAAACCTGTCATGGAAAGAATTAAATTACCGAAATCAACAACCAAATAGCCATTTACCTTCAGAAAAAAAAAAAAAAAAAGAACACTTGTTAAAATAGGTGGAACTCCTTATTAATTGTCTTCTTAAAATAGTAAACAGTGGAAAGACAATCTATTAAACAAAATATGTTCTTTCTTTAGAACATTCATTGGAAATCATTGCCAATTATCTTTCAGTCCTAAAATTGATTCCAAATATAGAAAGATGCATCCTCTCTGTAAATGATCAAAATAAAGATAGCTTAAATAGTTTAATTTTAAAATGTCTATATTTAAATAAATTATAATAGTCACAACCTGCATAAGTGAAAGATTAGATAAAATGGAAAATAGTGACATTTTAGAGCATCAGACATGAGAACAATAAAAGGGTTAAGAAAATGTAGCATTTCTAGCAGGTCTGTCATTTTAATATGTTTGCAAAGGCAAGTACAGATATTCTGAGAATAACCATCAACTGTAGTAAAATGATTAAACATAAAACAAATTTTAAAGACACTTAAAATATACCAAAAAACTGCAAAAGCCTTATTACCTAAGAGGTAAGAGGATATTGCCAAAATATATAATCAAAAAAGTGAAGATTTATTTATATGTGAAATATAACTAATATAGGAAAATAATGGGAACACTCAAAGCTATGGCAATAGGCTGCTAAACTGAAGGCAAGTGCTTTGTTAATATATAGTTAGTTGTATGCAAGACATTCTTACACTTTTTTCTCTTTAAATAATAATGTATCCTTTTTATCTTTGGTATTTCTGTACTATTTTCTCTGAATCTCAAACACTTTTTCGTTTTTAAAAAAACTCTTAGGTCTTGAGTGTTCCTGTGCTTATTCCTTGCCAAAGGATGTGCATTTCTTGCCAATATCTACCTAATTGTGGTTGCAATGAATCTGAGAAATCTAGCTAATCTCACTTAATCTAGATCATTTTTTAATACAAAGTGCTACCTTTCCTTAGAATATGCATTTATATTTTTCACCCTTCTTTTGCCAACAAACTGCCCCTCATTCTTGAGTACCCAGTTTAGACTTTATCCTCCCTAACAGCGATCTCTGAAATGCCCCAGAATAGTATACTTACATCTTCTTAGTTAACCAAAATATTTTGCATATTCTTATATCACAGCATTTGTCACAGTTTTATTATTTTCTGTTCATTTGGATATCTTCCACAAGAAATAGTGAATACCTTAAGGATAAAAAGTGTCCTATATTTTTATGGTTGTTCTCTTAGTAACTAGTACTCAGAAGCCTCTCAATAAATATGATTCATTAAATCATTTTTACAGTCAACCAGTAATAAGAAAATAGCTTATGGAAGGCAGGAAAACACAGTAACACCCCTCACACACACACAAAGTCAAAGTCAGTAGCAGTTACCCTAATAATAGCTATCATTTGAGTGCATGTTATTTATCAAAGGCTTATAGACACTATAATTATTATTATTATCTTTTTCTTTAGACGGAGTCTTGCTCTGTTGCCAGGCTGGAGTGTAGTGGTGCAATTTCGGTTCACTACAACCTCTGCCTCCCAGGTTCAAGGGATTCCTCTGCCTCAGCCTCCCCAGTAGCTGGGACTTCAGGTGCGTGCCACCACGCCCTGCCAATTTTTTTGTATTTTAGTAGAGACGGAGTTTCACCATGTTGGCCAGGATGGTCTCAATCTCCTGACCTCATGATCCGCCCACCTTGGCCTCCCAAAGTGCTGGGATTACAGGCATGAGCCACCGCGCCCAGCTGACACTATAATTCTTAATATTCACAAACATTATGCAAAATTGGAATTTTATATCCGAGGAGGATTGAGACTTTAATGGACTAATCTGTTTCTCCAGGATTTTGTATCTTTTCTGCCTAACTCACCTCATGGTCTATATGCATTCAGTAAATACTTGCTTAAAAATAAATGCAGAAATACCAATTTTCCCAAAAATTCACAATTTACAGAAATTGGCAGAAAATATAGTGAATTTCTCATTGTACTCACTAATGCTATAAATTTTTATTCTTATTTTTTTCTCCAGTAAACATAAGGATCATTGAAGTCTTGTGTTCGTGACCCATAAGATGACCAGATGCTTGGAATAGAGCTTGCTTTATTTCTTTTCTGTTACTTAGAACTTTTCAATTATCAATGAAAGAACTAACATAAACATGTAAAAATGTTCCCTTTATCTTTTACAGTAGGTGGCCAAGGAGCTAGATCACAAAGTAAAGAATAAGGTTATGCATTGAAGACTGTCTATATAAAATATAAATGCAATCATAAGTAGGAGCATAAGTTGAAACAGCAATATTTTAATATAGAAAATGGAGTAGAACAAACTACAGACTTAAACCTAGGAAGCATATGCAAAGTATTACTCACTTCACTTTTCCTTTATAGAGCCTTTGATAAAATTCTAATAGGGAAGAGAAGCTTTTGTTCAACAGATAAAACAGAAGTAGCTGTTCAGAAAGAGTACATTCAGAGAGGAAAGAAATGACTCCCCATGGACCTAAAATTTAGAAAGTAAAATAAAATAAAAGATTTTTATCTGAGATATTATTGCCTTAGTCCTTTTTGGCCTGAAGACTTTATAAATGTTTGGGCCATTTGCTTTGAACTCTGCAAATTGAGTGGAGTGCTCTCTCTGTGTGAATTCAACCAATAAGTGCTATTTGATTAGTGTCAAAATGTTCTACTAGTAACTAACAAATCTGAAGAGAAAGCCAGTCACCTCCAAATAATTCAGGTCTGTGGTCAGATCCTTTACACGAAATAAATAAAAGCCTCACAACTTCTTAAATTCAGTTTGTTTCTGTCTGTGCTTATATGTCTAAAATTATCCTGATATATCTGAATGGTTGTATAAAGAATTCTAATTTATGCACAAATCATTGCTCTGTTAACAATGTCTCACTATGGCTCCATATTTTCATGATCTAAATGACCCTGGAAATATATTAAGCACTTTTACATCTTCCAAAGAGTCTACTATTTTGACTTGCACTGCACAGGTGTACTATTAAATTGTAGGTGCATGTTTAGTTTTTGCCTTCACATACCCAGAGTAGGCAATTTGTATTTATTCAGGTATAGCAGACACACTTCTTCAGAGTTCACATTAACCTTATTTAACACAGCTACTTAGGATCAACCTTGATTTAATCCAGTGTAAAATTCACTGCCCACAGTAGATGAAAACAGGCACCTATTTTATAACACAACGCAACTTGTTCTTCAATAAATACCAGATTATCTTTATTTTTGTTTACTCTTATAATTTGTTGAGGCACATTAAAGAAATTATGAGGAACTTATACATTGAGTTCATAAAACGTAGTAGCTGAGCTTATGGAAGCATAATACTTTGATGAGATGGTATGTTGATCGGCCAGTGCATGGGATCATAAATTAAACAGCATAAGCAGTTCTACTAAGCTCGGGTATATCTGGCATGTGAGGGACAACTGACACCAGAAAATGACAGCTGCCTTAGTCTAGAGCTTAGTTTGGGGCTGATTCAAATTCCTCAATTTTTAAAGAACACACCAAAATTGGATTTCTCTATTTTTATTTTCATGAGCCACTAAATTTCACCAACTTTAAATTTATTATTTTCCAATAGTTTACAGAGATAGTAGGCAAGGTTAAGAGTGGAGAGTGAGTCAGTAGGGAAGTGAAGAAGGAGAAACAGGAGGTATTAATTTAAAATGTTAATTTTTTGAAGTATCTTGAGGTGAATGAATCCAAACCCATATGATAGAGTTCTAAAAAAGTTAAAATTAAGGATATAAATCTGTTTCTGCCTGGGTTGACAATGTGCTTTCTATTAGTCATTTAGGAAAGATCAAAGGCTATTGGAGATTGTAGGCATATAGAAGCTAATGTCTTTTTCTTAGAATGTAGTAGGATCATTGTTATTAGAATTTATAACAGCACAGTTCTAAATAGGCTTCTACAGCCAGTTTTGAATTAACACTTTGCATTCTTCACATAACCTACAGAAGCATGTGACACCATTTCTTCATACAACATTTTATGGACATTCTAAAATATGAAAAGTAAGGATTTCATGTTTTGGAAAGCAAATAAAGAAAAATGTATATATTCCAGCCTTCATAAAGGGATAATAGAGGAAGAAAGTGCTTACCATTAGATATGCCTAATTTGAAATTATCATTTTAAAATTTAGTATGATAATTATGAAAGCCAGAATTAGTATCTCCTTGTGTGTGGACGAGAAAATGCTTTTTTAGTACAGCACTTGTTCTGCTGTGATATAGAGTAGTGTTAGGGTGCAGTCAAATAGTCTTTTAGGAATAAAAGGAGAATACAAGGAAAAGTCAGAGGCCAGAATTAACATTAGCATTTGACTAGAAAACCAGGAGGCTTCCAGATAAAATGGCAAGGAGGTACAAACAAAACCACGCCCTTGGTCAAAAGGATTGTGTTCATTAAGCATTAGAGCTTATAGGATCATTGAAACACAAGGCTAAAGCAGACAAACAGATGAAATAACATGAATTTCATTCATCGCTCTACAAATCTCCTTAAATGTAGATCCACAGCTATGTTCTGGAGGTAACAGGTCCAGAAAAACAGCATATTTCTCAGCTAACAGTCACCAGAGGAGGTAAATGCTGATGACTTAGATTCCCAGAAAAGTTCCTAAAAAGTACAAACTACTGGCAATGCTCATTTTCTTCTCTCAACATTCTTCATTTTGATGCTTGGAATAATATTATTCCAGCCAGAGCTCCAGTTACACAATAGAAAATAAGAAGACCTTAAAAATGGACACCAAATACTAAAATGCTAAACTCAAAAGACAAAAGGAACTAGGTCACTAATAACCATGTGCATCCCTGGATTCTCTAGCTTTACTGAGAGAAAGAAAAATGAGCTAGTTTTTCAAACCACTGTGAAATTGAGTTTATTTTTTAAACATGGCTATGCCTAATCTAAATCTAAATGCCTACCTTTTCTTAATAGTTTAGAAAATATGGCAGAATTTGGGTCTGTATAACCCAAATGACATAGCAGGCAGGATCCTGATGGCCACCTGCCAGCATTCATTATGTTCCCCACTATAGTTTAAATGGGCTTCTGCAGCCAGAATCAATCAAGTTCACCTTGTTTTTTTTTTTTTTTTTTAGACTGTGTTTTGCTCTCGTTGCCTAGGCTAGAATGCAATGGTGCAAACTTGGCTCACAGCAACCTCCGTCTCCCATGTTGAAGCGGTTCTCCTGCCTCAGCCTCCCAAGTAGCTGGGATTACAGGCATGTGCCATCATGCCAGGCTAATTTTGGGGTTTTTCCATGTTGTCAGGCTGGTCTCAAACTCCCGACCTTGGGTGATCCACCCACATCAGCCTCCCAAAGTGCTGGGATTACAGGTTTGAGCCACTGCGCCCAGCCCTCAAGTTCACCTTTTTTGGTATTTTAGTTTTTCCTACATCTACGAAGTAGACAAAGAATGTCACTTAAGAGAATAAAAACCTTTTCTCATTTTAGAGATCTTACACATTGTGTATGTGTGTGTGTGTGTTTTGCATTGCCATTACTCATCAAATTTCAGATTCTCAATCCTTGCAATTGGATACAGCAGGAAGAGTAATTTATACTAGAAAGATTGCTAACATATGCAAAACTTATTTGGACTCTCATTTTGCTTACAATATAAAAATACTTGTAATTTTTTCAATAGTTAGTTCCACTAATGGATAGTATTAACAATTTATGAATATTTATAAATTCATAGGAATGAAATTCTGACAAAGCAAAATCTGGAAGAGAGGTACCCGTATGACATAAATTTGCCATTTGCAAATATTCATATATTGAACACTACTAACATATCCCACTACAGGGCAGAGAAAATTTGAATTTATAAGAAAAATACGCTTTTTGACCTGCTGAAAATACAATGGTCATTCCAGGCTTTTCACCCTGTTTAGCATCTATACAAGAAACAATCACAGAACTAAGGTTTCTATTAATTTCTATGTAGGCTATCATAGATTCATGCAGTTTGGTTGAAGAGTTTTTAAATGGGTCAGTAATTTCTTATGATACAGATATAAATTAACAATAATATGCTTTAAAATGTATACTTCTGTGCTTATCCAATTTTCACCATTTCTAAGATGAACAAATCAGTATAAGTAATTTTTTGTAAAAAATGCAACTAAATTATCTTTATTATGTTAATATGGTTGAAAGTTCTCTAGGAAGAGTTATTTGAATATGCTTTGAATAAGTTAGAGGTAAACAATTTCAAACATTTTAAATTTTATACAGAAAAAATTCTTTATTTTTAAATGCCAGACGTAAATCTTTATTTTTTTCTGTATCCAACCAACATAATATACCCAATAATAAAAATAATTGCATTTTGCTCCAAAATTCAGGACAATGTATCAGACTAGTAATTTAAAAAAGGAAAAAAAATTTGTGTAGAAAAAATATATATGTTCTGTGGAAACCATAAAAGTTTAGATGATCAGGGAATTTAAAATATGGTTCATCTATCATTTTGACTACTGAAAATTTGTTTTAGACCAAAAATATAGTTAAACACAATTCACAGGAATCAGTAAACCTTAATCTGTTTGGGTGATCCTGTTCCACTGGGGGAAGCTTAGAAATATGTGAGACTACTTTTGAGTTTCAAATGCGAAGGGTAAATACTAGAAGAGTTTAATGTTTGGTTCATAGGTGCTAAATATTCTGCAATGAGAAAGACAGTATCACACAAAGTAAGGTTTTCTCATAAAATTTCTATCCTGCTAAGAAAATAGGAATCTAGGTATTATCTATCATGAGAATATTTAAAATTCAATGATTAAAAATAGAGAGATTGAAGCTCTTAATTGAAGTAAACATATCATATTTTCCTACTTATAATAAAGAATTAAAAGGATGCAGAATGTATTTTTCAATGCTAAAACATATTTATATGAAACATCTCAAGACGTTATAACCTAATGTGTACTCTGTCCCACTTAACATATTATTATTTTATTCTATCTTATTCTGAAATCTTTCCATGACATCCCGCTATACCTCACAACAAAACCTACCCATTCATTAAATTCATAAGAGAAAATACTACCATAATTTTTCTTTCAGAGTGATTATACTGCAACAGATATTCTCTCTCTCTCTCTCTCTCTGTGTGTGTATGTGCATGTCTCTCTCACACATGCATGCACACATGGAATTCATAGCTATGAAAGTTAGAATTGTGTCTGTATACTATTTTCTGTAACATACAGAGCTTCTACCAGACACATGGGTGTTTGCTATTTAGGAAAGATGCCTTATCTTTGTCATCCATCAGCAAGCTGGCTTAAAAAAAAAAAAGGAAAACAAAATCTTCATTTATTAAGCATTTTAACAAAAATGATATATGCAGGCTCTCACCAGAGAACATGTTGTGTTTTAAATCTATTTCATGTTTTACATATTTCTGGCCTTTTTATAATAAGTTCCTTGGCTTGTCAGGGTAGGAAAAACTATAGTAATCTGAGAATCAAAATTGTCTATAATTAATAATACAAAATTCACAAAATGAAGAGCCAAAAGGTTACCATCTTTTAGTATTCCTCAGCATGATGCAGAATGTGGGAATAATGACATTGTAAGCCAAGAATTCCTCACTAATGCCACTTTGATTAGTGACTAAGTAAAAGTATGGTTTTTGAAAGTGAGAAGATGCTAGAAGTATGTCAGCAGCATCACTTCACATTAAATGATACAATTTGGTTTAATTAAAATTTGACTATCACTAGTATAGAGAATAATCTTGAGGACTTAGTTAAAATTAAACTCTGTTTTTAAAGCTACAACTGAAACACGATTATAAAAATAATTCAAACAAAATTTTGGCTATCAAAGTTTCTTGATTATCCTTGTTCAATGCTTGTACTTATACATGTGTATGTATGTATATTTTGGAGCATATCATTTCTCTCTCTTTAAAAAGGAAGTGGATGACACACCACCAATCATTAGTAATCCTTCCCAGAAACCTCAACTTATTGTCACTCCTCCATCATGCCTACGTCACCAAATCTTGTGTATTCCACCAGACATGACTGTCTTATATTTGCCCATATTACACCATCTCCACATACACTACCTTTAGTTTAATGGGGTCAAGTCTCTCCCTTTAACATCCTCTAAATAATCACCTTGCCTTCTCTGTTTTATCAGCTGATGCTTTCACTCTTAGTTTTGCTTTCTAGAACACAAATCTGATCGTATACTTTCTTTCTTGGAATCCCTCAATGACACCTTACTGCTGTCACAACAAAGTCCAAATTTCTGAACTTAACAAGCCACTTAAACACTCTGTCTTGGCTTACTGATCCAGTCTCATTTCTCTGTCACCATGTCCCCTTCCCTCACCAGATGTTTGAGTTCTCTGTGATGCTTGCTACCAATTTGACTAAGCTATACTTTCATGGCAGGCTTCCTAAGTTACTATTATCAAGTTATAGTATTTTATTGATTTGTTTATTCTAATGCTTTCTCTTAGTGGTTTGATTTAGGGCAGTTTAGCAATGTTTAATGTTTAATTATCAAAGCTGAAAATGGGGTGCTAGTGGCATTACATAATAGAAACCAGGGACTCTTCTAAACAAACTACGATGCACGGACAGCCCCACTACAAAGAATTATACAGCCCAAAATGTCATGGTGCAGGGGTTGATACATCTTGTTTCAGGAAAGAATGGTATCATCTATGCTGGAATTTTTAGCAACTAGCAGAGGGCTCGTCACTTAAAAGGTGTTTCATAAATGCATACTAAATGAATGTAAATAAATATATGTTCTTTGTACTACAGAAATTAAATACTACAGTGAACTATTTGGTTAAGAATTTTAAAATTAATTTACCACAGCTCATTGTCTCCTCTGTTCCTAAGTGCACAATATTTTCTTTGCTGAGATTAATTGCCACCCTTTGTACAGTCGTGATACCTCACTAAATATTTTTTGTTCTACCTCTAAATACACTGCAGATCTGGCCATTTCTCACTGTTTCCACTGCCACCGTCTCTTAAAAGGTCTTCTAAGTGTTTTTTTTTTTTTTTCCTATTTAAACTGTTGCACCCTTTCATCCATTTTTGTACAGAAACCAGTGATCATTTAAAAAATATATTGATCCTGTATACCTCTATTTAAAATTTGACAATTTTTCCCATTTCATTTTAGATAATAACAACTTTTAATAAAATTAATATATTTGAGGCTCCATATATTTGGATATCTGCTTATTTCTGCGTTACCTAATTCAGCTACCTCTATCCTAGTCTTTCTAAATTCTTCAGATTTTATGAATAAGAAATCAGAATTCTCAGGAAAACTCAGGAATCCCTTAAATCATATATGAGTATCTAATATTTTATACTTTCCAGCCATTATTATAGAAACAATATATACTTAATAAACAGATAGTATTAAGTTTTGTAGCATTTCTAAAGAACTATAAACTATGCTAAATATTCCAACACTGGAAAACATCAGGGAACATTACAGGGTAGCATTCAAATAATACAACCTTTGGATCTCCTAGTAATGTAAATAAGAATGCACAGAATCACTTACAAAATTGCCAGATTAAGGATTTATTTTACTTCCAAACTTGACATGTCATGGAACACCACTCATAAGATTTGTATAAAGTATGTAAATTAACTTCTTTATATAGATTATATTTACAAGAATATTCCACCATTAGCAGTAGATGTGGCCAAAAACCAAAAACAAACATTATAAGTGACAACAGCTAAAACTAAGCATGATATTTGATTGTGGCATTTCTTTTTTACTGCTATAAACCTGTTTCCCCGAAATATAGATCTTAATTCTTCCACTTGCATGTCAGTATTTTCTATTAAGTTATGAAAATTTTTCTTAATTTTTTAATTTCCTGATTGTTCCTAGAACTAAAATTAAGAAAAACATTTAAGTTTCTCAAGAAATTTCCTGGAAATAATTCATATATGGGAACATTAAGACACATGGTTATTCTTTCTGCAATTCCTATGTACCAAGTTTTTCCCAGAACAGGGAACTATTTATTTGCTGCTCCTCCTGCATAACATGCCATGCCTTTCAATCTTTATAGAACTGACTTGACTCATTCTTCAAGTTTCAGGTTTCAGATAGAATGTCCTTTCTTTAAAGGAGTATAGGATTGCATTTCTAAGCCAAATCCCTAGTCATATAATTTATACCTAGCGAGATAGCTAGGTAGCTAGCATCTGTCTATGCATATGCCTATGTCCCATCAAGATATAAAGCTATATATTCGCCTACATGTTTACTTGTTCAGTATCTGTTCAATAGGTGTCAGTCACTCAAAATGTTGGCCAGTAAGAATGGTCTCCATTTAAACTTTGATTTTCACAAACAAAAATGTATTCTACTAATATTCTGAACCATTTTAAATTTTAATTGAAAATCATATGTGCTCTATGAGGAGTACACATTATGATTGTTTGGGTTAACTCTAAATTTGAGCAGAATGCCTGGAACTTGAGATGAAGTGTATAGCTATTATTTAAATGAATGGATGGTAAATAACTATCCTCTTTTGTAGTCTGGCTATAATTAAATAATAGAAAATTGAATAGTGTCATTTTTTTCCTATGACCCGATAAGAAGATCAGTGTTTAACAGAAATGACTGTAAACAACAGTTTTTCCATTCAGGCTCTGTGAGAAGGTATTAGAAAGGTAGATGAACAGCAGTACATCCCAAACGTATTAATTTCCTATTGAAGCTATAACAAATTACTAGAAACTTGTGGCTTAAAATAAGACATTTCTCCAATGTCAGGAGGATAGCATCATCAACTGCACTAACTTTCCCTCTCTTATCTCTGTTTCTATGGTCACATCTTGTTCTCTGGTTCAGACCTCCTGCCTCTCTTTTTCATATTTTGATGAGAATGAGCCTAACCAAATAATCCAGAAAAAAATCTCCCAATCATAAGGTTCTTAATCTAATTACATCTTCAAAGTCCCTCTTGCCATGTAAGGTAACATATTCCCAAATTTAGAAGATTAAGACATAGACATCTGTGGGGAACAATTACCCTGTCTACCACACCAAGTAATCCAGGTCTCCCATTTGAATGAAAAGTAATCTCTCATTCATTTAACTGTTCATTTAATAAATATGTGGTTGACTTCAGTAATTTCATTAGGCAAGATTCACTCAAGAAGTTGGAAGGAGAAGGGCGACTGAGGAGACAACTAGGTTAACAGGTACTCTACAGAGGGACAGAGTGACAAATGCTTTCACAGACACATGGAAATGATTTGGGGGATGATGATTACCACTTGGCATACTGATGTTCCCCCATTTCTTTTTCTTCCTCCTTTTTAAACCCCAAGGATTATAATTTACTTTC
This sequence comes from Homo sapiens, assembly GCF_000001405.40. Taxonomy (NCBI): domain Eukaryota; kingdom Metazoa; phylum Chordata; class Mammalia; order Primates; family Hominidae; genus Homo; species Homo sapiens. The sequence goes on from NC_000001.11 coordinate 190,357,114, forward strand.
ATGACCAAACTTCTATTTTATATCAGTCAGGTTAGAAGTGATAATGTAACTATAAGTTTTTTCAGATCAGTTAGTTGCAATAATAAAAGGAAAACAGGCCTATGCATCTTTTTTAAAAAGACATTTTGAAATTGACCGCCTTGAGTGAACTGCCAAACCTAGATTTTAATTTGACTGATGTTTGTGCCTACAAAGGTTTTGCTTGTAAAGAAATTGAATTTTAAAAACAATTTCCAGAGGAACTTCGATTATAGTATTGCTTCACTACTAATTTCATTTACTTAACTGTCTACATGTGATAGAAAATTTTGATTATTATTAGTTTAAAATTTTCACAGTTTGGGTGCTGAATTTATGGCTTTGGTATACTGCCGAATCTGTAGTCAGTGTGGTATCTTTTAATAATATCCAAATACAAGAGCTTTTTGTGTAGTAAAGAATTTAACTTGGGCCTGTAGCCTTGTAGTATAGTTTGAAGTCAGGTAGCATGATGCCTCCAGCTTTGTTCTTTTGGCTTAGGATTGTCTTGGCGATGCGGGATCCTTTATGGTTCCATATGAACTTTAAAGTAGTTTTTTCCAATTCTGTGAAGAAAGTCATTGGTAGCTTGATGGGGATGGCATTGAATCTATAAATTACCTTGGGCAGTATAGCCATTTTCACGATATTGATTCTTCCTATCTGGTACCAAAACAGAGATGTAGACCAATGGAATAGAACAGAGCCCTCAGAAATAATACCACACATCTACAACCATCTGATCTTTGACAAACCTGACAAAAACAAGAAATGGGGAAACGATTCCCTATTTAATAAATGGTTCTGGGAAAACTGGCTAGCCATATGGAGAAAGCTGAAACTGGATCCCTTCCTTACACCTTATACAAAAATTAATTCAGGATGGATTAAAGACTTAACTGTTAGACCTAAAACCATAAAAACCCTAGAAGAAAACTTAGGCAATACCATTCAGGACACAGGCATGGGCAAGGACTTCATGTCTAAAACACCAAAAGCAATGGCAACAAAAGACAAAATTGACAAATAGGATCTAATTAAACTAAAGAACTTCTGCACAGCAAAAGAAACTACCATCAGAGTGAACAGGCAACCTACTGAATGGGAGAAAATTTTTGCAATCTACTCATCTGACAAAGGGCTAATATCCAGAATCTACAATGAACTCAAACAAATTTACAAGAAAAAAAGCAAACAATCCCATCAACAAGTGGGCAAAGGATATGAACAGACAATTCTCAAAAGAAGACATTTATGCAGCCAACAGACACATGAAAAAATGCTCATCAACACTGGCCATCAGCAAAATGCAAATCAAAACCACAATGAGATAACATCTCACACCAGTTAGAATCGCGATCATTAAAAAGTCAGGGAACAACAGGTGCTGGAGAGGATGTGGAGAAATAGGAACACTTTTACACTGTTGGTGGGACTGTAAACTAGTTCAACCATTGTGGAAGTCAGTGTGGCGATTCCTCAAGGATCTAGAACTAGAAATACCATTTGACCCAGCCATCCCATTACTAGGTATATACCCAAAGAATTATAAATCATGCTGCTATAAAGACACATGACACGTATGCTTATTGTGGCACTATTCACAATAGCAAAGACTTCGGACCAACCCAAATGTCCAACAATGATAGACTGGATTAAGAAAATGTGGCACATATACACCATGGAATACTATGCAGCCATAAAAAATGATGAGTTCATGTCCTTTGCAGGGACATGGATGCAGCTGGAAACCATCATTCTCAGCAAACTATCACAGGGACAAAAAACCAAACATTGCATGTTCTCATTCATAGGTGGGAATTGAACAACGAGAACACTTGGACACAGGAAGGGGAACATCACACACCAGCTCCTGTTGTGGGGTGGGGGGAGAGGGGAGGGATAGCATTATGAAGTATACCTAATGTAAATGACAAGTTAATGGGTGCAGCAAACGAATATGACACATGTATACATATGTAACAAACTTGCACATTGCGCACAGGTACCCTAAAACTTAAAGTATAATAACAAATAAAAAAATAAAAAATGATAAAAACAAAAGCTATTAAAACAAACAAACAAAAAAGAATTTAACTTGGGCCAGGAAGAGGTCTAGCCTTTTCTCATCGCTCCTGGGAGGTATTTATTTCCCTTGGTGGTTTGGACTAGACAGATATTAACACTGATTTACCATGGGGACTGACCATATCAGAAAGACCAATGGTGTGATTTAAGGTACAGACATTGAATCATGGGGTACTAGTAAACCTAGAGATTAAATCAACCATGTAGACATTTATCAATTATGCCTATATAATGAGGCCCCAGTGAAAACTTTGAGCCTCGCAGGGTACGATGGCATGCACCTGTAGTCTCAACTACTTCAGATGCTAAGGTGGGATGATCTCTTGAGCACAGGAGATTGGGTCCAGCCTGGGCAACATGGCAAGACCTGTCCCTAAGAAGAAATCAACCAATCAATTAATCAATCAATCAATCTCTGAACCTCAAACCTGTGGGAGCTTGGCCATACCTCTTGCATACTGTCATACATTGAAGCTGGGAAAGTAACAGGTACTTTCTCAGATTTCACCCTATGTACTTCATCCTCCTTTGTCTAATTTTAATTTATAACCTTTTCCTTTAATTAAGCATATATATGGGTATAGTAGCTGTCAGTGAGTTCTTTGAATTATTTTGTCTAATTATCAAACTGAGGATAGTTAGTTTCATAGTCAGTGGTGGACTGTATCCCTCTAACAGAATACTGGGCTAAACTCTTTTCACCTCCTAATATATGTGTGCGGGTGACATACAAGCTTATTTAGGTTTATTATTAGAACACTAAAAAGCTTTCATTAGCGAGAAAAAAGACTCACTTCAGGCTATAAAGGATTAAATTTGAAAAAGGCAGTGACACAGGTGTCAAATTGTTCATCATTTCCACTATGTAAGTGGCATCTAAACTGTAAATTTCCCTCACTCTACTATTCAGATTCTTTTCAAAGCCAGTAAACATCTTCAACAGATACAAAGTAATCGATGGTGGTTATTCAGCCTTTCTAAAGTGTTGTCCTTCAAAGGTCTGTGTGACACTTTATTTAAACCACTAATGTTCTCTCTAATTAGAGAAACTGCATAATTATTGTCCAAACCAGAATACTTTTGATATTGAAAGGGGATATTGTTAATAATTTATACTAGAAAAGCATGTAGGAAGCAGGACTATCTCAACAAATTGTGATATATGTCTCTAGCTTGCTGTGGAGGCAGATTTGCCTAGGAAAATTGTTTTAGACAAAATGAAAACAAAACAAGACTGAGGTGTATCATGAGTAAGTTCTATAAATCATATCTAAGTGTGAACTTTAAAATGTGAGAGTGCGTTACATATGAATTCTTTCATTAACTTTTTTCTGAATAATTCAAATTGCCTTTTGAAATTATGAATTTCTCAAATAATCATATTTTGCCCATGTAACAAGAATGTAATACCATATGACAATTTTAACTGGGGAAGTCAATGGCATTGATTTTTTTTTTAACCAGGCTTTATCGTTGCCTTGGTGGAAAACATGTGACTTGTATTTCAATCTATTCCCAGCTGTGTTTTTCCTGTTCTCAAAAACAACTAGGCGGTGTGTTGAGCACAGCAGTTATAAAGAAAAATAATCTGCAGTTTTCTCAGGGAACTTGCAATCTAGAGAAAGATACAAGGAAGAAAACAAATCATTATAATTTAATGTGGCAAAAGTTATACATCTACACAATATTAAAGGGGCATCAATAAAGACATATCTAACTCTGGAAGAGTAGTCAGGGAAAGTGTCACCAAACACTTGAAATGTATTTGTTCAGTATGTGGGAAGAGATAACAAATATTTCAAGGATGAGAAAATATGTGAAACCTTTAAAAGTCGGGGTGGGGAGGTGGTTGAACTTGCTCAGAGAATAGTGAGCAGATACATTTGACTCAAGCATAGATACCATGGTGGTTTGACAGGGACAAGCAGGAATAAGAGGCAAGGAGGGCTGTAAGAAAGAGACTGGGGTCAGTTTATGAGGGCATTAAGGCTCAGAGGAACCATTGAAGACTTTAAAGTCAGGAGATATTAATCAAGTAGGTTTTTGATGAAATAACTCTAACATAATTTCCGAAGAGATTAGAGATATCAGGAGCCAGGAACCCCATGGTGTAGATCATATAAGAAATAGAGAATGAATATGTAATTTAGGAAAATATAAGACCAGTTTTTGTTTTTGTTTTTGTTTTTTGTTTTTTTGTTTTTGATGAAGTCTTGCTCTGTCACCAGGCTGGAGTGCAGTGGCACTATTTCAGTTCACTGCAACCCCCGCCTCCAGGGTTCAACTGATTCTCCTGCCTTAGCCTCCTGAGTAGCTGGGACTACAGACACACATCACCACGCCCAGCTAATTTTTGTATTTTTGGTGGAGACAGGGTTTTCACCATGTTTGCCAGGATGGTCTCAATCTCTTGACCTCGTGATCCGCCCACCTTGGCCTCCCAAAGTGCTGGAATTACAGGCGTGAGCCACCATGCCTGGCCAAGACCCAGTTTTTATAATAATAATATTCTGAATACAGTCAATAATATTCTGAAGACTTCCATTAGGCATATTATGTACAAGGCGGCTACATGCAAACTTCATCATCCACAAAGTAGGCACTGTAGAATTTATGCATTTCTTCTATTTTTGACAGGTGGTGGTAAATGTTTGAGTTCTCCCAAAATTCGTATGTTGAAGGTGTAACCTTCAATGTGTCTGTATTTGGAGATAAGGCCTTTATAGAAGTAATTAGGGTTAGATGAGATCATGAGCTTATGGTCTTCATGATGAAATTAGAACTCTTATTAAAAAAGATACCAGATAACTTGGTCACTCTCTTTCTTTTCTGCCCACACATAGGTTATGAGGGCATACAGTGAGATGGCAGCAGCCTGTAAGCCAGAAACAGAAGCATCACCAGAAACTGACCATGCTGGTACCCTAATCTCAGACTTCCAGATTTCTGAAGAACTTCAAAGAAACAAAAGTCTATTGTTTAAGCCACCTAGTCTGTCACATTTTGTTATGGCAATGTGAGCTAACTAATACACTACCTTTAAAATATAAACTAATAAGCACGGTCTTAAGTTAATATGACTCATGCTAGGGGACCTACAGACATAGCATACTCTAACAGCAGAGCAGAGAAAAGCTTAGCCGATTTTGGGAATAAAAAGAAAACATGTGTTTTGTAGGATATTATGCCTAAGCTATATCTTAAATGGTAAGAATTCACCAGGAGCAAAATGTTAGGAATTTCTTGTCAGAAGAAATAATGTAAGCAAAAGCATCACTATTCACAGCAAACCCAAACTGGCTGATATCTGTGATAGGCAAAATTCTAAGATGGCCTCTAATGTGGTTTGGCTGGGTCCCCACTCAAATCTCATCTTGAATTGTACCTCCCATAATTCCAACATGTTGTGGGAGGAACCCGGTGGGAGATAATTAAGTCATGGAGGTTGATTCCCCCATAGTGTTCTCACAGTAGTGGGTTAAGTCTCACAAAATCTGATGATTGTATAAGGGAAAACCCCTTTTGCTTTCCTCTCATTCTGTCTTGTCTGCTGCCATGTAAGACATGCCTTTAGGCTTCCACTATGATTGTGAGGACTACCCAGCCACGTGGAACTGTGAGTCCATTAAATCTCTTTTTATTTATAAATTACCCAGTGATGGGTATGTCTTTATCAGCAGCATGACAATGGACTAATACAACCTCTATTTTTTTAATTTTAAAATAAAATCTTGATTCCAGAAAGAACTGTGATCATGATAGGATATTATTTCTATAAATAGGTTATTAATCACTTGACTTTGAGTTAAATATAATGATAATATCTGAGTGAACCCAACCTAACCAGGGAATCCCTTGGGAAAAATCTGGGCCCTGCCTAAAGGAAGAATGACTGATGTTTGAGAGGGCCTATTGGGATAGTCACATGGCAGGGAACTACGAGTGGCCCTGGAGGAGCTAAGAGCAGACCCTGGCCAACAGCCAACAACAAAATGGAAACCGCAACTGCAAGAAATTAAGTACTGTCTACAATGTAAGCTTGAAAGAGGACCCTGAGATTCAGAGAGGAATCTAGTCAACACCTTGATGCTAGCCTTGTGTTACTCTGAGCAGAGGACACAGTTCACCCCTGCCCAAACTCCTGACACGCAGAAATAGTGTTTGTTGTTTTAGGCAAATAACTTGATGTTCATTGGTAGACGACAATAGAAACTGAATACATTATTAGAGATCATAAAATATATAACCAAGAGAGGCAAGATATGAACGAGAAAGATTGAATTTTCATGAATCGTCTGATTTTTTATAAGAAACTTGGAATTTTTATGTGAGGGATGGGAATCCTAGAGTGACTATAAGGAGGGGCATAACAGGTGAGATTTCAAGATTTCACGTGCTCAAGATTGCCCTGACTGCATTTTAGAGGACAAATACGACAATGTTGCTATTGATCATGTAAGAGGCTACTGGGATCATCTGGGAGATAGCAATGGAGAGTCTGGGCTAGAGTAATCGTAGTAGGAATGGAGTAAAAATGAATGCATTAAATAAAATTAGGAGATAAATTCACTGGTGTGGAGATTATTTGCATGTGGAAGATGACAGAAAATAAACGTCTGAATGACTCCCAGATTTCTACTTTGGATGTCCCGAATGATGGGCTGCAACTTTCAATGGGAATGCAGGAGGAGGTACAGATTTGAATTGATGGGTGAGAGAAAACAAATTAAATTTTGGAAATGCAGTGTTTGGAGTATCTATAGAACAAAATATGAAGAAAAATGATATCCCAAATATTAGAGTACACTTTTATGTGAAATGCAATTCACAATCTCCTTCTTAGAAAAAAAAAAGTAGTATCTCTGATAAAATTTTCAAGATATTTCAAAAGAAATTTTTAAACTTTTAATAATATTCAGACTGATTCTGGGAAAGTAATCCCCTTCCCACCCTGCTGTCAGTCAATAGTTTAATAATGTAAGATTTGTGGGGTATTTTTTGAGTTTTGTATAAGTATTTTATAATGTTTTTTTCCAGAGATATCTCTAGTAAGCATAAGTTGGAACTGGTCTGTATCAGGAATCTACCCTTGTATCAAGATTGAAATGATACTTGAATGTGTGGTCTTATCTAAATGTTCTGAAAATTTTACTTCAGATAATATAAATAAATATTTCTGGTAAGAAGTTGGTATTTTCAGTCTCTATATCTGATATCAGTATCAGACTATGCAATAAACAACGTGGAGCCCAGGAAAGAGACAGGAACTTGGCAATCAAAAGCTAAGGAGCAGAAGAACATCAAACAGTCTTGCCCTATGAAAATATGGATCAAAGTGTAATGGTTACACTTTGGAACAGTTATAATGGTAAATTATAACAAGCTATATTAAATATATATTTTATGTAAAATTATAATAAATCATAGTAATCTAACAAATTGCTCTTCCAGTAAAGGTTGGATAATTCTAAGACATCTTGAGTAATCTTAAACAAATTTCAATAAAATATAGTTGAACCATAAAATAAATTTTAATAATGCTTGCAAAACTGTCTTTGCTAATAACATTTATAATAAAGCTTAAAAACTGGAATTGGACTACCAAACTAGCTAAGTCTAAAGATATAATTTGAAGGAGAGAATGGAACAAGTTACTGAGTGACAAAGAGACTATGTAGAGAATTAATTCGCCTCTGTATAGAATTTCCAAAAAGGAATTAACTCAAGACTCTATGGACTGATAAGAATCAAATTTGGCCTGGAATCAGTTAACTGGCAAGAGTTTGACCTCCCTAAAATCAAAGATGACATGGGAGGGCAGGTTGTTTTTATCCCTAAAATCAAATATGCCTTGTGAAATATTAAGACATTAAAAGATACTAACTACAAAATCATTTCTGATTGCATTATCATCTTTAGTAAATATAATTTATAAAAAGTTCTCAAACAAATCAGAATCCTGCCTGACTCCTGAACATGAAGTGGGACCACAGCACAACAGAAACTGAGACTCCTCCCCAGCAGAGATGACCACTGTGAATGAAGTTTTGGAAATTGTGTAAAAGAGGCATTGTGTTCAGTCATCCAGTCATCCATCCATTCCGTTGTATGCACATTCATATAAGCATTGATTTTACTACATTCTATGCCTTTAATCTGCTGGGTGCTAAACCTGCAATTCTGAACAAACTAGACAGAATCCCAGCTGTCATCAAGCTTACATTTCTTCATGGGAGATAGGTATTAAACAAATATTATAATATTAATTATAATGTTATATGATTAATATGATAATTATATTATAATTATAATGTGATGTACATTTAATTACAATATAATTATATTTTAGTTTTGTTATGATATTAATTTAATATTATAACAATTATATTAAAATATATTAATATATTTTATAATTGTAATATAATGATATAGTAAAAATATATTATAATTAATATAATACAATATAATACACAATATAATATTATATTATAATAGTGCTATAATATTAAATGAATATTATAACATTATAAAACTAAAATGTATATTAAAATATAAATGCTGCGAAGAGTACAATGAGAGAGCAAGTGTATATATATATATATATATATATATATATACACACACACATATATAATGTATATATCCTGTCAAAATTTGAGAGATAAGAAAAAATATCTTTAAGAAATACAGGTGGACCTGTAAGAAATAGAAGGAAGGTAACTGGAAAAAGAGAAATAATGGCTTTCCAAAGAAATAACACAAACCTTCCCCTGAGGCATAAAGAATCATGGCCACTGTATCTTGCAACACCTAGACACAAAAATAGCTTCTCCTTAGAAACTTAGAAAGGTAAGATGAGAAAGGATCAGATCGAATAATTGGAAATTTTTCTCTGTTGTTACTTTGTCTCAGTGTATTAGTCTGTTCTCATGCTTCTATAAAGAGCTGCCTGAGACTGAGTAATTTATAAACGAAAGAAGTTTAATTGAATCACAGTTCTGCAGGGCTGAGGAGGCCTCAGGAAACTGTCATGGCAGAAGATGAAGCAAGCATGTCTTTCTTCACAAGGTGGCAGCAAAGAGAAGTGCTGAGCAAAGGGGGAAAAGCCCCTTAGAAAATAATCAGATTTCCTGAGAACTCACTCACTAGCACAAAAACAGCATGAGGGTAACTGCCCCCATGATTGAATTACTTCCCACTGGGTCCCTCCCATGACATGTGGGGATTATGGGAACTACAATTCAAGATGAGATTTGGGTGAGGACACAGCCAAATTATATCATTCCACCTTTGGCCTCTCCCAAATCTCATATTCTCACATTTCAAAACACAGTCATCTTTCAACAGCCCCCCAAAGTCTTAACTTCTTCCACCATTAACTCGAAAGTCCTATGCCAAAGTCTCATCTGAGACAAGGCAAGTTCTTTCCACCTATGAGACTATAAAATCAAAAGCAAATTAGTTACTTCCTAGATACAATGGGGGGTACAGTCATTGGGTAAATACACCCATTCGAAATGCAAGCAATTGGCCAAAACAAAGGGGCTACAGTCCCCATGCAAGTCCAAAATATAATAGTGCAGTCATTAAACATTAAATTTCCAAAATGATTTCCTTTGACTCTGTGTCTCACATCCAGGGCACACTGATGCAAGAGTTAGGCTCCAACAGCCTTGGGCAGCTCCATCCCTGTGGCTTTGCAGAGTATAGCCCTCCTCCCAGCTAGTTTCATGGGCTGGCATTGAGTGTATGTGGCCTTTCTAGGTACACAGGTACACGGTGCAAGCTGTCAGTGGAGCTACCATTCTGGCATCTGGAGGATAATGGCCCTCTTCTCACAGCTCCACTGGGTAGTGCCCCAGTGTGGACTCTGTGCGGGGGCTCCAACCTCACATTTCTCTTTTTCATTGCCCTGGCAGAGGTTCTCCGTGAGCATTCCACCCATGTAGAACACTTCTGCCTAGACATGCAGGCATTTCCACACATTCTCTGAAATCTAGGCAGAGGTTCCTCAACATCAATTATTTACTTCTGTGGACCCACAGGCCCAGTATAATGTGAAAGCTGTCTGAAGCAATGGCCCTACCTGTACCTTGACCCCTTGTAGCCATGGCTGGAGCTAAAGCAGCTGGGATGCAGGACACCATGTCCCGAGGCTGCACAAATCAGAGGGGACCCTGGGCCTCGCCCACAAAACCATTTTTCCCTCCTAGGCCTCCAGGCCTGTGATAGGAGGTGCTGCTGCAAAGGTCTCTGACATGCCCTGGGGACATTTTCCCCATTGTCTTAGTGTTTAACATTCAGCTCCGTGTTACTTACGCAAATTTCTGCAGCTGGCTTGAATTTTGTTCCAGAAAATGGGTTTTTCTTTTCTATCACATCATCAGGCTACAAATGTTCCAAACTTTTATGCTATGCCTCCTATTGAATGCTTTGCCACTTAGAAATTTCTTCCACCAAATACCCTAAATCATTTCTCTCTAGTTCAAAGTTCCACAGATATCTAAGGCAGGGGCAAAATGCCACCAGTCTCTTTGCATAGCAAGAGTGACCTTTACTCAAGTTCCCAAGTTCCTCATCAACATCTAATATCACATCAGCCTGGACTTCATCATCCATATCACTAGCAGCATTTTGGTCAAAGCCATTCAACAATCTCTAGGAAGTTCCAAACTTTCCCACATCTTCCTGTCTTCTGAGCCTCCATGTCTCTGGGACATTCCAAGTATTCCCACATTTTCCTATCTTCTTCTGAGCCCTCCAAACTGTTTCAACCTCTGCCTGTCATCCAGTTCCAAAGTTACTTCTACATTTTGGGGTATCTTCAGAGCAGCACCCCACTACCCAGCACCGATGTACTGTATTTGTCCATTCTTACACTGCTAATAAAGACATACCTGAGACTGGGTGACTAATAAAGGAAAGGGGTTTAATTAATGCAAAGTTCCGCATAACTGGGGAGGCCTCAGGAAACTTACAATAATGGTGGAAGGGGAAGTAAACATGTCCTTCTTCACATGGTGGCAGCAAGGAGAAGTGCCAAGCAAAGGGGGAAAGACTCCTTATAAAATCATCAAATCTCATGAGAAACGACTCACTATCACAGGAATATCATGAGGGTCACCACCCACATGATTAAATTACCTCCCGCTGGGTCTCTCCTGCGGCAGGCCATGTCTCACTATTGCAGGCCTCCATAACAACTGTTTCAGTAGTGACTGAGTGGTTAAGTTAAATATTAAAAGCCCGTGCCCTTATACAAAGGCTAGGATGTAACAAAAGCCCATCAAGAGTTTTGCCTAGGACTTTCCTGGGCCTTAAAGCATGACAAAATAATGAAAGAATTCTTAACAGGGCCCATTTAAGATTAAACAAGTTTTATTTTGGGTCTGAAGAGACTCCCCAGGCTTCCACAAACAAGTTTATTGAGGGTCTGAAGGAACTCCTGAAACCTCTGTGATTTATCAGGAGACAAGATAAGGGTAATCACCCCAGCACGTGGACCCATTTAGATTAAGTAAATTTCCTCGGGCTCCAGAGGAAGGTCTTCAGGAATCAGACCTTAGTTATAGATTAAAGGAAGTTAATCACTTACGTCTTTAGATGAATGTACACTTAATGCATAGACATATAGATTAGAAGGTTTATAAGCTCTGGAAAACTTCGTAATTTTGACTTGGTCTGGCATTAATTTTCAGGCCTTCTCCCTGTAACTGGTTACAGAAAATAAAAACTCTTTTCCTCCCTAGTTCATCTGAATCTTGTTATTAGACTGTGAGAAATAGCAGCCCAGCCCTCAGTTTGGTCTGGGAATACTTCCACAATACTTGGGGATTACAGGAACTACAATTCAAAATGAGATTTGGGTGAGGACACAGCTAAACCATATCATCCAGGTAAGTATTCTTATTTAATATCTGTAATATTAATAAAGAAGGTATATATATCTGAGATAAGTGTTTAATATACTGAGATTAAATATCTTTTGTTGTTATTATAATCGGGACTCCAACATCATATTTCAGTGCGAATAGGTAATCTCTAGAGTTGTGATAGAATTAGTGATAATATATTATTCTCATGATTAAAGTAGCTTTGTCAACTATGAGATAATAGTTGAAACATTTTCAAATAAATCTACTTAACATTCCAAATTTCATTTTAAAACCAGAATTAATATAATTAAGCTTTAAATTAAAGGAGGTAATCAGGTTGTACAATTCAAATAATTATTTGAATTAAAAAAGGTAGTCTTCAAAATTTTAGAAAAATCTTTCATAAATCAATATGTGAAAAATTTTAGAATATTGAAAAGGTATTCACATTAATATTAAATGTACAATCTCTGAGTATATAATGACAAAACATTTTGACAAAAAGACAATGTGTTTTCTAAAATACTATAAAATCAGCCACACTAATTTGCATAGACTTAAAAAAAAGTATGTTCTTGTGTTTTTTTAATAGATAGAGTATTTATGTACTTTCTGTGACTAGCTTGCTAGGAAAATTTAAGTCCAGGACAAGTTTTATAACGACTATGAACTTACTGACCCGAATATGTGACATAATGGTCAGATCTAAATTTCAATGTAATGCTTCATAATGTTAAATATATTATGTTTTTAAAATAATGTTTAAACTAATAATTAATAGCCACTAATTATTAATAAAAAGGAACCTGAATAAATATACATTTGCACTTTTGCAAATAATCTGATTTATTAAATATTTTAAACTCATTATGGAGTTGGTCACTGAAGACTCCTTGGCTTCATTTATTTCTAGTATCATACTCCTCAGCCTGCCAGAATGAACCACACACTTTGACCATCTCAGTGAAGAAATTGAAGAAGTACAAACAAAGAAAGGAAGATACTGCAAGAATGATTCTAAATAGTTTTCATCCCCGTAACATTTTCACAATTGTCAAATTAATCCATGAATGCATACACACATACACAAGCACAATTTTGTAAGCTGGTTCTTTAAGAATAAATAAGTCAATTAGATAAAACATTGTTAACCTAATCAAGAAAAATAGAGAAAGTCTAAGAAGGAAATTATTATAGAAACAGAAGATATTTGTAAAATATTTAAGAAACCAATTTAACAAGTCTATAGAAATAAATTTGAAAACCTAGATAAATGGATAATTTTCCAGAAAAGAAAGAATTAATTCATCAAAACTGTGTCCTGGAGATGATATAATTCTCAACAAACCATTAAGTAGAGTAAGCAGAAAAATTTGGGAGGGGAGGAATCTATCATCAAAAAAATATATAACAGTGGATTCAGAAGAAATTACTATCCAATACAGAAGTCTCTACATTTGAATCTTTATAAAGGCACCACAAATCAAAATTGTATTTAAAAATAACCAGACTTATGCGAAAAGTAGGTTAGAGGATATTTGGCGGCAGTGGGAGAGGCTGGCTTGGCTAAGGTAAGGCAGGGCCTTCATGGCGAAGCCTGTGCCTCCTGCCACAGAACTAGAACCTGCCACTGACCTTTGCAGCTACTCTGATCCTGAGAGTAAGAGCCAAGCCTAGAGTGTTCACTTTTCTCTACATTCTCACTATCGCTAGATATTTTTCATCTTTTTGACAATAGACTGTCTAAGAGGTGTGAGGTAACATATCATTGTAGTTTTAATTTGTATTTTAATTAAATAATTTTAATTTAATAATTTTAATTTGATGATTAATAATGTCTCATGATCATTTTATCAAATACCTGTTGGTCATCTGGTTGTCTTCCTTTGAGAAATGTCTATTCAAGTTATTTGCCCATATTATTATTGAACTATTTGTTCAATTGCTATTGAATTGAATTCCTTATATATTTTCAATACTAGCCTCTTATCACATCTTTGGTTTGCAAATATTTTATCCAAATTTGTAGGTAGACTACTCACTCTGTTTCTTCTTTCCTTTGCTGTGCAAAAACATTTAGTTTGATGCAATCCCCTTTATGTATTTTTGTATTTGTTGCCTGTGTTTTGGCATAATTTCCAAAAAGTAATTGCCCAGATCAATGTTGCGGAGGCTTTCCTCTAAGTTTTCTTCTAGTAGTTTTAAAATTTCAATTGTTATGTACAAGTTTTTAATCCATTTTGAGTTGATTCCCATAGATGGTGTGATAAAAGGTTCTAATTTTATTCTGCTGCATGTGGATATCTAGTTTTACCAATATCATTAGTGAAGACACTGTCCTTTCCCCATTATATGTTCTTGGCACCTTTGTGAAAAATCAATTGACTGTATATTTGTAGGTTTCTTTCTGGATTTTCATTGCCTTTCCATTGGCCACTGCTTCTGTTTTTATGCCATTATCATGATGCTTTGATTACTATAGCTTTGCAGTATATTTTGAAGTCAGGTAGTGTGACGGCTACAGGGGTATTCTTTTTGCTCAATAGTTTTGACTAGTGTCTTTTATGGTTCCATATTAATTTTAGGATTAAGTTTTTCTAGTCCCTTGAGAAATGTTCTAAGAATTTTGATAAGGATTGCATTGAATCTATAAATCATGTTGAGTAGTATGGATATTGTTAAATTTAACGATATCAATTATTTTAATCCAGGGGCATCTGGCATAGGGGGCACAGCTCCTGAAGACATTCAGAGAGTCTCCGACCCCTATCACATCTCCACCTTGGAATATGAGGTCTGTACAACCAGTACTATTACCCCATGTCCGACATTCACGGTGACATAAGCTTCAGGGGCTTCCTCATAACCTCATCAATGTTAAAATGGCACAGGATGAAAACTTAGCTGCTTGAAAAATAGCTACTGGTTTTTCACAGTGAATACGAGCATTTTAGAGTAGTCTTTAGCTTCAGAAACCACTTCTCCAGGGCACAGTGGGAAGAGGTGAAAGACTGCAGGCCTGACAGGCTAAGAGAGGACACAACAGTAATCCAGACCTCACAGACATTAAGAATTCATTGAACCTGCAAGGCTGGAAGGGACCTCAGACGTCCTTCATTCTGTTGCCTTGCATTCTGCCTGCATTGCCTCTGCAACCTGTTGAACCAAGCTCAAAGCGAGTGACCATTTCCATGGGTGGATACCTCACTGATACAGATGCTCCACTAACACAGATATTTCACTGTATCCTGCAATGAACCATCCTGTCAGAAAGTCCTTCTTTGCTTACTGAGGGTGTTTACTGACTGCTGAGATAGTACACATCAGCTGGGTGATTATAGACAGAAACAGCAGCTTTGTGATGCTCAGGTTACAACCCCATATAGTTCCAGAAAGGTTCTGACTGTCACAAGATCAAGACATGCATAAGCTGGAAATAAATAAGAAAGTGCCTCTGTAACAAGAGGTGACTGCAGGTCTGTGTTAATGTACTTTCCCTTCAGCAATTGTTATTTAGTGGCTTATACCCTAGGTGTGCAGAAAAGATTGTGCCTGAACCATGTGACTACCATATTACCTTGTCATAATTCCCCTCTCTTCTAATCGTTTCTAAGGCAATTTCAGTTCAGTTCAGGAATTACACTAAAACAGACAGTTGTAAAGAACAGATAATAGTAAAACAATTTGAGAGTATATATTTTCATCTAAATTCTTTTTTATCACACAAGTTTAAATAAATGGACAAAAGTAACAAATGTTAAACAAATAGTTCACAGACAAAGCTCTGTAGTAATATCAACAAAAAATCTAAATAAAATATTAGAGAATAAATTCCAGGACCTCATTTAAAGAATATTGACTAACAGGGGTATATTCTAAGATAGCAGAATGTTTGTAAACATTACATATCTAAGACATTAAATATCCCCAAGACATTAAATAGCTGAGAAGAAAATTAGAATGATATCCTCCCTGGCCACTGAATATAATATGTTAAAATTCAACAATAATTATTGGTCTAAAAAACACTGAATAAAATTAAAATAGATATTTGGGAGGCCATGGTGGGTTGATCGCCTGAGGTCAGGAGTTCCAGATCAGCCTGGCTAACATGGCGAAACCCCGTTTCTACTAAAAATACAAAAATTAGCCAGGCGTGGTGGTGCATGCCTGTAATCCCAGCTACTCGGGAGGCTTAGGCAGGAGAATCTCTTGAACCCAGGAGGCGAAGGTTGCAGTGAGCCGAGATAGCGCCATTTCACTCCAGCCTGGGCAACAGAGTGATACTTTGTCTAAAAAAAATAAAATAAAGTAGATAATTCCTTAATTATATATATATATGTGTGTGTGTGTGTGTGTGTGTGTGTACATATATATGTATATATGTGTGTGTATATGTGTATATATATACACACACACATATTTATACCAATGATCTTCATTATTTGCAAATTCTACATTTGTGATTTTGCTTGCTGGATAGAATGGATAGAATATATTTCTAACTCCAAAACTAATAATGGCAGCCTTTTGTCAGTCATTCAAAGAACATCCACAGCAGAGCAAAAACACTTTGAGTTTTTGATGTCAACATTCCCAGTTGAGGCCTAACAAGGCATTTCTCTGTCTTTTTGCTTCAGCTCTTATACAGGGGGTGAGACAGGTGGAGGAGCAGTAGTATTAGTTTGCTGCAGAAGTAATTGTGGTTCGTGCAAAAGTAAAACAATTAAAAGTAATGGCAAAAACTGTGATTACTTTTGCACCAACCTAACAGCCTCTTGGACTATGCTACACTGCCTCCTACTGTCTATATTTGTATGAGCAGAGACAGTAGGAGGCAGTGTAGTGTAGCGTAGCCCAAGAAGCTATTACTGCTCTGGAGCCAATTGCACAGGGTTTGAATCCTAAAGTGGGTACACTTAGGGGCATGGTCTTAAGCAAGTCACTTAACACTTCTGAACCTCATTTTCTCTTTTAAAAAATAAAGCAAATATAATTTACCTGGAAGAATTGTTTTAGGGTTCAAGATTATAATCTATGTGAGATGTGTATGTACACATACATATGCACAAATTATACTAGGAACAATGGTTCAGTATTTGCTAAATCTCTATTTGTGAAGTTTATAGGACATAACATAATAAGAATCAATTGTACATAACACACACACATTTTGTGAAAAGAAATCTATCTGTCTGTCTGTCTCTCTGACTATCTGTCTATCTATCTATGTTTCAACCCAAAAATCATATAGATGACATGGGCTAATACTGGAAGCTTTATTGCTAAGTCAAGAACATGGAAGTATTATAATCACCATTATTATCCAACACAGTACTAGATGTTTTTACCAATTTAATTCGTCAAAAGAGAAATTAGAAGTGTAAACACTAAAAAGGAGGCATCAAAAATATCAATATTTGTGAATAATATGATTTAAACTTGGCAATTTCACTAGAGTAAACTGAAAAACTTATACAAACAATCAAAGAATTCAGTAAGGTAGTGGGGTGTGAAATTAAAACACAGAAATCAATAACCTTCATGTATAGACACAAAGACCCATAGAAGACATAATGTGAGAGACAACTTATTTATAATATAAATAACAATAATAAGAACAAAAAGCATGAAAATAATGAAAAATGAAAAACATTCATTTGAGGAAAAATTTAAAACATTTTTAACAATCACAAAAGCAGAATGAGACAAATGAAAATAATAGAAAAAGTTAGAAACAGCCTCTTAAAGCTGTCATGAACAGGATATATGGAAAAATACACAGGTATGAATATCCAGGAAAATTTTGGAAACAAGGTCAACAAGGGACATTAAGTCCATTAGAACAAACAATAATTTAAGTACTCAATAATTTAAAAAATGGGTTAATAGCATCTGGATAAACAGACAAATAGAGTAAACTAATTTTTCAGAAATAGACCCAAATATGTAGAGAAATTTGCTATATCATAAAGGTAGCATTTCAAATAAATCAGGTATAATGGAATTTTAAATAAAAGGTATTTTTTGTAGTAATTTGGGAAAATACAACAAGGTAGTAATTTAGGAAATAAAGGAGTTGGGTCAATAACTCATCTCACACTAAGAAACGCAAATGGTTTAACATATATATACACACACATACAAATCATACATGTTTGTATATATTTGTATATGTAAATGTGTATATGTATACATATAAATATATGTGTGTATGTGTGTATATTCAATAATAGTGTAAAAGACAAGGCCATGTCACTTATGACCATGTACTGGAAAAGAGCACTCTAACTATGCTTCAAAATGTAAAAATCATAAAAGAAAATATTGATTTTTACTTTATAGAAATAAAAATATATGTTTATCCCCAATTAATGTATTCAAAAGCAAAAGGCATAACAAACTGAATAAAAGCAGTTCGTACTACAGATAAAAAGCCTAGCATATCTAATTTATAAAAATCTCTATATTTTAATAGGAAAGAGACCAACCCAACAGAAAATAGGCAACACATATGAACAGGCAGTTATATAAATTGAGTCACAAGTTCATCACCTCATATAACTGGATTCTGAAGAAACAATCTTGGCTGCTAACCTAATTACAGTTGTTCATACACATGTATGGAAATTCAATTTTAAAATACTTTCATCTTTTATTCTCGTAATAATGACAGAATAATTTCAAAAAGGCCCTCTGATATATTTGACATCTGGAAACATTACTGGTTTTCACTATTTTGAGGACATAAAAATAAATATGTTAGTGATTTTGTTTTTCCATTTTCTATAAGGATAATTTTAATTCCCTTTCAGGACATTTTTAGATTTAAATGAAAATGTAATCTCCATCATAATAAAAATTAAAAAATCATCAGGCATATATATTATAGGCTTTTCTGACAGCAAAAGTATATTTAAAATTTAACCAAACAGAATCCTTCTAATGACTGTGGACATCTTTAAATTTTAAGGCACTCACAGTTGCCAAGACCACAGAACAGTGTAACTACAGAACTAATTCTGCCTCTTCAGGGTTTAGTAGGCATAATTTATGAACATAGCTTTTTTTTTTAATATAGTAGCAGCTGTCTGAGAAACAAGACCTAAACAGGTTAAATAGCTGATTACCTTTGGGTGTTCTGAGGCTGTTTCAGTCATTCACTGTTTTGACTAAATGCTTTCTAGAAATTGCATCATATCTAGAACGTTCAATGCAGTCAAAGGAATGCACATTTAAAAAATTCAATATTAAAGCTGTAAACTTAACTCAGATTTTGATGCAGGCATAAATAAATCAGTGCTGTTAAATGAAATCAGGCTATCATCTGTCTGCCTACTTATTTATAACTGGTTTTAACAGATATCTGTTTGTGTTGTGACTTAGTATGCATTTTAAATGTGGAAGACGCTGCTGTAAGCTTTGTTTTATTCTCATAAAAATCCAGGCAGGTACTCAAAATTACCATATCCCCATTGTATTTATGAAGAAACAGAGAATTACAAGTAATTGTTAATTTGTTTTGAACTAGAAAACAAATACAAAGTTTGATATCATATTATAATTTCTTAAACATCAAACATTACTTTCTTCCAAAAAATACTGTTATGAATATTAATTGATAGTGAATCTATTTCGTTGAACCTTTGACATAATCAAATCCTTCTAAGTTCTGCCGATGTTAATTGATATATGTGTGTTGCTACATTAGTAAAATAATTTATCTTTTTAAAGGTTAATGTTTGTGTTTGTTTTTAAACTCATTTTCTATTTTTAGCCATGAAGATAAAGAAAGGCAGAGACAAATATCCACGCATGGTCTAGAGCAGTGCTATCCAGTAAATTTTTTTGCAATTATGAAATTGTTTTATATCTCTATCCTCCAATTTGATGGTCATTAACCATATGTTGGTACTGAATGCATGAAAAGTGACTAGAACAAATAAGAAAATTTTAATTAAGTTCTAAATTTTTAATATAATTTTATTTTGATTATTTTTAATTTTCAATATCCACCTATAGCTAATGGTTGCTATATTATAAAGTGCACCTCTAAAGCACATGCCTAACCACCCCTGTACATGCTAGAAATACTGTCATCCTACATCCACATATATCTCTAATCTGTCTGCTTATTTTTTCCATTTCTCAAACCACTGAGCAACAAACACTGTAAGTGTTTTCTAACTGGAACACCTGCTTTTAATCCCTTTAGACCGTTTTCCAGACGGCAATAAAACTAACCTTTAAAAATCAAATCAACAAACACAATACTTAATGGTGAATGACTGAAAGCCTTCTCCCTCATATCAGAAATAAGACAAGGATGTCTGCATTCACCACTTCTATCCACCATAATATTGGAAGTTCTAGCCAGACCACTTAGGTTTAAAAAAGAAATTACATCCAAACTGAAAAGAAGAAGTGAAACTATCTCTACTTGCAGAGGAAATAATATATATATATATATATGTAATCTGTTGCTATTTATATATATACATATATAATATATATAAAACCTGAAAGAACACACACACACACAAGTACACACATACACACACACAAAGTGTTAGAGCTAATAAATTCAACCAAGTGAAGGACTCAAAATCAACCCTCACAACAATTGTGTCTTTATACAGTAGCAATGAAAAATCTGAAAATGAAATTAAGAAAACTATTCTACCTACAACAGCATCAGAAATAAATTACTTAGAAATAAATTTAGCCAAGGAAGCTACACTGAAAAGTACAAAATATTGCCGAAAGAAATTAAATTTTTTAAATTTCTAAATAATTGAAAAGACATTCCATATTCATTGATTGGAAGATGTAGTCTTGTTAAGATAACACTACTACTCTAAACAATATATTGATTCAATATATCCATATCAAATACCCACAGCATTTTTGCAAACATATGAAAACTCATCCTAAAATTAATATGGAATCTCAGGGGACGGAATACTGAAGCAATCTTAAAAGAAGGAAACAAAGTTGGTGGTCTCACACTTCTTGACCTCAAAACCTACTTCAAAGTTAAACCAAACATGGAAATTACCTCCTTCTAGACAGTATTTGACAGTATTGTTTGTCTAGACGTAAACATGTGATCCAATTCTGGCCAGAGTCTCAACAGAAAGTCTCCTGGCACCTCTCTGAAAGACTTCCATCACTAACAGAAAAAAAACAAAAATGCTGTAGGAAAAAATGTTTCTTTTACATTGCTCTGTTCTTTTTGTCTGAACAGAGTTGTGTGAAGACTTCATTTTGGAGCTACAGTAGCCCCTTTGCAACATCAGACCATTGTAGGCAATTCTCCATGGGGTTATCTATTCCTCCTATAAAGACTTTTGCCCTGGGTTGTCTTTTGAAGGATGCTTGCATGGCAAATAGTCTTGAAACCTAGAAATAGTGTATTCCTTTGGGATGAGAGCAGATTCGTTTTCAGACCAGAATAACATATGTGTGTTGCTACATTAGTAAAATAATTTATCTTTTTAAAGGTTAATGTTTGTGTTTGTTTTTGCTTTTAAAATCATTTTCTCTTTTTAGACATGAAGATAAAGAAAGGCAGAGACAAATATCCAGGCATGCTCTAGAGCAGTTCTATCCAGTAAATTTTTTTGCAAATTAAGTGGTCTGGCTAGAACCAGAATAATGGTCCCCTCCAATGCAACAGTGAGTCAAGTTTGCTAGCAGTCCCATTATAAGATCTGGTATTTCCTGGCTTGGGGTTCCTCAGTTGTGACACTAATTGAGTGTGTGCGGCATCTATCTGAGCTGTTCACATGACCCCAGTAGGACTTGCTTGGCAAGGGGAACCAATGCAAACATGAAGTTCATGCTGCCTGCTATGCCATGAATCACAAAGTATTTTATACCTGACCCAGAAATCTCACGTCTTCCTTCAGCATTTATGAACCTGTGACAGGTTAATTACTTAAATTACAAACAGAGCAAAATCTCAAACCTTTCACAGTTCTCGATAAAAATAACTTTAAGTACAAAAGCTGACCTGCTGAAAACAATATACAAAAGATGGAAATGTACAGAGCCACTGTACCAAAATTGGATTATCTACCACCAGATTTTTATTACATGATTTAAAAAACAAAACAAAAAAACTACATTTTTATTCAGACATTTATGAATTAAATATGTGTTTATTGAGGAAGTACCAGTATTCTTGGCAACTGTAATGAATATTGCTGTATAAAAGGCACATTGAGATATTCCCCTGGCAGGATTTACATTCTACTGAGGAAGAAAAGGTACAAACAATAACCAATGAAAATATATGATCACAAAGTAATTACAGCTTGAGATTATTGCTATGGAGGAAGAAAAAAAATAACTTAAAAAGTAGGAGATTCTATTTTGGATACAACAGTCAAGAAATGCTGACATTTGAGGGCTGACCTAAAAGGTGGGAATGAGACTATCATGAGAAAAGCCAGGAAAACATATTCTGGATTAAATAAACAAATGAAAAAGCCTGGGAACAGGGCCTGAAGATCAAGGTAGCTAGGGGATAGCAGGGGAGAGAAGAATGGTGTAAGCAAAATTTGCAGAGATGGAAAGAGACAATTAATAAAGAAATCTGTAGGTTAATAAGAGATTTAGGGCTGGGCGCGGTGGTTCATGCCTGTAATCCCAGCACTTTGGGAGACCGAGGCAGGCGGATCATGAGGTCAGGAGTCCGAGACCAGCCTGGCCAACATGGTGAAACCCCATCTCTACTAAAGATACAAAAAATTACCTGGGTGTGGTGGTGTGCACCTGTAATTCCAGCTACTCAGGAGGCTGAGGCAGGAGAATTGCTTGAACCCAGTGGCGGAGGTTGCAGTGAGCTGAGATCGTGCCATTGCACTCCCGCCTGGGCAACAGGGAGAGACTCCACCTCAAAAAAAAAAAAAAAGAAAAAAGAAAAAAGAAAAAAAAAAAGAATATTTTTATTTAAGATACAGATGTGATCTAACTTACATTCCTAAGAAATCACCTTTGCTGCTCTGAGTTGAATTTACTCAGCCTTGTTGGATGCCTGTAACAATAGTCCAGGTCAAATATGATGATATCTTAAACTAAGTTTGGGATATGAGGACGGAGCAAAATGTATGGACTGGAGACTTAAAAGGGTTTTTTAATGGATTCAATGTGGTTAATGAGGGAAAGTGGGGATACCAGGAATGATCTGCAGGCTTTAAAAGTGCGGAAGTCACTGAGTCATGGTGAGGGAATAGAGAAAGTGGTAGAATTTTTGGAAGAATGTCAAAAGCTCCATTTTCAATGTATTAATTTTAAGGTAGTCATTTAATATCTAAAGGAAGATGTCAACAAAGTAGATGGATATTGGAATGGACGTCTGAAGGGAGATCTGTATAGGAGAAACAAATTTTCTACATCTACCTCAGAAAATAGTTGCATTTAACACTATGGGACTCAATGAGATTCTGGAGATAGACATTTAGGTTTCAGAAAAGACATCCTAGGACTGAGATTTAAGGCAAGGAAACATTGAAATGAAGGACATTAGATCCATTATGATCAGTAAAAGTATCCCAAAGTCAAACTGAATTAAGAAAAATTGTATTAATATATGAGTAAATCTACAGGCAGAGTATACTTCAGGGTTTTTAGATTCACCATATCAATAATAATGACAACACTTAATATTAGGTGTTATTATTTCTTCATTTTACAGATAGCAGAACTTCTAAAAAAAAACACAATTTGTTCGAGCTTACAAAATTAGCAAATAAATTAGTGGGGATTAATGCCTAGGCTCATTTCTATCACACCACTCATCTTTCATAAATAACACATTTTATCCCTCCTCATTATGATATTTACAAATCTCTAAAACTAGGAAGTCCAGTTATGCATATTTTTTACCATTGAGAAATATGAGCCTCAAAAATACTAGATGACTTCTTCAAGGTTACACTGATAAGTGATAGATTAAGGGCTAGAGCTGAAGTGCTGAAGTCTAAACTCCTGCAGGAGCCTCATCTCTCCCTATACCCCATGATATCATGTTGCCTGACTATTCATGCACCCATTATAAAAGCAGCTTTATATTCTTGTCTGTTTTCTTAAATTGTTTTTTAAAATTTACGTGTGTTGTCCTAGTTTCTCACTATGTCAATATTTTGCTTCCTTGACCTTTCCCTCCACCAAAACAAAACAAAACAAAACGAAACAAAACAAAAAAACACCGACGATCTGTGCAAAATTCTTAGCATTTGTGGCAGCACAGACTTTCAGTGAGCACAAATTATTTGGCCTCACTAACAATTATGTACCAAGCCAGCCCTGAGCTTCAGGAGTAGTATTCATATTTTTATAATGAGGTATAATTCTCATTCACTATTGTAAAGGGACATAAAATGAAGAAAATGTATGCATGTATTTGTGTCTTGTTTCCATTTTCAGAAATTAATATGTCTAACTTTACTATAGCTTTAATATTTTAATTGGTCATCTCAATGACCTTAAGTTTTCCCCTTAGCCATTTTTTCTTTTTAGCCCAAATCATAAAAATATTCATAAACTTCTGCCAAAGATTCATTAAATATCAAATAATAATAATGTAAATGAATGGCAGTGATTAGCACATTTTTCATTAAATCCATCAGCTAATTCTCATTCATGTTATAGGCCAATTTCATTTAACACACACGGATGACTTGTAGGTCCTAGGCATATGGATCAGTACTTATTTCCAAGACTATTTTAATATTCTTTTCTTTTTCATACAGATTACTTGTGGAAATTAACTTCTTCATATTTTATATGGTAATGTATTTGTCAGAATTAAGCCTAAATCCTCTGGATAAAGCTTAAGACACATAAAATTATAGCTACAAAGGCACAAATAATCAGTGGCCAAAAACAATATGTGCATGTACGAAACAGATACACATATTGCATACGACCATTTATTCCTTGGAGCAAACGTGTGGCTATACTATTAGTAACACTTTTGCTTTAAAATATATTTTTCTACTTCTGGAAGTCTGAAAATTTGTATCACAGTGAAACTTCCATTTCTATTTGTGCTCTTCCATGACATGAAATACAAAATCAGAAAAAAAAAATCTAGATGCATGTATCTACTTCCAAAGAGACTTAAGATTTTTGTTTTTTAATTCTCTCAACTTTTCCTAATTACTTCACACTTAGAAATCCTGTCACATCCTTCTTTGTCACACAACTGGGATTTACATTCCTCTCCTAATACACCATCACAAATGAAAACACTGTTTCTGGTTCCAACTGCATATTCAATAGCTGCTAAGAAAATTAGAAATGTGGACTCATTTAATGAGTCTTAGCAAATTCATACTTCAACTTAGTAGTGCAAGAAGTTTAAAAAAAATCCGAAGTATAAATTTTTGCAAAAGATCACAATGAGCAAAGATTTGATTTATTTAAAGGTGAGGAAAACGGACACTCATTCCTTAATCTTCCCGAGGAAAAGACAATCTACCTTGGGCAAATGCCGAGGCAAGGTACATATTTATTAAATGTTTTCTCCTTCCAGAATATGCCATTCAAAGCTGTCCTTTATCTGACAATTCAAATGCCCTTCTAATGAACTTCAACTGCTTTCAAATATTTAAAAAAATTATCATTGTATACTTTCTTTCACAAAATTAGCAGCCACTGAATTTGCCAAAGCCCAGTTCCAGTAGGTCTTTGCAGTTTATAAGATCCAAGTGAATGTGCCTAGTTACGAGCCTAGAAGTTCAAGCCCTGTAAATGAACCACACCAAACCAATCCGGGAAGAGCAAATGCCACAGTTCCTTCAATTCACTGTGACCATGTAGATCCAGCCCCATTCAAAATTTCCTCAAGTGCTTTCACCACTTTGGTTTGGCAAATTGACAGCTCAGAATAGATACAGTATTGATTTGTGTCTTCACAGTGGTGCAGGTGGAACTGGTATATGAAAGGAGGCCCTTGAAATTAGTATATTGGCACTCTTCCATTCCTGATATATTTTTTTTCCTCCCTATTCAACTCATTTTGATCAGGAAAGTATCTAACTGGGTGCTTTGTATGAGATCGTTAACAAAGTAATGCCTCTTGTTTTTAAATTTTTTATTGAGCCATTAGATTCAGAAGAACTTAATTTTCTTGTTACAGTATTAAGATAGCAATAAAGCCTGATTTATTATTCATGGAAGTCATTATTTGCCACCTTTAGGTTGCAATATTATGGCATTTGGTAATTATGAGCACATACAGAAGTGAGAACTCATCACAATGACATTGTAACAATACATTTCCCTCGTAAGAGAATGCAATCAGTGTAGCTATTTCCTACCTAGCAAGAACTACTATCTAAATTCTGGATATTTTACCCTTGTTCCCTAAAAATTTCCAGAACATATAAACTATAAGTTACTCATATGAGATTCATTTCTGTTAGTGTATGTATGCCATAGTGTTAGAGAGTATATCATTTTGTGCTAATATGCGAAATGAAACATGAGTAGTGAAATAAATTTCAAATAAGAAACCCTAGAAAGGAGTCCTATTTGCCACTTTGCAATCCATTTTACCTGGTAAAGTTACTCAGTATTTCCCAGCTCTATTTTTCTTAGCATAGATAGTCAGAATAACACTAATTTCAGAGGATTATATGATGTAATAATGTTTGTGAAAAAACACTTCTGAATTTATAAACATTATACAGATATTAAATATCATTGATAATCACAAGGAAGTGTTTTCACAGACAGGCTTATAAAATAATAAATGTTATTGATTATTAAGTGCTTATTAAGTGTTGCTTCTTATTCTAAGCACTTTACATGAATTAACCCATTCAAACACTACAATAACCTCATGAAGTAGTTATTATAGTTATCCCAGTTTTACAGATGAAAACATTGAGACACAGAGAAGTTAAGTAACATCATAAAACACACATTAATAATGTGGCCAAGATTCCAATCTAAGGAATCTTCTCTTTTGTCATATGGTTTCATATATATCATATAATTTAACATTATTTTAATAATGAGATAATATTGGCCACAAATGTTTTTTTTTTCATTGCCTTATCATTGCCTTCCTTTTTCTTCAGGTTTTATTTTTGAGAATTTTGTTAGTATAGTGTCATGAATATGTAGTCATCAAAAGTGGATCTAAAGAAAATCTATTATTTTATGTTTTATACAAAATAGGGTGAAGATAATTTCATTTTCACAGAAAGAAATCTAAGACATACATTTTGCTTCTAGGAAAATCAAACTGTAATTAATTCATTATTTTAAGTAATGAAAACTGATCTATATCAATGGATTTAGGTATGTTTTGCTTTTGCAGAGTTTTAATAGAATCTGTAAAATATTGCTGGAGATAAATATCACATATATATCAAAATGTAGAAAACTATAAATATTAATAAATTCCCAAAATTTTACGTTCAGGAGCTTAGTCTATAGAAATATTGAGATAATTTATAAAAATAAAAATAATAGTTCTTACTGTTGCCAAGCACTACTCCAAGTCTTTTTCTGATACAGTCTTACTTTATTTGTACCTCAACTCTGTGAAGCTAATACTGTTATCACATCCTTTATAAGTAAGCAATCTGAAATTTAGAGAATCAAATTAATTCACTCAAAATTATATCACTGCTTCATGAAGCACCCTGAACAAAATTTAAACAAGGCAATTCCAAACCACTATATTATAATTACTATTATATTGTAATAGATTATTTTCTCAGATTTATCATATAAGAAACAAAATTAGATGATAGAATATTGATAAAAATAATGAACAGAGCCCTCAGAAATAATGCCACATATCTACAACTATCTGATCTTTGACAAACCTGACAAAAACAAGGAATGGGGAAAGGATTCCCTATTTAATAAATGGTGCTGGGAAAACTGGCTAGCCATATGTAGAAAGCTGAAACTGGATCCCTTCCTTACACCTTATACAAAAATCAATTCAAGATGGATTGATTTTTTAGGTCTAACTTAAACGTTAGACCTAAAACCATAAAAACCCTAGAAGAAAACCTAGGCATTACCATTCAGAACATAGGCATGGGCAAGGACTTCATGTCTAAAACACCAAAAGCAATGGCAACAAAAGACAAAATTGACAAATAGGATCTAATTAAACTAAAGAGCTTCTGCACAGCAAAAGAAACTACCATCAGAGTGAACAGACAGCCTACAAAATGGGAGAAAATTTTCGCAACCTACTCATCTGACAAAGGGCTAATATCCAGAATCTACAATGAACTCAAACAAATTTACAAGAAATAAACAAACAACCCCATCAAAAAGTGGGCAAAGGACATGAACAGACACTTCTCAAAAGAAGACATTTATGCAGCCAAAAAACACATGAAAAAATGCTCATCATCACTGGCCATCAGAGAAATGCAAATCAAAACCACAATGAGATACCATCTCACACCAGTTAGAATGGCAATCATTAAAAAGTCAGGAAACAACAGGTGCTGGAGAGGATGTGAAGAAATAGGAATACTTTTACACTGTTGGTGGGACTGTAAACTAGTTCAACCATTGTGGAAGTCAGTGTGGCGATTCCTCAGGGATCTAGAACTAGAAATACCATTTGACCCAGCCATCCCATTACTAGGTATATACCCAAAGAACTATAAATCATGCTGGTATAAAGACACATGCACACATATGTTTATTGTGGCATTATTCACAATAGCAAAGACTTGGAACCAACCCAAATGTCCAACAATGATAGACTGGATTAAGAAAATGTGGCACATATACACCATGGAATACTATGCAGCCATAAAAAATGATGAGTTCATGTCCTTTGTAGGGACATGGATGAAATTGGAAATCATCATTCTCAGTAAACTATCGCAAGAACAAAAAACCAAACACCGCATATTCTCACTTATAGGTGGGAATTGAACAATGAGATCACATGGACACAGGAAGGGGAACATCACACTCTGGGGACTGTTGTGGGGTGGGGGAGGGGGGAGGGATAGCATTGGGAGATATACATAATGCTAGATGACGAGTTAGTGGTTGCAGCGCACCAGCATGGCACATGTATACATATGTAACTAACCTGCACAATGTGCACATGTACCCTAAAACTTAAAGTATAATAATAAAAGAAAAAAAAACTTAAAAAAAAAATAATAAAAATAAACTACAAAAAAAAATAATGACTCATCCTTTAAGTCAAAGATATGGGGCAACTAAAATCAATGCTGCAGGTCTGTACTTGTGACATGGGACTGTTTTTCATCTGTTTTTAAGTATAAGGGAATAAAGGAAATAAATACCAGATTTTAAAAAAATGTATATATTAATAATTAAGTTTTATTATTTTAAATGTCTAAACAAATAAGTATATTTAAAATGTTAAATATATCATTGAAAATATTTATAGTAATTCTCTTTAAATCTCTGTTAGTGAGATTACTTATAGATTTAACTTTGCACTGAATTCCATAGACAAACTAATTTTGTAAGGAATCAATATTGCCTACTGAATAAGTACACCAGCTCTGGAGTCAGATGCCTGAGGTGATCCATCAACTTCATCTTTTGAGCTTGGATGGGTAATTGGAGTCTCTTCACTAACTTCCCTAAGCTTGCACTTACTCTTCTGTAAAATAAAAATGTGAATAATATATAGTTCATGGAATTACATTAAGAATTAAATGACTATACAAATAAAGGGCTTACAACTCATATTGCTAGCTATTTCTTAGCTATGCCATAGGGTAAAAATTTGTTTATTATATTTTCTTTTGTTCTCTAATTTTACTATCATAAACATTATTTTAAAGTGAGAAAAAATCAGGACTTATCTTTTTGATTTTTAAAATTATTTGCCAACGTTTGCACCACCACACCACCAAAAAATGTCACCTCTTAGTGTTAATCAGTGTTATTCTGGGTAGAGGTTTCTAATCTTCATCTCTTCTGATCATTGTTATTGATGAATTGGAAAGGGCAATTAATGCATGCTTTTCTGGTTTGCATTTGGCAGACATCTAGTCAGAACCATCACTATTATATCTTATTGCTGAATCAAAATTCACAATAAATTTTAAAGGCTAAATCAGCTGAAGCCAAATTATGACATTTAATAAGGATAAATGAAAATTTTTGGATATAATTGCTAGAAATTAATAACAAAAGTTAGAGGATGGAGGAAACTTGGCTTGAAAACAGTTCATGTGCAAAAGATCTCAAGAATTTCAGTTAACCAAAGAAACTAATATGACAAGCTAGCAGAAGCTAATTTAATCCTAGGCAGCATTAATAGAGTTATAGTGTGTTTATCATGGGAACTGATAGCCGCATTGTACTCTGCTCTGTCAAAATGAATTTGGGTCACTGTTTAATTTTGCATACTAAAATTTCAGGAAGGCAATGAAAACTAGAGACCATTATGAGAAGGTGAAAGGTGAGGACAGGTCTGTAGTTGGAGCTGTATGAGAAATCTTGAAGGTAGTATGGATGTTCAGGTGAGCATGGGTTCCAGGACAACATGTTGTCCTGATTATTCTATTTTTCCGGTTGCTTTTCCTATGTCTCATTTGTTTGCTTGCTCATTTGTTTTCTAAGCTTTGAAGTGTAGCAATGCTCAGTCTTAACCTCTCTTTTTACTTTGATAACACTAACTTTCTTGATGACCTCCTCCAGCTTCGTGGCTTTAAATGTCATCTTTATGATTATGACTCACAAATTTATATCTTCACTCTAGATTTCTTCACTGAATTTTATTCTTGAATATCTAACCAATTTCTGGGTATTTCTCCTTTGAATTCTAATAAATTTTAAAATTAATAAATCCAAAATTAAACTATTGTGGTCAGAGCAATATTTTATAAAAAGCCTTCTTCTACATTTATGTATTCTTCTTCTACATGTATATGTACATTAATTAATAATTATAATATTAAGAGCAACAAATAAATATAAGCCATTCCCCAGGTAAATTCTCCTTCATCATATATGTGCGAGTAGAGGCTGAGTAAACATAACTTAGCATAAATGATGAAGGAATTCCTTCTCTGAGTGAGTTACCCTTAAAACTGAATGGAAATTATGTTCCATTTATGAAATTATAATATTTCAGGCAAAGTGAAAAGTTACTCTATGCCTGCAGCATCTGTAGAGAAAAAGCAATCAGTCAATCTGTTAATCAATAATATTTTTGAGCTCCTACTGTGTTCCAGACACTACAAGGTACTGGGTTGAATTCTGTCAAGCCCAGTACCTATGACTGTGACCTAATATGAAAATAGAGTATTTAGAACAAAGGTCACACTGAATTAGTGTGGGCAGTAATCCAATAACAAGTATAATTATAAAAATAGGAAAATTTGGACACAGAGACACAGAGAGTGAATGCCATGTTATGACAGAGGAAAAGATTGGAGTAATAGATCCATAAGCCAGGGAATTTGACAAAGATTTTTGGCAACCTTCTAAAGCTGTGAAGAGGTAGAGAAGTATCCTCCTCCATGTCCTTCAGAGAGAATGTGGCCCCACAGACTACTTGATTTTGGACTTCCAGACTCCAGAAACATGAGACAATAAATTTATGTTGTTTTATGCCACCCAGTTTGTGATAATTTATTACAACATCTCTAAGAAATTAATATAACCAGGTATTCATGACTGAGTGGTTAATTGTCAGAATGGCTATCTTTAGAGTCTAGTGGGAAAATTCATCAAAGATGTGATTATAAATAAGTGAATAATCAAAATCATGCAACACTTATGAAGATGTAAATACAGAATGCTTGATATTATATCCAAGTAGATAGGAAAGATGTCCCTGAAATGAGGCACTAGTCAGGTTCTCACTTATTTACTGAGCTTAATAGAGTACTAGGCACAAGAGTAGATATTTAGCAATTACTTGAATTAATGCTGAATAAAGGTAAAGTATGAAGTACCTATAAGGTAACTAAGATTAGAGGAACATTCTAGACAGAGAAAAGCATTATTTACCAGGACAAATTTTATTTAGCAAAAAATAAAGAAAAAATATTAAACACATATAATAAAAATGTTAGTACTAGAATAAATATTGCATTATATTGTTTACCAGTTATAAAATTTATAAGTCACCAAAATTTGATGTTTGTACATGATCTAACATCCTGTGATCTCTTTCCCTACCATCCAATCTATTCCCTCCATTCCCCCATTTCTTCCTCTTAGTAGAATCCTAATTTGGATCAAATATCCAATTATATACCATGTGGCATGTGAATCTCAAGAAAAAATGAAGAAAAATGTAATAAAACAAAAGAATACTTTCCTACTTCCAATAATAGATTGTGATAAAACAAAATCATTGTATTCCCTTACAAATAATTGGTTTAGGAACTAAAATTTAGTCTCATTAACTTGTGGTAAATAATATGTCCAAAGAACCACTATAAAGGGAAACACATTGGACCTAATTTGGCCCGTAACATTGAAGTGAGTAGCTATATTTCATGCACTGGGAAAGATATTTTCTGTCTGCTGGGTGATATTGGAAAATCAAATGATAAGCTTAAGGCACATCATTTGGCACA
This sequence comes from Homo sapiens, assembly GCF_000001405.40. Taxonomy (NCBI): domain Eukaryota; kingdom Metazoa; phylum Chordata; class Mammalia; order Primates; family Hominidae; genus Homo; species Homo sapiens. The sequence continues at coordinate 190,389,674 of NC_000001.11, forward strand.
TTTAATAATTTATTTTACTTTGAAACATTAATAAGTCCTCAATAAATGCAAATGGATATTACTATTGGAACGGAAACAAACCAACTGACCATGGGTTTTAGCAACATGAAAATTCTTGCTAATCCTTGTAAGAACAGGATAAATGGTTTGGGTAGGTTGAGCCGAAATTCTGATTAGGGTAGACACAAGAGAAAAGTGGAAGAAGTGAAATAAAATGGACAAAAATGGATTTTGATAAGGTTTACTGTCCAAAAGTCCAGAGAAATTGGCAGTAATGGCTCAAAAGAATCTTCTCTTGTTACAGTGGTTAATTTATGGGAACAATAAACACATTTTTGTAAACTGATGAGACTTTTCCTGTAAAGATGGAAAAACAAACCTCTTTGATAGAGACAGAGGACAACTACTAGAGCAGTAACTCTCAGAAGGTGAGAGGGGGTGAGAACCAGTGAACAATTACAGCAGGTAAATCTTGGGGGAAATATCTTGTAATTGCTTCATTTCCTACTCTAAAATAATGCTACATTCATCATATAAAAAAGGAAAGAGGGTGGGATGGGAGGCATCAGAGGTTGGAGGAAAGAGAGGGTGCTAGATTCTCGAATCTGGAAAGATTAAATTTCCAGATTAAAGGTGGGATGGCTGAAATTAAAAATTATGAAGCAATTATAGATATTGGTAATGACAATGTCTAAGACATGACCATGGTGTGAATGCTTAGATAGAAAAGAGGGCAACCTTCCCCTCTGGGTTATTGGAGAAGTCAACACAATGAGAGGTCGGGGTATTAGAAGAATCTTCCCTATGAATACATAAATGTCCAAGGATTATGACAGAAACAAAACGTTGCAGAAATTGGCAGTGAAGGGCAGCTAAAACCCTCAAGGAACAGGTGGGATGCATGGTAGAGGGTGTGAACTCTAATAATAATGATATTTAAATCTGAGGGAGTTTCACACAGGAGGAAGAGAAAAAGGGCTCACCTTCTGGCCCTGTTGTATTAGTATTAAGTTTTGGAAAGAGAAAACAATCACAATGGTGAAGGCCACAGGAGACGCAGTGTCATGGAAGCAGAGCATATTTCAGTGCAAGAAGCTAAATGCAATACATAGATAAAAGAATGAGTATAGAGAAATTATGCTAAGTGACCTGGAGTCCTACAGTCTCAGTGCAAAAAGACTTGGCAGTTAGGGTCAGACTGGGAGATTAATGTTTAGCATATGAGTGACTTGGGAGTCCCCGGCTTTTTGTATTAGTTAATATGATAATAAGAGAAAATAAATGTAATCCTTTAGAGTAATTCTGAAGTTCTCAAAGAGTATGGCTGTGGCAAATCTATAATTGCTGAGCAGGAGGCATGAGATTTGCAGGATTCAGGGACCCCCTCCTTCATGCCAGTTATGGGGAGAATTGGTCTGATTTGGAGCAGAAGGAGTTTCCTGATCCCTCCTTATTCCTGGTAATGGATCTGTGGGATCTGGGGGAGATTATTTTATCTGGAGCATGGACACTTTGGGGCTCCCTTGTTACCCTCTTGGTCATCAGGAACTCTATGACCTCCCTCTGCTTATTTCCTACTTCTGAATGTGTGGAAATCAGACAAGGGACAGTATTATGGAGAATAAGCTTTTAGAATGAAGAGAATATGGGTTACTCATTTATAAAACATTACAGTGCCTCATAGTCAGTAACTGATAAAATATATGTTGAATTCCATTTGCTGTTATATAATTGCTAGTCTATACTTAGTATCATTAGCATTTTAATTGGAAAGATCATTTATGTCGACAGTACTATCAATAGCAACTTGTCATCATGATAGATGTCCAGTCTTAAATTAACTATTATAAAACAAACAAAAATTATATTTCCTATAGAACAAGATTTTACAATAGCTCTTTTTAAAGAGATACTCGTAAAAATCAAACTGACATTTAAAAAATTTGTATAGGTTCCTTAGGGAGTGTTAGATATAGACATGTTCTTTTCAGTCACTTTTTCTCCAGGAACAAGGGCTTCCTGTGGTGATCTAAATGTAGGAAATGTATGAGTGATGCCTACACTGTAAATTATACTGAATCGACCGATGTTACAAAACGAGGCTTACCAGATTATTAGTGTCAGTGCTAGAGACCAAAACATGCCTGTCTTCCTCAATTCTTCCAGCATTAAAGATAGGTAACTTTATCACTGTGCATTCAATACCCGAAGGGAGACAGATACTACTAATTAGTTTGCAAAAGCCATCATTTTTGGTTCCACGATATTTTACTGAGAATGTTAATGTGTGCATAACCCTAATTTTTGATGCTTTACCATCATCATACCCTGGTTAGTACAGCAGACAGTATGATGTTAAAAACGGAACAAGGGTTTAGCTTGGCCAAAAAAAAAAAATGATTTAATTGAAAGACTCTTCTGGAGAATAGCTTCAAAAAATATCTGTGTGTCTGATGATTAATACTCCCTTTAAAAATAGGCTTTAAAATTATGTTGTGATCTCAATGCTCCATATCATAATATAAACATTCAACTAAAGTAATAAAATACCTTATAAATAATGTCAAACTGGACGGTTGTTGCCTTAATAATGTCAATAATATAGATAATATCATCTAAAATTTTTAGTTCTCTTATACAGACTGGGAATTGAGTTGTATATTACGAGCTTCTTTCATTTAATTCTCATAACATTTCTGTGATGTAGATAATATTACTACTTCTACTTTACTGATGAAAGAAAAAACCCTGAGAGTAAGAAAAGTGAGGTAACTTGACTTGGTTACTCAGCTCAGACATAGTGCAACTGGAAATCTCAAACAGTCTGCATCTCTTATATGATACATTGTACTGCAGTTTCGATAGGGTGGAACATGTTTAAAGGGATTTTCTAAAAAGGTCACTTTTGATCCTTTCCAATATAAAAGTTATTTTTTAAAAAAGAAAGATACTCCCAACTTGTAATAGTTCACATTTCTTTTTCACTTTCACATTTTTTATATTTTGTCAGTAAAGGTAAGGATGAAAAATTTAAAACCTCCATGTACAGTAGGGCCCTTGTAGTTCCACTGGCATTCTATAAACACCTGAGTACACTGTAAGGGGAAAAAAATCTTTATTCTCAATTCAATTAATAAATAATTTGAGGCTTAAAACAGTAATTAGCATTCTCTTTTTTACATAGTCTTTTAAAATGCTATTAGTAAAATGAAATACTTGTTTAAATCTTAATTTAAGTTGCTTGATATGTTCACAGTTACTATACTTTGTAGTTATGGCCAGACTTGAATCAAATTATTGGGGATAAAACATGTCTGAATAAAAAGCTGTGAAGAGTATTTTGCCAAGGACCAAAATATACCCATGAATATCTAGAACCATTATATATTATAATATTAAGGGCATGTATCTAGTACATTATTTCAATTTTGTTGTATTTCTAATATTTGCTTGAATGATAACTGAAGGACTCTGGCAAACATTACATATGCATAACATATATTAAGCACACATTTACATGTATGCATATGCATGCATGTATTTAAATACATATTCATGTACATAGTGTCAGACAAGGGATCAATAAGTGGAGCTGGGATGATTTAAAAATTTTCTTAAGATCGTGAGAGGAATCGGGTATTACTATGCTAACCCAACTTATTGATTGATTGATAATGGCCTTCTGCCTTCGGTGCAATTCTAAAAGAGATGCTAACGTGGGACCAGGTCTAAAGGGGAAAAGAGAACTCCATGGGGAAGGAGAAACATAAATCAATAAGCTTTTCATCATACACATGAACAGAACCTGTAATATAAAGTATATTCAGAATCTATTTCTGTGATACATATAACAACGGTGAATGGAAATCAGCAGATTTTTTATATGCATTTATTTTTAATGAACTGATAAACATTAGAAAACTTTAGACATAAAATTTCAACATTCCATACTCATTTTTAATTGGCTAGTAAAATCATGTATTTAAAAAGAGAAACTCAAAATATATTTTTGATTTATTTTCTTACATATAGCTCTCATCTCAGACTACTAAATCTAATAGCATGCTGAAAAACCTGGAGTGCATGTATTACTCTCAAAATGGTTGCTAAAATTTGCATTTGATTATGCTAAAATGGATGTTATGGCTAGTTTTGTGCACTCACCGCAGAATTTCAGTTTTAAAAAGTGTTTTAATGTATCCACATGCCTGCCCTAAAGCTAAGCCAAGAAAGTAAGAAATATATAGAGGAAACATGGTTTAAGTATTTTATTTTAAAATTTCCCTTTGCCTGAAAACTATTTAACTTGAGAAATTACAAACTTCCAAGTATTTCATTATTTTATACTCAACTTTAATCCATAGAAAATATATAATGTCAACTATATTGAATTTTTAATTTCTTATCAGTTAGGTATGGGAAGTATTGTAGGTAAATTGTTCATCTTAATTAGTATGGAGCTTGATTCAAAGTCCAAGTTAAACCAGGAAAGCTTTACATTATTTTTAAAAGTGTCAAGCTGTTCACTACTGTAACAATTTATAATACTTTAAAATACTTCTCTCTCTTTTCACTTATGATTATTTAGTCTCCCTTACTATGGAGTATTTAATGAGTCCTTAGAACAAAATATAATTCCCTTTTTTAATAAAAATGGAATTATTAAAGATAGCACAATTAAAATGTCATTATTTCCAGTAATTCTGATTTCAGCTTGTAATGGGTTTCTTGCACTGTTTTTCAAATTACTAATTATCTGTTCTTTAGAGAATATGAATGCACATATGCCAAAAAAGGAAAACCTCTAAATTTGTATTATTTCAAACTATGACTATGCTGTTTCTTCAGTCAACCTACTTCAAATAGTAGTTTCATGGATCCTAATCTTCTCTCAGATAAGACCCTTAAAATATCACATATCTATTACTAGAAAGAGAGATATTAAAATTAAAGCATAGCAAAAAAGATAAAGATACAAAATTTAAAGGTAAACACAAACTGCATTCTGCTATCTATACGTTTTTTCTAAATATACTGTGTTCACTGTTAATGCTTACCATTTCTATATAAATTATAATTATTGAAATATTTATTTTATACAAAAATTCATATTCTTACAAAATATACTCTATGGATATAACCTGAATTTTAGAATTAACTCTGGGGAGTACACAGTGCCTACCGGAAAAAAAGACCATTTGCCCTCTGGAAAGGGAAAGACTGTTGAATGCATGTGGAATTGCACCATTTCGGAGGTATTTTTATAGTGTGAAGAGAATGTCATTTTTCAAGTAAAGATTTAGTAAATCCACTAAGGAAGTCTTGTACATTGCACTTTTAATACACAAAAGTTTATAAAATTAAAGTAGATTGTGATATTTGTGGTAAGAATATATCTTGTGTATCAATGGCTTACATTCAGGCAGCTATTTATTTCTCATATCATTTTTGCCTGTGGTTATTGTTTACTCAGGCTGCCACAAGTAAAACTTAATCAGAAGCATATTTTGAATTGCTCTTCTTAATACATTATTTTACTAGGTAATAACAAGGAAGAGAGGAAGAGAAGATCTGACTTTATGCATAGTTTTGTCTAAATTCAATTGCTTAATGTAATGAAAAACATGTATTTTCATGCATTATGTGTTGAAAATAGCAAAACCTCCATAAGTACAGCTAAAAGAAGAAAAATCTAGAATTTTAACAGGAAAAAACTTTCTATTTAACTGCACTTTGTATGCAATTCAATTATTTATTAAAATTGTTAAATGACTTCTCCAGATTTTCTAATGTATTTCAATGAAACAAACCATTGCTTCATCTTCAGTGGTCTTTGAACCCAGTAAATAACAAATATCTGTCAAATTAACACAAGAAATATTGAGAAGTATATGATTTTATAATATATGATTGGGTTATATATATGACTAAATTAAGAAACATAAATCTTTTAATTTAATTATCTCTCTAGAGCTATTGATAACTGTGTATTTGATTACAAAAAACCTACCTTCATTCAACTTCAGTCTTTGCCTCTAAAGAAAGATGCTTCCTGCACTCTCCAAATAATTTTGTTATCAACGATTCTTAACTAAGTTTTATTCAGTTGTAGGAACTTCCTCTCTTGAACCCTTGAAGAGTCCATCGATGCTCTTTAAGTTTTTGGTAATAAAGAAAGGAACACCATTTGTTTTCCTTCTTAGTACTTTTCAAAGCCACAGTATGTCCCTTCTAACACCTTCACAGATTCTCTTTCATTACAATATAAGAAAAATAATGAAAGAAAAGAGCAGAAGGAAAGAAGGAAGGAAGGAAGGAAGCAAGGAAGGAAGGAAGGAGGGAAAAGGAAAGGATTTTTGTTGTGCTGATAATGCACCAGGTGTGACACAGGGTTCTGAATATTAATTATGTCATCCTCCTAACAAAATTTGAAGGCAGAGAATATTATTGCCATTGTGTAGATGGGAAACCCAGGAGATAATAAAGTTAAATAAGTTATTTAATGTCACACGGCTAGTAAATGAGTAATGCTGGAATTGAAATCCACAGGCAACTTCACTTCTAAAGGAAGTTATGTCTTCCACCAAGTAAGAATTACCAGCTTTTAGTTCCGTTTAAATTAAACTCTAATGTTGTAATAAGAAAGTTATACAGTTTACAGTACATATGTATACAAAGAAAGCAAAACACTATCATCCTCAGTAACTGTAGCCAGGGGTGTAGATCTTGGCTCAATTCCTCATCTTTTCATTAAATCTTGACCAGCCAGAGTAGGTTTGAATATTTCCTTCTTTGTAAGTCTTCAAAAACTAGGAATCTATTGATTACATTAAAACGACCAACTTACCAGCCATCAACTACAGAAACCCATCCAACCAGTTCTAAAGTGGCCATCAATTATTTTCTAAACAAGTGGCATTCTCTTTTGCATTCTGCTTTCAAGTATATTGGAAAATAAATTTTGAAAACATAAAACAGAGCATCAAACAGAGATGCATATGTATACACAAACAAACGCACTATGCATTCCTAATTTAATGATATATATATATATATATATATATATGTAACTAACAGATTTCTATATTATTACTAACTGATCATGTCTTCTTAAATCTTCCCATCTGCTAAGCTGGATATGGGGAGAGGGTGCAAATGGGGAAGAAAAGGACAACCAAATTGATGTACAGTCAGGTAAACATAGTCCTTTTCAGTACCTAAAACATTTCCCTTTACATACATCTCCCAACTCAGTATGCATAAAGCTTCACATTTCTCCATTTTTAAAATGTCTCTTCAAGACAAAGGGGATGTATGACTTCCATAACCACTAGGAGGTGGAAGTTAGGTGATGAGTCAAAATGCAATGGATGTTGTGTTTGCCACTGTGGACTAAGAATTAATTGGTCCTGTGACTACCTCTGGACTCAAAATTTAGATAGATTTTGGTTTCTTCATTTGATTCTGAACTTCTGCCAGTCACCTTCTTACCCCTTTGCAGCCTCTCTTACCTACTTAGCAAGTGGGGACTTCTGGCCTTTTGCATACCATTTGCAAGCCATGAAGAATCAAGAAAAATACCAGTTTCATGTTCTACTATCACCAAGCCTCCATGTCACATCGGAATTGTTCATAGATGAATATTCTTTGACAGGCTTGCAGGCTCCCTAAGTAACCAGTGAAGTGTGTCGCTATGGCTCCTGTTCTGCATTTCCCATACCTGTCTCTGCATTTCTAGCTCTCTTTCTCCCAGACCTCCCTATATATTTGGACTCAGGCACTTGACTTATTTTATCTACCCACCCTTAATTATCCTTTACTCCTTGGTCTGAAAACAATCAGTTGTGTACCTTAGATTTCTTTCATATTATGTTCTAATTCTCTCTACACTGAGAATGCCTTGAAACTCCTTAATATAATTATATTCTAAATTTTGCATTCCCTGAATCAGAAAGTTTAAAATGTGAAATTTAGATATCACCTGTCTTGTTGACCAAGAAACACAACTGAATATCCTTTTGGAGTTTGAATACAGGAGGTGAATTAAGGGCATATTTGATTATGCATGTGAATAATTAAATTAAATAATTTTAATTATTAAAAATCTCCTTACAATTTATTAAGAAAATTATCTCATCAAAAATCATAAAGAATTTTAATGTTTGAATAATAATAAAAAATAGTTGACATTTTTCTGAGTAATTATTTTACTCTGTGAAAAAATTCCCTAATCTTTTTCCCAGAAAATATATATGTGAAACTGTCAAATTTTGTTAAAATGATACCATAGAATTAATATCGTGTTCAGTGAAGACTTTATTTTTGGACCATATATGTACCTGGAGCATATGTTAAAGGAAGTATGTGTTCTTTTAAGCCACAAGCTGCAGCTTTAAAAATAACATATAAAAGCACACAACCACAACCCAAAAGTGATTTAATTTTACTTTGTGATTCATTATATGATTTTAGAGGGTAGCTAAATGATCCTATCATTAATGCTCCACTTAACATGAACATTAGTTCATGTTTCTTGAGTAAAAAGGAGTTGTACAATTTGCTTTGGGGATGAAGAGTGTGAAAGATCATAAGTATATTTAAAAGGGGATAAACTCTAAGTTTTAAAACCTTCTCTGATAATCCATATCTGATTAACAGGAAGCCGACTATATATCTAAATATAGCTTACACTGAATATTTGAATTCATAGGAGGGATGATGTAAAATTCTGAATAACAAAAAAGGTAACCTAATTTTATAGGGGATTTACTTCTTACAGATGAATTTGTGTCTCATGTACTAAGTATAACGCTGAACAAATGAGTATACGCATTCTATAGGTCTGTATCAAGTGAATCTAGATAGTATAATTTCTATCATATTATCCTTATGATTGCTAGCAAATAGGCTAAATAAGCAAAATAGTTTTATTTTAAAGAAAATTTTCTCTAAAAATCTCCTGAAACATAGTATAAAACTATAACATAGCTCAAATTTACTGGGCATCTATGATATGCTAAGCATAGTGTTTTATGTTTACATTTTATTTTAATTTTGTAATTCCTAAGAGGTAGGTATTATTAATATTGTAATAGCAAGTGAGGAAATTGGGATAATCAAATAAATGGAATGTTGTTCCCTCTTCCTTGATGTGCCTCTGCTGCCAAATCTTCCACCCTTTTTACTTAGTTAAAAATTTTCTTCACCTTTAAAACAATTTTAAGAAGCTTTTTTGATCCATCTCTTCCCAGTACCTCCCCTGAGATACCCGTCTTCCATTATGACTTTATTAAAGAGTGGTCATATGTCCATCATTGGTCAGGTTTCATGGCTAATATCTATTTTTATGTGTTTGCTCCAGAGATTATGATTACTTTGTGCGCAGAAATTACTATTAATTTACCTCATTGATGTATTTTTGTGCTTAACAGACAGAACACTTCATAAATGAACATAAAACAATATAAACTAAATTCTATAACACTCTTAATACATGCTAGGTATAGGTGAATAGAAATGTCACTTAATGTTTTTAATTAAAAACACACCCTCAAATGAAAAACAAATATCCACCTCCCCCAAACAAATAATAAACAAAACAACAGTAGTATACTTTGAAAAGAAATAAAACGTTTTCAAAAACTTCTAATAGGTTTCCTTAGTTACTAAAGTAGCTGACTAAAAATAGAAAATCTACCCAGGGGAGCTAATTTGTGATCCTTTGTGCCCTTTCATCAAATTACAATGGCTTCAAACTAAAAATGAAAGTGACACTTCGCGAGCATGAAACTGAAGTATATTTTTATAATGTACATAAATAGCTCTCATTTAGAATTTCTCAGGGGTTTTTAATAGCTAAAAAGTTAAAATGTGTATGTAGTACTCTCCTGTTCATAGCCAGTCTCTTGGTAAATGCAGATACAAGTGAAGCTGCAAGAGAAATATATTACATAATGTTTCCTTGTGTCGACCACCATGTACTGAAACTAGCATACAGACTATCTTTTACCTAAATATAAGATTTTAAAAGTCTCTCTTACTGTAAATGGCCTCCTTGTTATGGTCTGTTTACCTAATCTGAAATTTAGTCTATTACAATTTCTGAGATAAGACACATAAGCCATAATTAGGATCATTCACTTTTAGAACTGTAAAGCATGTCTAGGGCATCTAAATTTAGCTACTCCTGGTCTTAGAGATGAATATACTGAAGCTCCAATCTATTTAAGTGGAGATCTTAAATTTATATAACTAAGAATAGTAGTTTGATCACTTTCAACCCATTGCTCCTTAAACCATCACACTCTCTATTTTCATACTTTTTCAAAAAGTCATTATTTAAGTCAATTAGCATTTGTTGACCACCCATCACACTGACATTCTACATAAGAAAGGTTGATATGGAAGATACAACTAAATGAAGATATCTCAAAACCATGTGAAGATGTGACTGAAAACACCTGATATGACATAGAAATGAAAGCTGAAATGAACGTTTTGCGTATCTGAATTTATAACAAACCTCAAACTGGAGGTCTGTCATACATTGGATATTCCCATAATTTGGGATCAGGAAGGGATTAAGATTAACAGACAGAATTGTAAGCTATAACTTATGAGTTGAATTCGGAATAAATAAGTCACAAAACAATATTGAAATAGTATAAGACAATGTCAAAGTATTTTAGGTTTTCAAAAATTGTCGAGTTAGGCAAAATCAACTCTACTGATTAATGTAGTAAAGAAAAAAAGTTACTGGGTGATGTGTATTACACAAAATAGTTATGATACAAAGAGAAAGTTTAATTCTAGGAAAATTCCGGTTGTTTCAAAAAACTATCCAATGCTTTTAGTCAGCGTGAGGTTTCAGCGTGAGGTTTTAATCACTTACATGTGATTGGTTACATCTGTTTTCTTCCATGATTTTATAGATTAGTTTGTATGCAATCTCATCCAATATTTGAAAGTGGATTTGTCACCTATAAGCACCATTCTTCTCATATCTCCATAACAAAACACTAATTTTGTTCATTTGTCTACTCTATCCAGGGAACCCTAAAACATTTAGAAAATGCTGATCTTACCAGTTTCATAAGTAAATACTGACTAGTATAAACCAGTGAAGGTAATCTTAATTCCCTTGTGGTGACATTGATTCAGAAACACTGGTTTTAGATAAACATATAGTGCAATTCCCTAACAACTATTATTTGTTGAGATTTAAGTGTAATACCTATTTTGGTCTAATCAGACCTAAGAAAACACCTCATATGTCAGCTATAGGAAGAGGATTTTTCTCTCTTTTGCTGAATATAAACAACCAAACTTTTTGCCTGCTTGCAGGCATATTGTGGCCTTGAAGAAAGCCTAGCTGAGGACAAATACCATATATGCCTGGTGTAGCACAGAGAAGTGGCTCACCCCTGTAATCCCAGCACTTTGTGGGTGCCGAGGCAGGCAAATCACTTGAGGTCAGTAGTTCGAGACCAGGCTGGCCAACATTGTGAAACCCCGTATTTACCAAAAACATGAAAATTAGCTGGGCATCGTGTTGGGCGCCTGTAATCCCAGCTACTTGGGAGGATGAGGCAGGAGAATCACTTGAACCCAGGAGGTGGAGGTTGCAGTGAGCCAAGATGAAGCCACTGCTCTCCAGCCTGGGCAACAGAACCAGGCACCAGGCACCAGTCCCCATCTCAAAACAAAAAAAAAAAAAAAAAAAAAGGAAAAGAAAAGCAAACAATCAAAAAGCTAGGGTTTCATTGTGTTTTGAAGCATGCCCAAACTTCAGACTGTTTAATATGTTTTTTTGTTTAAGCCAGAGCTTCTAAAGTGTGATACATGAGCTAGTAAGGAGAGCATCACCAGGAGCTTAATAAAAATGCAAATTCTTGCCACATTGCAGACCTATGGAATCGGAAATCTGAGTAATGCCTGTGACACATGTGGGATGAACAAGATCTCCAGGACTTTCTCAAGTCCATCAAAGTGTGAGAAGCATTGATGTGAGCCTATTTAAGTGAAGATTTCTGTTAATTACTGTAAATGAACCCAAATTAATAAAAGAAAACAATTATTTTTATCAAACCAAGTGAACCAGTTATACATACACATGTAGTTGTCCAATAATGTTATTTTTAAATAAATTTTTACTCACTTATATTAATTATAATGTACTTTTTGAAATCAGAATTTGAAGTTACATTACCCAACCATGCCTTCCATTCAAAAACATTTCCTATTCTTCAATTAGCAACTATATATATATATATTTGATATGAACAACTATATATATACTTGATACTTGATATGAACAACTATATATATATTTCATTACACTAGGAAAATTTGTTTATTAGTGTAATATGCATAATCTAAACCAGACAGTTAACAGTAAAAATACATAATCATACTTATCACTAGAAGAATAATCTTTTACTCTTGAAAATAAATCCACAGAAAACATTGATAAAAGATCACTGATGTCGTAGATGTAGGCGTGTATAACAATAAAGTTTAATTTGCCTGCTATTTTTTCCTCAAAATGGAATTTACAGAAATTGAAGTAATATATTTTTATATTTAAAACATTACACAGTTGATTCTAGTTTTCTCTGTGAAAGTATAGGACATCTTCAAAATTATAGAAATATATGCAATTAATATATTCATATATGAACATTAAAATATTAATGGTGTGTAATAACTCCTTATTGTAAATTAAAATTAGTTACATCATCTTTATACTTAATAGTAACTATCGGTTTTAGAAATCCAATTTACTTACAGAAATCATTCTATCAGGCTGTCTGTTAAAATCTCTTACAAGGTATCTTCAATGTAGTCTGCTTTGCCATTAAAACCACCGTGTCGATTCACAGAACAGATGAAAAAGTCCTAGGTTCATACACTGGTGCTGAACTTAGGGAATGAATATTAAGCTTTATATTCAATAAAAAATATATAGAGTTCAATGTTTTAGTTTGAACATTCCATAAAACTGGCCAAAATAAAAATTTTGACACATGTACTTTATTTATTTGTTCTTCATTTATTTATTCATTTATCTATTTATTTGAGACAGGTCTCATTCTGTCCCCCAGGCTGGAGTGCCATGGTGCCATCATGGCTCCCTGCAGCCTCAACCTCCCAGGCTCAAGCAATTCTCCCACTTCAGCCTCCTGAGGAGCTAGGAGGCACAAGCCAGCATGCCCAGGTAATTTTTGAATTTTTGGTAGACACGGTGTTTTGCTATGTTGCCCAGGCTGGTCTCCAACTGCTGAGTTCAAGCTACCTGCCCACCTCGGCCTCCCAACGTGCTGGGATTACAGGAATGAGCTACCTATCTTGTCCGGCAAAACTTCTGGTTTAAAAAAGGCACTACATTCACAAAGTTCTCCAAAAGTGTGCTTATATTTAATTGTCTTAAATGATTGGATACTTTTCTCTATTATCAAAACATTCTTTTGTCCTGAAAACATAATCTTCTGAACCAACGAATACACCAAAAAGAAAATGGAAACTTATTTAATATTGTATTTGCCTAGAGACATATAAGCATAAAGAAATGAAGTGAACAACCTATAATATAACTTGATATGTGTCAAATTAAGAAATTCTGGCTTAAATAGAAAACATTTATTAAATTTGCATTACATTAACCCATTCCATTCTACTGGGTGAATCACTTGAATTCTCATGTCCACACTGAAGCAGTTTGCATAGCCTCAGATTTAGTTCCCATTTTCTAACAGGGTGAATACAAAATGAATGCATCAAAATGCCTGGCAACATTATGTATTGAAAAAGAGGTGCCAAAATAGCATTATCTTAGATAAAATAAAGATATGGAAGCCAAATGGTTTTATTCTATCTTCACTACGTAGCACAGAACAGGGAATGTAGAGCTTGTCCCTGAGTAGATGAATGGTTTAATGATCGCATGAGGAATGAGTCAACACATCAGTGTATTAGAATGTGAATAGGAAATAAACTTTCTAGAGAAAACTGAGAAAATGAAAGAGCGACTTTGTAGATAAATTGTAAAGTATTGAATATTTTGAGCTTCTTCTAGTTTCAGAGTTCTCTTCAAATTCTCTGGATATTTGACTATAATTCCCTTTAACCCTTCTCATCACTACACACACACTGATTTCGAATAACTTTTCATTCCTTCAAACAATTGGACAAATGTTTTCAAGTCAAAGTGAAAATTATGGAAATAAATCCTTGGCTCAGATAGCAATGTGTATTTTAAGGAGAGTTTCTTAAGAGACTGTATGAACTGTATGTGAATTTATTTGGAATTTACAATATGCCAGATAATGTACCCACCTTATCTCATTCAATCTTCAGAAAAAGTTCTAAGAGAGCTCAGGTAATGTTACAGATGACCAAACCTGAGCAGGAGGAAAGTTATAAATACTATTTGAACCCTAAATTATGTGAAAATCATGCTCTTTAAGTCAAATCACTGGTTATTTTGCATCCTCTATAGTTTTGTTATTTACAAATAGTAATTCTAATGAAAACATTTCAGTATGTAGCAAATAATAACTCATACTATCAGTACACCTTAGCAAAATCTGACATATTTGAATAGTTTATATTGAAGGAAGAAAAATGAATTCATTAAAGAAATTCTGGGATGCAGGGCTGATATGCAATAAAAATATATACTTTATATAATAATTTTGTATTGATGGACAAAAAGAACCTGGCCAAAATTATGTAATTATTGTTTCTTAATAAAGTTACATATGCTCACGACTTGATGTTATGCTCACGACGTGTTATTTATTGTTTACTTTGCTTAAAGATGAACTCCTAAAAGTGTTTTAATATTTTCACAGCAACGAAGACAGAATAACATTAACCAATGTAAGAAAACATGATCTTAAGTAAAAGCAGTTGATATCATTACCTTACATTTGCAAAGCACTTTAAAGTTTTCTAGGCTCTTTCATACGCATTATGTCATTTGGCCCTTCAAAACCCTGTGAGTTTGCCAGAGAATATAAATTATTAACAAATTTCACAGGTGATCAAGTTAAGGCTCAGAAAGATTAAGTATCTTGCCGAATAATACACATAGTTTTATAGTGTCATTTATGTATTATTAAAGTCAACTTTCTTTCTGGATTTTCTGCTTTCTCTCTCTGAACAGCAGTGATTTTACTCTATGAGATTGAGTTTTATTAACTGTTCCCAGTTTGTCAACTGGCTTTAATTTCAAAATCAAAAGTGAACGGTTATCATAATATAATTCTCTGTAAAGGCTGTTAAAAGTCCTTCACATAAAATAGTATATTTCTAATACATAGAACCAAATATATTAAAAAATGAACCAAAAAGAAAGCGACTGTTCTTTAATTTATGGAAGTGGTTAGAAAGTACATCCATGTCCTTCATCCACATTTTCTGAATCTTAGGATTAATTATTCCACATTTTCTTATTTTGTAGTAATAAAAAATATTTTTAAAGAATCAGAAACGTGGCCGGGCACAGTGGCTCACGCCTGTAATCCCAGCACTTTGGGAGGCCGAGGCGGGCGGATCACGAGGTCAGCAGATCGAGACCATCCTGGCTAAGACGGTGAAACCCTGTCTCTACTAAAAATGCAAAAAATTAGCCAGGCGTGGTGGCGGGCGCCTGTAGTCCCAGCTACTCGGGAGGCTGAGGCAGGAGAATGGCGTGAACCCGGGAGGCGGAGCTTGCGGTGAGCTGAGATAATGCCACTGCACTCCAGCCTGGGCGACAGAGCGAGACTCCGTCTCAAAAAAAAAAAAAAAAAAAAAAAAAAAAAAAAAAAAAAAAAACCAGAATCAGAAGCGTGACATATCATTTTGTAGCATGAATAATGATGAGTAGTTTTGAGCTCTGTTGATGCTGCAAGATCACAGAGAATGGAGCTTGGAGGCTTACCATATAAATTAGTGCAGTATCACATTAGGACGCAAGACACAGGCAGAGAAACGAATTCAAACTAAAGGAAAGCAATTGCTAGATACACTATTCTGAAATAAAGCAAAAACACACAATAATATTGTTCTATTATCCAATGTAATCTTTCGGGATTCTGGATGTGGATTTAGGGATTTCATTAGCAATCACCCTTTACCACGCCAGACATGCTACAGCAACTGTGTAAGAACAGACAAGTAACAAAATTAATCCAAATATATTCAGGTAATAAGACTGAAGATTAGTCAGCCACATCAATGTGTTATTTTCATCATGTTAACTGAGCAGAATGGTACAGAATGCTTAGTAATATTCAACAAATTCCTGGTGATTTATGATGTTGAAGCAGCCTGACTTTGCCATTTCTTCATTTGTATACTTAAAATATGACTTCCAAATTATTATCTGCATTAGAAAGAGTCATGCATTTCTTCAGTCTAGCCAGATTAGATTGGAGCCGGTTTGGTAAAGTATGATCCATTAAGTACAGTAAAATTGCTCATGTTACATTATGTACAGTTACAGCAGTGTAAATGTAGTGATTGTTACAGGATAATGGATATACAGGCTATCTCAGCTCTACCACTGATTCTTTGTGCTACTAATTCTTAGACACAATACTCCACTGGCTACTTTCAGTCATCTCACTGAGAAATCAGCAAAGAATAATTTAAGAAGCTTCACAATAATCATTTATCTACCATCATATTTTAATATTCTATGGACCATATTTCATAAGCTTAACACAAATCACATTATACTACTATTTCTAGAGCCTATATTTTCGTACTGCTGCAAGTGTCAGAACTATCTAGATGAATCTCCTGACAGATCAGATTTCAATCTCAAGTGATATAAAATAGAGTACATTTTAGTTTGACTTTTCATCTACTTATTTCTTAAGAACTTGATACAGCTTTTAGATGAACTGAGATACATTCTGTCCTGCTGTGACATATACCAGTTAATTTAAAATAGGCAAGCATTTGTATGCTGAGAACGCAGTTTTATCATTGTGGACAAGGAGTTTCTTCCAAAACAGCTAAAGATGCTCTTGTCTAATTTCTGTTAAGCAGGAAAAAATAAGTGTTACATGTAAACTCTAATAAAGCCCAAATAATTGACCTAACAGATGTTTTCTGAATTTCAAATAAATAATTATAAGATTATTTAATAATGAATTTAGTTACCTTTTATAACTAATTCACTTCATTTAAAAGATTAAAAGTAAAGTGAGATCAGTATAAAATGTAAAGTTTCACTTGAATATAATTGAAGCTCTTTTTTGGTCAAGCTAGATGCCATATTACAACTGATCTTACGATATTTCTGTGTAACATATTAAGTGGATGTATGTCACAGCAGGACAGAATGTATGCCAGTTCATCTAAAAGTGTATTAAGTTATTGAAAAATAAGTAAGGGAAAAACCAAACTAAAAAGCACTCAATTTTATAGCAGTTGAAATTGAAATCTGGTCTATCAGGAGACTCTTACAGATCTGACTCTTGACATGGTATGAAAACACAGGCTTAGTAGAAATAGTAGTATAATGTGATTTGTGTCATATATTAGCCAGATTCCTTGATCAGAATCTCTTTGATCATTATAGAATAAATTTCATAGAATCAGCAAAGCAATTTATTGATGAAAAATATGCATCCTGGATTATTTCTGCCATATAAGTCTGGGGGGAGCAGGGTACACCTACAGGAGATGAGTGTCCTCCCAATTGGACATGAATGCCATTCCAGTTTACCACCTTACATAATAGATCATCAACTCCACCTCAGTATACATGGCATCAAAAACACTAAATCCTTATACAGTCAGTCAATGATACTGACACTCCAACCTCTCTCCAGAGAGTATACGCTTTAAGGCACTGTTGTTATCCTTTTATTTAGTAAATTATGAAAGAAAGAATCAACATTCAAGAAAAAACAATGTACCATTAAATTTATTTATTCAAACATGTAAACCCTAATTTATATAACATTTAACATCAGGAAAAGAAATATATTAACATTAACTTAACCTCTTAATAATGTATGTAATGTTTTAAATTTTATGCCTTTGGTTTTCATTTAAAGCAAATATTGTACCTAATAACTTAAAATAAAAGTTGAAACCTGTAACAAATTTATCTTGGAATATATCCATAATAAACAAAAAGTCAATATCACATGAACACCTAAAGCCCTGTATTATATACAAATTTATTACGTTGGCTGAGAAGAATTTCCAAACTAATTTGAAAGGTGGATCACACAATTATTTTACCCCTTGA
The DNA here is from genome assembly GCF_000001405.40 of Homo sapiens. Classification (NCBI taxonomy): domain Eukaryota; kingdom Metazoa; phylum Chordata; class Mammalia; order Primates; family Hominidae; genus Homo; species Homo sapiens. Next base: position 190,407,927 of record NC_000001.11, read on the forward strand.
CATACCATATCCTCCTCATTGGAATGTCTTTTATATTCCATGACGATGTACTTTCTTTTCTACATTTGATGTACTTTCTTTTCTACATTTGTCTTTTTTTTTTTTTTTTTTTTGAGATGGAGTCTCGCTCTGTTGCCCAGGCTGGAGTGCAGTGGCACGATCTCGGCTCACTGCAAGCTCCGCCTCCCGGGTTCACGCCATTCTCCTGCCTCAACCTCCGGAGTAGCTGGGACTACAGGCGCCCGCCACCACGCCTGGCTAATTATTTATTTATTTATTTTTTTTTTTTTTGTATTTTTAGTAGAGACGGGGTTTCACCGTGTTAGCCAGGATGGTCTCGATCTCCTGACCTTGAGATCCGCCCACCTCGGCCTCTCAAAGTGCTGGGATTACAGGCGTGAGCCACCGCATCCGGCCTACATTTGTCATTTTATAAATAAAATGGTCTTGTTTCAATCACATTGGATTTAAATTATTTTTTTTCAAAACGATTTTCCATGTAATTATGAATAATATACAAAACATTTTATTGTTGTTGTTTTCAATTCTTGGCCTATAAAATAGGAGAATTGAACTATACTCTTTGTAAGGTCCCTTTCAGCTCTAAAAAGCTCCTTTTGAAGATCTTAACATAGTAAACATTAGAATAAGGACAATTCAGCTGATTAATTTAAAACACATGGGTCAGTGAGGATGGTTTGTATACTTTTTTACTTTTCTATATTTTTAAATGTATTAAACTCTTTTTTCTATCACATACATTATACAATTAGTTTTCAACTGAGAACAATTTTGCCTTCCAGAGAATAAGTGGTGTTTATGGAGAATTTTGTTTGTCACATGGGCATTGAATAGGCTATCAACCACCAAGTATTAAGCTGTCAACCTCCAGATGTTAACCATCTTAGTTGGAATGGTACAATATCAATACTGGGGGAGGCCTGAAGAAATCACTCACACTAAATCAGTGGTAAAGGATGTTATGAGGATCTCATCTCCAAGGGACATTTGGCCTTGTCTAAAGAAATTTTTTGTTGTAACAACCTGGAAGTGGGGGGAGTTGTTGCTAGTAGCATCTGGCAGGTAGAGACCAGCAATGCATGTGATAATGCATAGGACAGCCATCCACACTGAAGAATTATCTGGCCCATATTATCAATGTTGTAGTGCTGAGGTTTAAAAACCTTCTATCCAGCCAGGTGTGGTGGCTCTCGCCTGTAATCCCAGCACTTTGGGAGGCCAACACTGGAGTATTGCTTGAGTCCTGGAGTTCGAGACTATCCTGGGCAACACAGTAAGACCCTGTCTCTAAAAATAATAATAGTAAATAAATAAATAATCAAAAAACTATCTAATAGAAGGAAACAGCATTATTTTATTTAGTATACTGCCTTTAAAGATAAATATAAATGCCTGTAGGTTAAAAAATATTACTATGGACACAGCATAGTTTAGAAAAACACACAAAAAAAGAATCTCATTGTCTTTGAATTTCTAGAACTGGATCTCCTTCAAAATCACAGTCTAATATTTTCCCTTCTTTTTTCTGGACCTTGTAAAGGTTATTTTACACATCTAACAAATTTAAAAAACAGAGTACACTCTTTTAAAAGTGATACTGGCATTCTGTTTTACAAGCTGATCATTCTTGATGGAGGAGGTTTCAAGCAATTTCCCTTTAAGCATTTTCTTTTTAAAAAATGATGTGAATATCTCACTTTGGGAGAATAGAAACTGAGGATTACAAAGAATGTCATTTGTGCAATACATATTTATTGGGCACCTGTTGCTTTCCAGAATGATGGGAAGGAGCAGACCATAAGAAGAACTGAAGAAATAAAGAGGGAAATGCTTCTATAAAGCATAAGGAAGAATAATTGGGCCATATCCTGATAAAAATATTTGACTCTTTATGGGTAAAGAGTAATGAATGAGAGAGGCAGAGAAAAATAAGACAAAGGAGGCAGAGAGAGGACAAAATCACCTAAGGCATGATGAGCAAGGTAAGGGAAACCATTAGACTGTTTTAAGCAAGAAAATGGCAAGAATTGGTTTCTCTCTCTTTTTTTATTTCTTTTTCCTCTTTCTCCTTCCCTCTTCTTTTATTTCCCTTCCTTCTTTCCTATTTTACTTCTTTCTTTATTTATCCTTTGCTCTTTAATAGTTTCCTTCAGATTTCTGTAGCTGTTCAGAGAGAACAGATTAAAGATGTAAGAAATGATATTGACCAGGACTAGGTTACTAGTGGGGGAAATGGAGGGAAAAAGAAGTTAAACCATGCGTGTAGTACAAATATTAAGCCCATACTCCTTTGCTAGTCAATTAGATGTGAGAGTTATGGGAGGGTATGCCTCTGATATTTTTGGCCTGATCAACTAGATGAATATTATTGCCTGTCATTAAGATATGGAGACTGGGGGGAAAGGTGTTTTTGTTTTTTATTTTTTCTTTGGTAGAGGAAATTAAGTGTTATACTGTAAATATATAAAATAAAGGTTTCATTACAAATGTAAAGAAAGAGATAAAAAATATTTGGATATTAGAAGACAGTCTGAGGTCAGGTTATAAATTTGGATGTCATCAGTGTATAGACACAACGAGGTAATATTAAAATTATAGAAACAGAAAGGTAGTATTTAAACCTATAGAGAATATAGGAATGTAAAAAAATAGAACATCTAAAGGCTTAAAGATCAGGAACAACACATAGAATAAGAAAAGAAGACTAAATCGTTTTAGAAGAAAAACTAATAAAATATGTTGTTTTAAAAAACAAGTGAAGCAATGTTTCCAGAAAGGGTATTTATTAACAAAGTGCAATGCAGCTAAAGGTAAAGTAGGGAGAGGACATTGAATACAGTAAGAGAAAATATGCTGATGACTCTAACAAGAGTTATTTCAGTAAAGTAATTGAGGCAAAAGTCCAACTAAAATACTTAGACTGAAAAACTCAATATCGCAAAGATGTCAGTTTATGGATTTAATGCAATTCCAATTAAAATCCCAACAGTTTTTTAAAAGAAACTTGAAAGCTCATTTTAATATTTCCTAGAAAGGCAAAGGGTCAAAAAAAACCAAGACGACTCCTGATAAAGAAGCAAGGTAGGAAGATATTCCTTACCACATACCCAGACTCCTTTTAGTAATTAAGTAGGCATTTTATTGGTTTAAGGATAGATACACAAATCAGAAACACAGGAAATAGAGTCCAGAAACATACCATACATTAATGAACCCTTTCTATATGACAGAGGTGGTACCCGGAAGCAACAGGAAAAGGATGGTCTTATCAATTGATAGAGGACAACGGGATATTTATTAGGAAGAAAAAAGAAGGAAACTGAATACCTACCTCACCCCATAGAAATCAGGTATACTTAATACTTGAATGTGAAAATAAAAGTAAAGCTTTTAGAAGATAATAGGGCAGAATATATTTATAACCTTAGGATCATGAAACATTTCTTAAACAAGACAAGGAAAAAGCAATACACTAGAGTCTACAAGGGAAAAGAAAGAAAATAATAGGCCACAATGCAAACAGTGATTCTCCTAATTGTCTTACTCTGTAAACTTTGTGTGAACAGTAGGCAACACTTAGAAATGTTTGTAACAGTTTGTGTAATTTTATATCTAGTAAATTGAATTTTTTTAAATTTGAAATAATAAAAGACTAATTGAAATGATAACTAAAGATGAAGGCTTTGAGGAAATATGGTCTATATAACTAAGGTCTATTTTTCTCCCTCCTAACATTTCACTAAAATGACTGTAAGAATTTTAAAAAGTTATGTGTTTTACAAGGTGGAATAAAAAAGGTAGAGTGAAATAACAGGATACCTGATAAATATAAAAACACATTTTGAAATCTGGAATGCAGATATATTGAAAACCAGTTTAGAGAAGTGAAAGAAAGCTAAATCCTAAGAGCTTGAAAAGATGGATGTAGGAACAGCAAGTCAATTTGTTCACAGAAGGAACAGATATGAGGAGTGGAGCTAGGAAAAAAATCGACGACTGAAATTCTGTTAATAGAGCTGTCAGACCCCAGCATCCTCCTTTCCTACCACACAGCCTCAGGCCACTACTTACTGTAACCTATGTTTGACATGCTTCTCCCATAGCCTACTTAAGCCATGAAATCTGGGATTGAATATTGGAAGAAATAGCACTGACAAGCTTCCTAACTTTGCAATACCTAAAATAGCAGAACTCAATAAAAAAAAAAGTACCTAACAGAAAAAGAGTAATAGGAAAGGTTAATAAGTATTGGGGAAGGGCTGTGGGACTGGATGAAGTTAATGGTATTACTTGGTAATAAAACATCTAAATATGTGAGATTTTAATTGTCATGTAAAATATAGATTATTATTTCTACAATCTTGTGATGAAGGAAATTTAAAAATCATATACTGTAAATAATAGCATGGATAAAAATGTCAAACAACAAAGAAAAGATATATATATATTATATATATATATATATATACACTTTTTTTTACTATGTAGTACTTTTTTTGTTTTGTTTTGTTTTTTTTTGTTTTTTTTTTTTTTGAGACGGAGTCTCGCTCTGTCGCCCAGGCTGGAGTGCAGTGGTGGGATCTCGGCTCACTGCAAGCTCCGCCTCCCGGGTTCACGCCATTCTCCTGCCTCAGCCTCCCAAGTAGCTGGGACTACAGGTGCCCGCCACTACGCCCGGCTAATTTTTTGTATTTTTAGTAGAGACGGGGTTTCACCGTTTTAGCCGGGATGGTCTCGATCTCCTGACCTCGTGATCCGCCCGCCTCGGCCTCCCAAAGTGCTGGGATTACAGGCGTGAGTATGTAGTACTTTAATTACTACTAGTATGCATTTTTTAAACCACACTATACATTTTTGGTAAAAATGTTAAAAAAATTTTGGTAAAAAATGCATAATGTGGGTTAAAAGTGCATGGTAGTAGTAATTTAAAAAATAAAAGTAATTTACAAAAAGAAAGAAGAAAGGGAGAGAGAGAAAGAAAATAGGAAGGAAGGCAGGCAAGCATATTCAATTTTACTGATAAAAATTAAATGAAATATTTTGCTTCATCACATTAATAAAATTTTTAAAAATCTCTTTATGTCAGCACACCGCTGAATGTGCAGTAATAACTTTTTAAAAGAACTTTTGGACACTGTGTTTTGGCATTGTAAATATTCAAATCCTTTTATAAACCAAATCTATTTCTGGGAACTTAACAGAAAGGAAGGTGTGCATGTGTGTGTCTGTGTGTGCACGTGCATGTGCGTGTGTGTGTGTATGTGCACCTGTGCGTGTGTTTTGTGTATATTAACTAAAAATTAAAAGTTTCTTAAAGAACTATCCTAGGGGACTGATATAATTAGGCATTCTATATGCATGTGCAAAATATCATACAACTACTTAAAATGATGATGTCACCTATAAAGGCTGCTCAATGATATCAGGCCCTAATCCTTTTAACTTGTAAATATTTCTTTAAAAGGAAAAAGTGTCTTTGCAGATATAATTAAGTAAAATATCTTTAAATGAAGATATTATTCTGAATTATCAAGGTGGGCTATAAATCAAATCACCATATACTTAGACAGCCAGACAGAAGAGAAGGCAATGTTATCAAGGAGACAGAGATTGGAGGGATGTGGCCACCATCCATGTAATGCTAGCAGCCACCAGTAACTGGACTAAGCAAGGAATGGATTGTCTCCTAGAGTCTTCACAGGGAGCACAGTTCTGTCAACCCTTGATTTCAATCTAGTGTAACAGACTTTAGACATGTGGCCTTCGGTACTGTGACAGAATATATTTCTATTATTTTAAGCCACCAAGATTTTCGTACTATGTTACAGCAGCTGAGAGAAACTAACATACCATCTATATTCATTGACAAAGAAAAATGCCTATGTTATATTGTTAATTTTAAAAGTCAATTTATAAATAATTTATGTTCAAAAATACTTATAAAACCACTGAAAAAAAATGTTAACAGGAATTACACATAAATATTAAGATTATGGATAATTTAAATTTAAAAAATATTTTATTTTATTTTTAGAGACCAGGTGTTGCTTTGCTGCCCAGGCTGGAGTGCAGTGGTGTGATCATAGGTTACAGCAGTCTTGAAGTCCTGGGCTCAGGCATGAGCCACCCTACCTGGCCTGATTTATTTTAATCTTTACGATGACCATGTTTTATTTTTCTGGTAAAAATCATGCTATTTTCATTTTAAACAAAAAATAATATTTTTTACTATAGACAGCAAAATATTCCTATGTCTAATCATCTAGACTAAAGTGGCATAGTCAGAGTTTTCTGAGGGTATTGAGCCCAGTGAAGTGCCATGTGTACTCTGGTGCAGTTTTTTTTAAATTTTCATAATTAATAATATTTGAGGTTGAATAAATCACTGTGTTTTTTTTTTGTTGTTTATCAGTTAGAAATTACATTTGCCTGCTAATGTAAGAGATCCAAGCTTAGTGACTTCCATATGTTATAGGTTTATTTTTGTGTAAAATTAATTTGAAAACAGGACATAAAGGGCTGGTATAGCCACTCTAGAGGTCACCAAGGAAACAACTGTTTTCTGTCTTTGTATTCTGCCATTCTTGTTTCATGGTTTCACTAACAAGGGCATTAGATTAGCATAAGGTATCTGTTGGGCCAATATTCTAGGAAAATAGAAAGAGGCAAATGGGAATATACTCCCAGTTGAGTCTTTGCTCTTTTAAAGAGTTGCATCCACCAATATCCATTTACATCTCACTGGGCAACCCAATCTGCAGCAAGGCAACAAATACAGTCTTACGAGTGACAGCAATGTTACTAAGGCAGAGGGAGATTAATACTGGTTTGAAAAATGACAGTCTCTCCCATACTCATGGAACTAACAACTAAAGATAGCTCTGAGAAGCATTCAAATCAAGATAGAAGAGGAGCTGCTGTCATGACATTTGTTGCCAATCTTATACCTCTAGTAATCATAAATATTTGGTAAGATTTCTCTGTCTTGAGACTAAAGACAGACTCGGTCTGTTTCTATTCTTTACCCACTATAGACTATAAATAGATTAATTAACTATTTTAAGTGCTTAGTTAAAAATGTATTCAATTTGATTTATATACATAAATTGCAGAGAATTGGACCTACATGTAAAACTTTTAATCAAAATTCATGTTGAATTTGTGATAAAGAGAACCCTGCCTCCCAACATCTATATAGGACACAGCATCTTTCTTTTGCATCAACTGGCTGAGCAGTTCTCCTCTAACATAGCATCTGCAAGTTTGTTAAGTAAATAAAGTTTGTTAAGTAAATCTTGGTGAAGCACACGCCTACCTGAATTACTACCAATCAGGATATGAATTCATAACATGATCTCTACATAAGTGACTATATGTTGAAGAAGCATGATAAAACAAGGATAAATATTGTGTAACTGAATTCCACTAATTTGCAAGCCTTCAACATATAAATTATATGGATTAATGATAAATATTTAATGGCTTCAATTCTAATTAAGCATGAATAGCAAAATAAAACCAAAAAAGCCCAAATAAATATTAAACAAACACATCAGGGAACAACTTTTATCTAAATATAATTGTTACTTTTTAAAGGATTACTAAACATATGTATATGAGCACTGTATAAATGAAAATCTAGATATAATATAATTCAGATTTTAAAAAATCTTCAGCTGGGCACAGTGGCTCCTGTCTGTAAACTCAAATAGGGATGCTGAGGTGGGAGGATTATGTGAGGCCAGGAGTTTGAGACCAGACTGAGCAATATAGCAAGACCCCTTATAGAAAAACATTTTTTAATAATCAGCCAGGTATGGTGGCATGCACTTGCAATACCAGCTACTCAGGAGGCTGAGGTGGGAGGATCACTTGAGCTAAAGAGTTTGAGAATGCAGTGAGTGAACTATAACACCACCACTGTCCGCCAAGCTGGGTGACAGAGTAAGAACTCGTTTCTTAAATTAATATACATACATATATTTGCATATATATTTTTAACAATGTTCCATGATATACACATTGTCTATGTTTATTTTACAGGTTTTCTTCTACTGTGTCTCAGCCACATTCAATATGTTCCTAAGTTAAAATACATTTTGGTCCCCCTTGAATGCCTTTTAAGTTGACATATGGCACACCACATGAAATCTTAATTAAGTGATGATTACCTTAATACACAAATCCATTAGGTTGTCTCAATAACTATAAACACCTTCAAAGGTTCATGTCATTAAATTATTTTTGCTTATTTCTCCTCCACACCCATATTAGGTAAATATTAATCATTATATAAGACAGAATTCTTAGCTCTGCTTGGATTATGCACAAATTGCTTTTTCTATATTTTTAAGTTGCCAAGTTTTCAATCTGTTGACTGACTAATAAACATCCACTAGATGGTAATAGTGCTTATATGACCCCCTTGCCACCACTTGCCCAAGAGCCCCATGAGAGAAAAAATGTGATTTACACTAGGCATAACTGCTGCCCCTAGAGGAGTTGCTAGCACATTGTGTGTGCTCAAGAAATAACCATGAACTTCAGCGGTTAAACTACACTTCAAAAACAGAAATAGAACATAGACTCATTAGCATAGCATGAAAGGCTTTTATAGTGTAGTAGGTGTCCACAGACTTTCATAACAACCTATACTTCTAAGAATTTATGTCTCTAACATAAATGAGATAAGTAATAATGATGTAAGCATTTATTCAGCATAAATATACCCTAGTCACCGTGAAGTGCCTTACACATATTATCCCATATTATCTAAATAATACTATCATAATCTACTACTTGCAAATAAGTAAACAAAGGCTTAGAGACCATAAATTATTTTAATCCCAGGTTTTGCAGCTATTGACAGTATTACTCCAGAACCGGAGTCTTTAGCTGCAGTGATAACCTGTGCCTGTTAACAGGAAATACCTCAGTAAGTAGAGACACCGGAAGTTTTCCTCCAGATCCAAGCAATTTGGGATTATCTGTTTCTCTGGATTCATCACTGTACCTAAACCAGAGGAGTTATATGTAAAGGATTAAATACATGGTTTATTTGATATGCTTACTTCAGAAACTAAAATTAGTTTTAAGATGCTCCCCATGTTTCCTGTTGCTAAGGAACTTACACCTCAGAATTGTGTAGAATGCCCTAGATTCAAATGGAGAACAAAAACAATTTTCTGAAATACAGTAAAAATCTACTAAAATGAAATCACAAACTAAGGTAAATAAAACTCGTTTAAGAGGTGATTTTTGAGAAAAAAAATATAAAACCTATCTGGCTCTTAACAAAAAAAAAATCATTTTGCCATAAAAGAAGGCAGAGAAATAAAATTATATCATTGGACTTCATTCTCCTTGAAGAAAGATCAAATACAGAAATACATATTTTGTGCATTTGTATTGCTCTAATTTTACAGTAAATATTTGGCAGAATTCTTCTTGTATCGATCAATACAATATACCTATTATCTATTAATATTTATTGTACAGCCTTTATTCAATAACATATATTTACATATTTAAGCTATGCATTACTGATACAATATTTTTGCTGTTGTTTTAATACTTCCCAGGAAGTTATTTGTCAAAAAATTAAATATGTCTTTGTTATTTTGATATTTGATACCAACATACTTGATACAAACATACTTGGCACTTACTGTAGCATATGTTTTTAATGCTAAATAATTGGCCCATCTCTAAAGTTAAAATAGATGGGCTTGAATAGCAAACAATATAAAAATATAGACTTTTAAAAAACTTGTTATAAATGCAAAGACTATTTTAATATGATATAAGGTACTTTCTTCTCCTAAACTAAAACAAATTATATATTTGCTGATATGAAGATGATGAGAGGGAAGAAAGAAATATTGGAAGCTGTGTGCCATTTTTAATAACTTACAAAAATAGTTGTTTCCTTTTGGAAAGCAAGATGATTGATAGCTATTATTCAACTCGATTCTGATCAATTTAAAGGCAGCCAGATAACACATGATATAAAGACAGAAGTTTCCTCTATGAATTTAGATAATTAGTTATTAAGTGCAGATTTGGAATAAAACAGATTTACAATCAATCCCTCTGCTGGGCATCTAGTTCTGAGGTTAAGTATACCTAATTCCTGAGAGATTTCAGCACAGTGACTTGCCTGATTAGTCTTGACCTACCAATGCCTTTAACATCCTAGCTAAAAGTCTCAGGGCTGTAGTTTCTCCCTCTTTTCTCACTAGAATATTTAGCCCCCCACCATGCCTGGCTAATTTTCGTATTTTTTGTAGAGACAGGGTTTCATCACTTGCCCAGGCTGGTCTCGGACTCCTGAGCTCAAGCATTTTGTCCGCCTCAGCCTCCCAAACTGCTGGGACTACAGGTATGAGCCACTGCCCAGCCTTCTTATTCTTTTTATGAATTAAAATGTTAGTCAATGTCACATTACGTTTGTGACCCCGTATTCCAAATATTTTCTATTCTATTGTTTAAAACTCTCCTTTCCATATCTTACAATTTTGCAATTTGCTCTTCATTCTTGGTAAATGTTTAAATTTTCCTTCTCATTACACGTATCTGAACACATCGTAGATATTCTACTCTGATCATGATAAAAACCACCCAAAATAAATAAAACTGGCCAATTTTAAAATGTGAAATAAATCCTTTTAGGTATAATTTGTCCTGAAATTAGATATATATTTTTTATGTGAAAATCTGCAAAACAGAAAAACAACATAGCAAAAAACTGAGCTTGAGTTTTGGTTACAGAATCCTGTGTATATTATTGTCTGGAATCAGTGTATGAGGAGTTACGTAAGGTATGAAGGGAATATTGTGATCCTCCTCATACTCTGGCTTCATAACCCAGCTATAATTTAAAAAAGAAAAAGCACCTCGGCACACTCATTGTATTGTTTTCAAGCCCAAACTAATGTACGATGGATTTTTATTAAAAATATTCCTCTGAGCTTTTATATTTACTAAGAATACTAAATTATATGATTTTTACTATCCATATCATGCTTCCTAAAGTATTTGTGTTTCTGATACTAAATGATTTTCATACAAAATCTGAATTATTCTATATTTTCTATGTAAGATACCATTTATAAGCTGGAGGTCATTTAACTTGTCTAACAAAGCAAGCAAATCTTAAAATTAATATTCTCTCTTTAGTTAAACTTCCAATATTAGAAAATTCTGATTGCATGCATTCTTTTCATATCAAAAGGGGAAATAAAAAATGAATGTTTCAAAAGCATTACATTTAGAAAAATTAATCTAAAAACTGAAGCTAATTTTCAAAAAAATTTCTGTCATTGCAAGACACCAATTTATGATTGAATTAAGAGTTAAGAAATCAGTAAATACAGCATGTCTCTTTTTATTATTTTGGTTCTATGGCTATAAAACATAAAATGTATATGAATTTTAAGTTTAAATTATTGGTCACATTTATCAAATAAAAATCATTTTAGTAATTTATAATTGAGTTTGAAGCTGAGTAATAAGCACCTAATATACCTAAACTTGGTTCTAAAAATATCGTATTTTTATTGTATATTGTATAATGAATAGATATTTGAAATAAAACTAAACTGAGGAAGTAGCTTATACCAACTTGTGATAGCTGACACCAAGTGAACAAAGACAGAAAACCTTACCTCCTTCATCCAGTTTCTCATACATTTTCTCTGTTCAGTTCCTAGTTTTAAAACGTTATATTCACATATACATTTATACACACACACACACACACACACACACACGTTAGCTTTCTAAGAAACACACAACACACATTAACTTTCTAAGAAACTAGTAATGAAACAATAGTCACAAATACACAGAATGTTAAAGCAAAATACTGGTGTATCAAACCATGTTAACTAGAAGAAAAAAAGAATCCCTGATTAGAAAAAAAAAATACTCCCAGGTCAATATGACAATGAAACCAAAGACTGGTTTCAAATGGGGTTGGCATTTGTTTTTCTTGAGAGGTTATACAAATATCAGCTGTGTTGGTATAATATGTTTGCAAGCAAGCCAAATTTGGGGACCAAAGTAGATTCATATTTATAACAAATCTATATATGAAACTTAAATAAGATTAAATAAGCAAACAGATGGTTTTGCAGGTGGTCATGTCTTAAAAACTAAAGCTATTCAAGAAGGAGCGTGTATTAGTGTCTTGAAGCAAGGATGGACACAAACAGCTGCTCTAAGAATTTTCTATTCCACTGAGTTGATATATTCTGTCAATCTTTGGCCACAATTAAGTTTTCAATTGTCCCAATATATCACACTCACTAAACAGTCTGTGTTACCATCCCTGAATGTACACCTTTAACAAGAATATATAGCATGTGTGCAAAAAGTTGTAGATTGTCAGAGCTTGGAAGAATGCAATAACTGATTATTCACAGGGGAGAAGAAAAGATTTGGTTCAGGAAGTAAATGCAGTTTGATAGACTTTCCACCATCATCAGAGTAGGCCAAAATCAAATGTCAAACAATCACTTTGTAACCCTAAGTTAACCAAAGTGATCCATTCATTACCCTCTAAAAGAAGATTTCACATTTCACAAAAAATGTCCACTATTTCAGGACTACATCATTTCTAATTAATGTCTGAATTGTCCATATAACTTTAGTAAAGTGTTAAGTTTTGAAAACTTTCCGTTTGGAGAAATGGCAACTTTCATGCTCCAATTGTAGAAAATTGTAGTCTTCAAACTATCATGTAGTCTTCAAACTATCATCCTCAGCAAAATCTTATACTTGAAAATTGAAGCATCACAAATTCTGTCACTTATCCAGGTATCATCAGCTATCTCATTTAAGGGAATGACAAAAACAGCTTAAATTTTATAGACTGCCATGCATAAAGGAGAATGTTAGAAAAAGACAATGTTTCCAGGGAGATTTCGGCTCTTCCATAATCTAAAGGTTTCTATTTCAGTTACCAGAAAGAGGTCAGAACAAGCTTGTTGGGTGAAAACTCTTGAGTCCAGAGGTATCAGTTTCTTGACCCTATGACTTTAGCAAATATAAGAATTGCATGATTCTCACTTAGTATGAAAAGAATGACACATATATCACCTTGGTACTAACTATTCTACTCACAACGGCACAAATATTTAACCCAATACTAATTGTAACTAGAAAAAAAATGATTCCTGTTATAATCCAATAAATTGCTAATCACTAAATTCTCCATATGTATTCACAACAATTGTCCAATTTCTTAAGACAAATGTTTTGTGTACTAGCTGCCATTGAAATGTTACAATAACAAGTAGCCTATTCACAGATAATAGTGAAGGACATTTGAACAAGATTCTCATTATTATTATTATTATTATTATTATTATTATTATTGCCAGTTGAGGTAGCATAAAGGGCAACTAGGATTTTTGGGTAACTCTGGGTTTTGGCAGACTACTTAGGCCACTGATAAACTGTTGAAGATGCAATGTTTTAAAAGTCATACTAAAAATGGATCTACATGTTATTTTATTTAATCTCTATAGAAATTTATAACTATATATAACTATGACCATAATAAAACAAGGTAATGAGATGTTTTATGAAAGTAATTGATTCCCTATGTTATGAATATCGGCATCATTTCTTGGAATGAGTCATTAATGTGACCATATAATAAATATCACATGTCACTTATGTGACCATATAATAAATATAGACATGTAGTTGCTATGTGATAGATAGATTTGAATCCAGGCACCACCACTCACTAGTTCTGTGCCATTAGACAAATCAAATTTTTTAACTTCACGAGTTCATTTCTTCATCTGAAAAAGTTTACTAGCTATAGTTTTTGAGAAAATCAAAGTGGTCATGATTATGAAATGTTTAACATAATGTTAAATCATCAGACTTCCAGTTACTACTTTTATTACTTATTTATATTTATTTTGTGGACATTCCTTGCATTCTTTTCTTCTTCTTTGCTATTTTAGAGACCACTTTACTCCTTATCTTTTTGCTGGCTACTTAATAAGTCTCCATCTAGCACCCATTTCTAAGAAGTATAGCTTTCCTGTCCAAGTTTCCCAGAGTGACACTGGTATTTCATCAGATGACTGAATTTATGTGCCAGTTCTGCCTCTTAATAATTGACCTGAGGATAATTCTTTAACATTTTTTTTACATCTCAGCCTTCTAATCTATATAGTGCAAATCATAGTGGTACTTAACTCGTGGTTAATTCAAGGTATAATAAGACAATGCATGACACGAAGCATTTAAAAGTGTGCCTGCGTCCATTAAATGTGACCAATGATATTAATGAATACATACTCTTGCTTGCCTTAGAATGTGGTCGATTAGTCATTTTCAGCATAGAGATGGTTGACATATTTTGAATATATTAACAAATCTAGAACTGAGAAGATCATATTGCTCAGATTCTCTATGAACCTCAGAAAAGACATCAGAAAATTCAATCCTGTATTATTGGATTATTTAAACTTTCAGAAACCATCAAAGCAACTCTTGATGAAAACTGACACCTGCTCTAGGGAAGTCAACATGAAAGATGACACATTTAGGACATATGCTGAAAATTCATCAGAAATGTTCCCTGATGTGCTAGGTAACTAGAAACATACCAATCACCAGAGTAGCTGCAGGATTTCTAGAATTTATAAGGGATGATTTTTCATCTGTAAGTAGCACATACTGGTTTATCACAAAAGGCCACTTTCCAGAAAAAGAGAGCTGAAGTTCGCTTTTTGAAGCGTGAGACTAGGGCAAGAAGGGAATTTAAAGTCTAAACCTCATTCGAAAACTAGAGTATTTGAATATTTTTAGATTTAAGCATTTGTTTTATGTTTGTAATTTATGGCTGAATTAAAATAGTTTTTCCATATTACAATCTTCTTTTGACATATATGACTTACAAAGCTGGTAACTTCTACAGAAGTTAAAATGCTAGATATTATTACTATATTTCAAATTATCATTGTGTATATTTTTAAGAATCCTTGAAAAACTAGTTTTTCTCATCTGATTTTTGAAGTAACAGATGTCCACTTGCAGCCTAGGCAGGCAGTAAGCTTCCATTGATCCTTCTCAGTAGAAAATAAGGGAGGGATTTTTGCTAGACCCCAGACCCTTCATGCTACTTTCTAAGATGAGCAATACTTTATGTTTACGTGTATTCCAGTTATTTGTGGGGAGGCATTCGAGACATGTATTCTGCTCCCCAGGAAGGCATTAAAGCACCAAATAGTCATTAAGGG
This sequence comes from Homo sapiens, assembly GCF_000001405.40. Lineage (NCBI taxonomy): Eukaryota > Metazoa > Chordata > Mammalia > Primates > Hominidae > Homo > Homo sapiens. The sequence goes on from NC_000001.11 coordinate 190,423,214, forward strand.
CCCTATGACTCCTATGACTCCTACATTCTTCTATGGGGTTTTACCTCTTACTTTATGACAGCTGAAAATTTCTTTTTCACTGTTATAGAGTTCAATTTATTTAAAAAAATCACCACACATTTTAGTATTTAGGAATGGAACAGAGTCTAAGGCAGCCCCCAGTCCACAATTTTGACTTGAGTTTTCTGTTTATTTACATAACATAAAGTCAGTGAGAAAGTATTAAATAAACATTATAAATATTTAAATATGTTCACAGGATAGCGTAGAATTTTCCTTCCATAATACTATGGCACTGGCAGCATACAATGCCAAACATTATTTTACCTTTACTTATTTGGCAATTTGACAAGAAAAATGTTGCGAATTACTTTAATTTTTGACTTATACTTTATACATTCAATATAGCATAATCAAGACATTATAAAGAATAAAGTGTTATGAAAGAATGAACTATTTATTCAAATTTTTCTATTCACAAGTGAATTTCTCAAACTGTTGACTTTACGTATTTCTCCCAACTCCTCCACCCCCTACCCTAAACTATCATACATATACACACAACTCCTGGCACTGGTGCTAGATGTAAGGATTTTATTTTTATCATTATGACAGTTTTTGTTTTACATTACATTATTTTTCTCTTATAGGGATTTTATAATTTTGTATCACTGTAATCCAATTTTAAGCAATGCGAAGCAAGTTTATGTTAACCTAGTTTCAGACTTGCTCATAACCTGTTCTTTTATTGACTTCACATTCTTAAATATTACATTACATTTCACTTCCTAGTTGATGGGAGTTCCACACATGGGACTTTTTTTGTTGGTATATATGTATTTTATTTTTAAATATAGTCCAAAATATATATAGTCAAAAATATATATAGTCAAAAATATCTATATTTTTGAATATAGATTAAGAACTTAATTCTCCTGCCTCTTTCTACAAAAGAAAACTTCCTATGTTGTGAGTTCTAACCTTCATTCTAATTCTACTGTGGATATTACTTCAGTATTTTCTGGAATGTGTTGTTATATAGTCAAATTATTGAGGGCGGCATAAAATATACAAATGGTTACAGCTTTCCAATCATTCATAATCATAAGTATTGCCCCTTTGTTGCCCCTCTAGGCCCATTAAGAGATGTCAAGTCTCAGAAAACAACCTGATGTTGACAGAGGAGCATTTTAAAATTGGAGGTAGAGTCTTTGTACAAAGGGAAATACAGTGAGGAAAAGTGGAGAACGAACATTGTTAGTAAGATACTGTCATAGGGACTTTAAAGGTTTATACATTCCTTTAATTCAGATTGTCAAGCAGCTGGTAGTGGCTTAGTATAACATCCCAACTTTGCCCCAGTAAGAAATGTCTTATAGAAATTTGTTCTAGAAACTCTAACTGGTAGACTACCTTCCTGCTGTACATATAAGAAAGAAACAGTGAACAGTAAGAGTAGTAGAAATATATTTTTGTAATAACTGAGAATTTTAGCGTTTAAAGATTAGATCATATAAAAACAATTATAGAGAAGCTCTAAAAAATACCACAGATCATGGCAAACTAAATCTAGAAGTCTCTGAAATATTACCTTTAGAAAGTCAACTTTAGAAAGCATTTTCCTTTCTAACAGAAGGAAATGCCTATATTGTATCAATAGTATGCAAAGAAGTAAGTATGATGACATGGCCTGTTTGAAACAGCACACCCTGGGAGGTGAGGAGAGTCAGAGAAAGAAAACAGGATCCAATTAAAGGGAAGATGAATAAGAGGAAAAATTTAAAGGAAACCAGAACTGCAGCAATAAAATAAAAATCAGATTGAATGCAAACACAAAGAGAACTGACACTTCAAATAGCAAGAGATAAAGGAAAATATTGAAAATCTCAGAATGCAAAAGAAAATAACAAAGTTTAAAATAATGACAGACAATATAGGTGATAGTTTGAAGGTGATATTTTGGAGAACAGAAGAAGGATATGAAACCTATGAACTAAAAGTGTTATATAACAGTTTACATAGATATAAAATAATTGATAAAGTTAGATTTAAAAGACATATGAGTTGAAAAGAGATCTATACTTGTACATTGAAATGATTTAACAATTTCAAAGCAATACCAATTACTTAAAAACTCAGTAGACTGATGCTGGCAAGCACATAGATTTTGTCTCAACATAAGCATAGCATACCTCCTAATAAATGAACAGCGTTTTCATATTCTCAATCAATCTCTAGTGGCCAATTTATTTCAACAATGGAGAAAGCTCACAGTATGCTAGAACTAAGAAAGTGCCAATTCACTTGTTTCAAAGAAGTGTGAATTTTTAACTTGGAAAGAATGGCAATTCCTTCTACTATGGGTCTGTATCAACATATTTAACAAGGAAATATTGCATATTATGGAAAAGACTTCCAGTTCACCCCTTTTACTAGAAACATGATCTGTAAGCCAAATTAAAGTAAAATGAAAAGAGGCTTAGCCACGTACAATGTTGCACAACAGCTAAGTTGGCAAAACCTTTGTTTGACCTTAAATAAGTATACTTGTTAGAATTATTTCCAAATCAATAACCATTAGACCCAAACAATGTTGATTTGTGCCTTTCTGAAAGGTAAATGGCTTAAACAAAATCATTGCAATAAAATCTTCCTCTCTAACGGTATTCCTTTCAACAGGAAGCCAATAAATCTGACTCTCATGAAAAGCCAATAACTAACAAAAAGCCCAGCATTTTATTTTTAATCAGCAAAAATTTAAATGCATTGGCATATACAATGTCAGTATTGCAAAAAAAGTTCTGCAATTATATTTTGATATGAATAACATGCTGCTTGAAAAATGAAACATTCATATCTTCAATATTATAATAAAATCTGAGGATTGTAAAAGTTCATATATATCCTTTATTTTGGAAACGTGTAATGAAAAAATATATATCCAAAGGCAGAGTATAATTTCGAGGATTGTTTCTAAGTGAAGAAGTAAAATTTTCCCAGTCTCACCTTTATGTAGACTACATGCAAATACTATGCCATTTTATATGAGACTTGAGCATCTCTGGATCTTGGTATTTGTGGAGTCCTGAAACAAATACCCACAGATAACAAGAGACAACTGTAATCTACACTGCATGTACTACGCCCAGAAGATAATAAGACAGGTTGAGGGTTTCTTACCCAAAATGCCTGGGACCAGAGATATTTCAGATATTGGTGTTTTTTGGCTTTAGGAATGTTTGCATTATGCTAATTGAGCGTCCCTAATCCAAAAATTCCAAATCCAAAATGCTCCAATGAGCATTTCTTTTGATTGGCATGTTGGCACTCAAACAAACATTTTTAGATTGTAGAGCATTTGGGATTTCAGATTTTTCAATTAGGATGCTCAGTCTGTAGAAGGAAATACAACAAAACAAATTTGGTTGTCTCTGGTGGTAGGGTTATCAAATTATTACAATTTAAATATTTATACAAAGCCATGTTCCAAATAATTTTGTTTCCTCATAGTTTTCATTAGTTTACAATTATGCCTATGAATACCAATTATTTAATTAATTAATTAAAAATTAGACAGTTGTGTTATGAGTATTATAATTTTGAATTCTGGATTAACGGAACATTATTTTGTAAGCAAGTTACTTAACTTTCTTTTATATCTCTTGGGGAGTCCAAATGATAGTTATTTCAGAGATTAGTATGAGAATTAAAAGATACAATGAATATAAAATAGCCAGTTCTGCCTGTAACATCAGAGTAATCTCCACAGATGTTGAAATTTTTTAAGGTTAACTCTCTTATCTTTACACTTCAGGTATGTATTTGTATACTATTCTTTCTAGTGTTAAAGTGTTATACCTTTGACATCAAAGACTTTGTGTATTACATAGAATAAAATTCTCAGATGAGATTTGAAAACACTTATATTTATCTAATTTCTATGGGTATGAAAAACTAGACATATTTATAAATAGCGTATGTAAAATTGTGTTCTCTACTATTTGGCCAGGGTGCTTGTGTCTTTTGATTGTAAATAGAATAAAGAACATGACTCTAACATCTTATTTAAATAAATTCTTGTGAATTTTAAACTCTTTTAAAATACTCTGTGTGCACTCACTTAGTATTAAAGTGAGTACTAAATATAGGCCTTATTAAAGAACTACATGTAAAAATAAAGAAATAAGTCATACAGGTAAAATCAATTTTGTACACCCTTTCAACAATAACCACTCTGTGTGATACTTATAAAATAGTTGAATGTAAATCACATTTCTGAAACAAGTTTTTATTTGAAATGCACAGGGAAATCTCCTTTTTAAATGATTCACTTGTGACTCACTGTTAAAGGTAATAATTGTTTATTAATTAATGAGTATGTAAAATATTTGCTAACAACATTTTTAAAAATGAGGGTTTGGGTAGCAAAGAAAAATCCCTTAGAGCCTCAAGAAGGAGTGCAGCCTTCTGACCTATTTAGATGCCTGGTCTTCAAAACAGTAAAATAATAAATTGCAGATTTTTATTTTAACTTTTATTTTAAGTTCAGAGGTACAGGTGCCAGTTTCTTACACAGGTAAACTTGTGTCATGGGGATTTGTTGTACCAATTATTTTATCAGCCAGGTATTAAGCCTAGTATGCATTAGGTTTTTTTTTTTTTTCATTTTCTCCTTCCTCCCATCCCCCATGCCCCAAAAGACCACAGTGTGTGCTCTTCCTCTCTATGTGTCCATGTGTTCTTGTCATTTAGCTCCCAGTTATAAGTGAGAATATGTGATATTTGGTTTTCTGTTCCTATGTGACTTTGCCAAGGATAATGGCCTCCAGATCCTTTCAGACAATCTCTGCAGTGCCAAGAAGCAAAGAGATTAAGACAAGGCAAATATTTTTTTTTCCTCAGTAGGAAAAAACATAAGAATAGTTTTTTGGTTATGAGATATTGGCAATAAAGAGGAAGAGATTGAACTAGAAGGTATGCTTTTCCTGAATAAAAAAACAAAAAACAAAAACAAGAATTTTCATTAACACAATCTCTAAATTGCGTTGTTTTAAGCCATTAAGTTTGTAGTAATTTGTTAACAGCAACAATAGAAAACTAATTTGTCTATTGATACTAAAATATACTATGAATAAAAATTATTTTAGTTTTTATTCAGGAAAAGGATGCCTTCTAGTTCTATCTCTTTTTCTTTATTATCAATACCTCATAATCCCCCCCCAAAAAAACTCGTATTTTTTTCTAATGAAAAAAAGTATTTACCTTGTCTTATTCTCTACCTGTTGACACTACAGAGGTCGTCTGAAATTTCTATCTTGTTTGTGTTCATTTAAAACATTGTGCAATCAAGATTCTATCTTTAACACCCACCAAAAATTATTCTTTCAATTACTTCCATCAGCTATTTCCCAGTTATTCATTCTTTAATTTAATAAAATGCATATTATTTTGAATGTTTCCAACACAAAGCAATCATAAACATTTGAGATGATACATATCCTACTTACCTTGATTTGATCTTTATACATTGTATATATGTATTAAAATATCACATGGTATTCCATAAATATGTACAATGATTATGGGTCAACTAAAATAATACTAATAAAACAAATGCATATTAAACTTATTGCAATAATATTTTCCAAGTAAATTTTTTGAAATACAATTTAAAGCATTTAATTGGATTCTCAATACATGTTTGTTAAAATCAAAGCTTAAAGGCCTTAGGTTTAAGATCACAAAAATATGTTCAAAATAACCTTTTTAAACTATTGCTGAAAATAATGGAGGAAAATGTTGAATACTTGCTATAAATCAGATGCTGCTTTAGCTACTTTACATTTACTCATTCAGTCAACATATATGAAGAAAATATAAGATTTGTGAACTCAGCTCACAATAAAGATACACAAATTTAAAGAAGCTGTCACTTTATAAAGCCATTGGAAGCAATATTAAAATTGAGAATGCATATAATTTTTTGTCTTTATAAACACTTGTTCTACAGATATGTCAGTGCCTGTGGACAAAGGCATATGTGCAAAGATACTCATTTCAGCATAGACTGGAAAGAATTTAAATGTATAGCACTAGAAAAATGTTTTTAATAAATTGTGGTTTTTACATAATTTGGAAACTATGCAACCACTACAAAAAATATGGTAGACTTTTGTATAATGAAGTCATGGTTTCCCCTAATAAAGAACTGAGAACCAGTGAGTTGAGTTCCAAAATGAGATGAAAACTTACTTTTCAGCAAATATAATTTTGCACTGTTTGTTTGTAGTAGACATATTCATTACTTACTGTAAATATTATTCTAATTGTATCAAGTTATCTAAAGATTTTTAAATTTTAATTACATCTTTCTTTCTTCCTTTTTTTTTTTTTTTGTGAAGGAGTCTTGCTCTGTCACCCAGACTGGAGTGCAATGAGGAGATCTCAGCTCACTGCAACCTCCATCTCCTGGGTTCAAACGATTCTCCTGCCTCAGACTCCCAAGTAGCTGGGATTACAGGAAGCTGCCACCATGCTTGGCTGATTTTTGTATTTTTAGTCGAGACAGTTTCACCATCTTGGCCAGACTGGTCTCGAACTCCCGACATCAAGTCATCTGCCCTGCCCGCCTTGGCCTCCCAAAGTGCTGGGATTACAAATGTGAGTCAACGCCCAGCCAAAATTTTAATTACATCTACCTGGTTTTTAAAGGGTTATGTTACTAGTATATATTTTTACAGTCTCAAACATATACTTAAGGAACATAACAAAACATAATCTTGTTACATGAGATTCTAGAAATATTTTATATCTATAGATACTTTCTTGACATTTGAAGGTTAGGACACGTCTAAGAAAAACTTGTTCACTTTAACCTACTCTCATCTGTTTTTCCCCATGAAGACGTCAGCATTAATCACAAAATATAGATGTTTACTTCAAATTTGACTTTTACCAGAGGTTAGGTGAATCAGAGAAAAAACATTTTCAAACATCTCAAGTCAGTCAGTTTTGCTCTTCATTAGGCACTTTGCCAGCAGTCAAATTTGAGAGGGAGAGGGAGATAAAGTGCACAATGTGATTAAAAGAGAAAACCATGACATAGAGCTAATTGCTAATACTGCTTACAGTTTATTACTTATTCTTAGAAATTAGATAGAACACAGGTCACCAGAAATGAAGGATTAGTCAAGGTGAATTAGAAAAATATAGGAGGGAAAGATTCAATCCTACAATGTGGGGCAATTTTATCTACATTTCTTTGCACTGAGGTAAGATTTATACAAGGGGCTCAGTGTGCCTAAGCCAGATGGTAAAGTTCAGAGTCCCAATTTTGGGTAGAGAAATAATGTAGGAAGAGGGAAGAAGTCAAAGCCTCATAGCTAAATTGTATAATTAAAATATATTTTGGTATTACACGTGAGTTTCTCTTACTTAAGCTGTGCAACTTCAACTATTATAAGGGATAATTTCCAATTCTCAAAGACATTCAAAGATCATCAGATTCAAAAGCAGTGATGGCATACTACATTTTCTTCTCAGTGTGAAATGTTGAAAGTATTGACAAAAACCATAATTTAGCTTTATGAAGCAAGGAATCCAGTTGCTGTGTTTCTCACTGTTGGAGTCAACCTATAAATTGAAACAGTTCAATCCCAATGTATAATTTATAAGAAATCAAATTAATGGTGCTGTAAACTACTTAAATCTGTTTATCCTGTTCAAATGATAATTGTATAAAGTGTTTTTTTTTTACTCATCAAGCTTATTGTTGAGTAATATAATGTCTCATAGAAATATAGGATAATGTGGTAATTACTGGAAGGTCTCAGGAAATAGGTAATTTATGACATACTACGTATTAGCTCTCTAGAAAGAATGTTAGCTTGAGGACCATGACCAAAAGCATAGTGCATTTCTGAATTCTCATAACATTATTTTTAATAAAAATAATTCCAGAAATGTAATGAAAATTTGACTAATACATTTAGTATGGCTATTGCTTAATTAATTGATTGTAAATGCATTTGATTTTCTCTATGTGTAGGTCACCCTCAAATATTTGTATGCAAGGTTAAAAGAAAATATCCAGAAATTTTATTTTGTAAGTGTTCTTGTTTATTTTAATTGTTTTTTAAATTTATTTTTATTTACTTATATTTTTAGACGGCGACTCTCTCTGCTGCCCAGGCCGGAGTGCAGTGGCACAATCTCAGCTCACTGCAAACTTCATCCCTGGGTGAAGCTGTTCTCCTGCCTCATCCTCCCTAGTAGCTGGGATTACAGGTGTGCACTTCCATGCCCAGATAATTTTTGTATTTTTAGTAGAGATGGGGTTTTACTATGATGGCCAGGCTGGTGTCAAACTCCTGACCTCAAGTGATCTGCCAGCCTCGGCCTCTCAAAGTGCTGGGATTACAGGTGTGAGCCTGGCCTTCTTTATTTTAAAATAATCATATTAATAAATTATTAAACTGAAAAATGTGAAGATTTCACTTCAAATGAAAAAAATCCCTGGGGAAAATGAACACACACATGCTCAGAAACCGTAGAAGTAAACCACAGTTTTTTTAAAGAGAATTTTCTGCTGTGTCACTGTATTTGTTTTTCTGCCAGATAATGCAAATGATATCAATATTAGTCTGCAATATGATGCATTTTATTTGAAAATGTTATTCAAAAGCTTATCTCTAATGCTGAAATAATTCATAAGAAAAAATTGTTTCTAAACTTACGACCTCTAATGTACATTTATTTCACTCCAAAATAAGAACCAAATAATGCTATTAAAAGGACTATACTAAAGGTACTAGGAGAACACCGTTAACAAACATGTTCATATATATACACAAATAGGAAAAATGGTGCATTAGAAATAAACAAAACTGCAAAAAACAAATATGTAAATCCCTGATAATTTTTATAAAACATAATCTTTCTATCCATACTTTACTACTGCCTTCATTCACATGAGTCAAATTATGGCCCAGTAAATATAGCTTTCTTACCTAAAAAACAGAAATTGCATCTTCAACACAACAGTGCAGTCATGAAATTCTACTCCAATTGAAAACAATGCAATTTCTGGTTGCCATTTAGAGGTATATTTCTTCTATTTCTAAAATAAGTTAGTTTAAGGGCCATAACATGCAGCTGGCAACTTATTTGTTCAAAATTTTCCACTCACCCTTGAGCCATTAAAGAATGGTGATATTCAGAGGCCATATCACACAATACAAAAGTGAAATCCATGATTTTAAATTATTAAGCTTTAACCATCTATCCATCTGAAATTTCCATCCTCTAAGGCACCATGTGTGTTTTAGTGTCTATAATTTCAGCATAAAAGAACATGGCATTTCGGGGCTGATACTTTTTGAACAAGATAAGAACTCTCTGCTTTTGCCTATCGTTCTACTGCCACGTTAAGAGGTGGGACTGAATTAAAGCTTCTGAGTCTACAGGACTAAATAGAGGCATGATCCTGTTTTCATGTTTCTCAGCTGAATACTAATTTAATCCATCTGTGGAAATTTGTGCATTTGCCATTAGAACAAACAAAATAATGGATCTGGTACAGTTTAGGATTAACCATCCAGAAGCTGAAATTTACCTAAAATTCACACTTAATGGTCATATATGTTATTTGGGACTGTAGCAAAAGATTAGTTGTCTGTATCCATCAATTATAAACATAGTCTATGTTTGCTTTTAATTTTTATGAAAAATACATAGTTTATAAGATGTTTCATAAACATATATCAATTATAGTGTTAAATTTATTGAAAAGAAATAGAGACCAAAAAAATCTATTTTAGAATACATTGTTTCATTAACCTAGTTATCATTAACGAACTGAGTAGTTCGGAATATTGTTCCAAATTAGAATTAAAGAAGGTGGAAGTTTTTAGTTTTGTTTTATGGACCCCTGTCCACATCTTCACCTACTTTTCATAGACCACTGCAAATATTGCAACTGCTCTCTTCTTTCTGCTATTATTTGCTCTGTAATCCATTCTCTTCAGACTGTCAAGGAACCTTTTAAGAAGTATACAGATCAATCAATTATACTCTGATTATAAACTTTCAATGATCTCCCACTGCATTTGGAATAATACCTGAACTTAACTGTGGCATTGAAAGCCTCTACGATCTACTTTCTGGGTTCTTATTAACCTCATCTAAGATTAACACCCTCTAACATCATGTTACTTGTCTTCCAAGTCCTTTTTCTGATGAGTGATTCTGCTATTTTCTTTGCCTGGAATGTGTTTTCTTCCCTTTCAGCATTTATATGGCCCAACCTCATATTCCAGGCCTCAGTTCAGTATCACCTTTTCAGAGATACCATCTCTTACTATAACCCTTTTTAGACCCATTTCTATTCCTATTACTTCCCTTCTGTTTTCCCCTTTCAGTTCTCCTTATTCCCCTAGCAGCAATGGTCACAATCTGAAATTATTATGCTATCTACCTATCTACCTCGTTCCATTGTCTTCTGACCTGCAATTTTCTGAAAAGTAGAAATCAATCTTGTAATTGCTCCTTCATATACTTTTTAATTTTTGTTTACAATATAAAGGCTATAAGTTTTGGTCATGCTAATTAACATGTTAAATTTTTGCCACTTATAAAGGTGAGAAAAAGATGTGTGTGCTGTAAAAAGTTGAATTATATGTGTTCTTGAGCATTTCTAGTCTGCTAAAATATGAGCTACAGAAAGTTCTCTATTATCCCCACCCCGGTTTTCTGCGAAATTAGTTACTTTGGTTAAAAATTATAACTAATATGAGTAGTAAAGACCACACTAGGAGTAATATTGACAGAGTAAAATAACCATGTCTTTTTGTTTTACCAGCAAACATTAGTTTCACCTAAAGAAATGGTTATTTATTTATTTATTTTTATTTATTTATTTATTTTGAGATGAAGTCTTGTTCCCTCACCCAGGCTGAAGTGCAGTGGCCAGATCTCGACTCACTGCAGCCTCCGCCTCCTGGATTCTGCCTCACCAGCCTCCGGAACAGCTGGGATTACAGATGCCCACCACCACGCCTGGCTAATTTTTGTATTTTTAATAGGCACAAGGTTTCACCATCTTGGCCAGGCTGGTCTCGAATTCCTGACCTCGGGTGATCTGCCCACCTTGGCTTCCCAAGGTGCTAAGATTACAGGCATGACCCACCGTTCCCAGCCCAAAATAATGGTTCTTTAGGTTTCTTTGTTGTTCTTTTTCAAGTTTTTTTGTTGATCTTTTTTACCATAAGACTCTTTTACTTTCTCAGGACTTATTGAGGATCCCAAAGAGCTTCTGTCTATTTAGGTTATAATGATAGGCATTACACTATAGACATTAAAGCTGAGAAATTTAAATATATATATATTTATTGTTTCTCTTAAACATACAAAGAGGAATGCATTTCATATTAATATAAATAACATCTTACTATTATTATAAAATTAGTTTTGACCTTTCAGAAGCCCCAAGATTTGTCCTACAGTAAAGTGTCAGTTCCTGGAATATGAACAAGCACCATGAAGGTAAAAACTTGGAAAATTAATTTTATTTGCCTTGATTTATAATACCCAAGCCTGAAAAACTATGAACGTGTTAAATATTTGCAAAGTTTGTTCAATTTGATGGGCTTCCTTCCATGCTATACTAACTAATGCCTTTGCCCCTAATGTAAAAATTCTAAATCTTCTGTTTAATCTGCCTAGATAGCAGAGATTTGGTGACTTAACAGTATAGTTTTCTGTGCTCTATGAAGACTTCATGCTGCTTCATGATGTCCTTGATTATTTTAGATGGAGAAAATAGAAAAAAAGTATAGTTTGTTTAACTTCTTTTTGGAATGGTTTTATTATTTGCATGCAACAAAAACAAATTTCCTGATCAATGAAATTGTTCCTACTATGAAACTGCATCAGTCCTCTCACATTTGAAAGTTATCAATAATGCATTAACACAGCCATTTTAAATCTCTATCCTCTACAAATATTGTTTTATTCTGATGCTTGCCTGAAAAAGGTATATAGACTACCAGCCAGAATGTGTGGAATAAGATTGAGCTAGATACTTCAAACTTTTGACACTTTAAAAAATAGACATTTGGCTAAGAAGTTTGTGAATAGACATCACTTAGACAACTTTCAGATTACATTACTGAACTGTGTCAGGATTTCCAGAACTCATTTTTTTTTTTGAGGCAGAGAGAGCTTCTTGAGATTGATAACGTGAGATCGAGCAGACCAAAAAATAATTATATAGGAATAAGTGAACAAATTAGGAAAATATTATTATGGTTAGTTGGTTAGAATTATTGTTTATTTTATATTAATGTTTAATCTTCTAGATAAACTAACTCACAACAATGTCATGATGTATGTTTTTGTAAACTAAAATGTAACATTTTTAAATGACATCTAATTCTTACTGGCACCCCAGGATTCAAAATCTGTTACTGTCTCTACTTTTCACAGCAAGAAACTTATTTGTATGGGTAAATAAAAATTTGTCTTCCTTCTTACCAGGATTTAGTTCAAAATCAATTGTACAACCAAAACCTTACCTCCAGTACCATACTTGTAGCATGACAAGTTTATTGTTAGAGAAACGAGAAACATGGCATAATCTAAGCACATCTACCCTGGTTATATTATTTTATGGAGGCTGCACTTCCCATAGCCTTTGAGCTTTTCACAACCCTGTGAATTTTAGATAACTGATAAAATGCAAATGATTTTGTCCATAGACAAAATAGATTTTGTAAGGTAGGGAGAGAATCATTTTTTCCCCATGATGGAGTAAATTAGTTACCCATCTGTTTGTGAATTCACTTCAGTATTCCTGATTGAATTATCCTTCGATCCAGTTATAATACTGGTTCCACATCAATGAGTTAAATAAAATTTTTGCCCTGCTTATTTCATGTTTCTAGGAAAGTCATAATTATATCCTATTTTTAAAATTATATTTTAACATATGCTTAAATATGAGGACATCATTTGGCCTAGTTAGATATAGACAAATGGGAATTAAAGGACGATTGAATCAGAAGCATATTTTTTGTTGTTGTTCTGTTCTGATTTTATGTAGATTAACCAAAGGTCAAAGAGGGAGCAATTAGTGTAATGAACCAAACCATAGGTGGACAACGCCAGAGCCAAGGATCTTAAAATATATGTGGTCAACAATCTTAGAAAAGGACAATCATCCCATGACCTTCTTAGATAAAAATCACCCATACCTATGGGACAAACTTATTCAAGCTAAATTATAAGATCCAAAAAAAGAGTGAAAGGAGATCCAAATTTGCATCTCTTATAATTTTTGAATTATAAATAGCAAATATGTGGGTCATATAACGGTGCATTATGATCATTTTTTTAAAATGATCTTAAATAAAATGTCTATTCTTAAATAAAATTATCTGAATAATTCATCTCATACAATTTAACAAATAATTAAATGTAGGAAATATGCCTGGTTGAAAATCATATCAAGCAAATAGAATCATGAGACTCAATTGACTCAATTGACCATAGCTGAAAATAAGCAGATAAGTTAATCTGAACTACAGACACTGGGTGCCATCTGGTGGAAGCTCTTATTGTGTCATTATTGTATTTATTGAGCATATGTTATGCACATGTCTTTGTGCTACATCCTGAAACTATAATAATAAACAAGATACTATATTTACTCTCAACAAACATATAGCCTTGGGTAATACTATCAGATACATAAGCGATTACAATATAAGTTACAGAAGTTTTACAATATCTGCCCATTTTATGAAGGCAAATATTCACCTGAGTATTGCTCAAAGCAATCTGTATAATCAATATTGTTTAAACTGGCTACTTCTTTAAATGGTGGTTTTTATATTACCATGTTTTCATTAAAAAGTAAATGACTTCAATGGATTTTTTCAGCAAAAAATCAAAATATGAAATATTTTGAAATTTTACTTGTGAAAATACCCGGTTTCTAGTTCTCTTATCCAACAGATACAAGACCTTGGACAATTTATTTAACTTTTTGGGCTTTTCTCCATTTCCAACAAAACCACAGAGTTGTGAGACACAAACAGCCTCCATGCAAACAACCTACTGTCTACATTAACATCTTAAACGACATAACTTTATCATTCCAGGAAATTCTTGCCTAGGAAGGTAAGTTTCAAATAACTTCACTTAATCCTTCTTTTGCTCTGTCCAGTAATCCTAAACTATCATATCCAGGGTCCTTATCTAATCCTAATGAAGTCTTACATTGCCCACATTAATAAATCCACTTAAAAAACATAAAACTTCAATTAATGTTTCAATTTTCCCTTCTCCTCTCTGCCCTACTATTAAAGTCTCTGTTATGGTAATACACTCACGTGCAGTGGTAAGAATAAAATCAGCTTTGTCTTATCAACAGATTGTCTTGATGTGATTTGGAAAAGTAAATATTCAACAATTTCATTATTTGTTTAAGTAATTTTTATGCTTACCTTTGAAAATGTTTAATGACTTCTTGGTATATATTTTAACTGTTAAATACTGTTAAAAAAACTGTTAAATAAAAATACATGGAAATGCAATTAATCCATTTACTTTTATGTTAAGAGACTTGTAAAATATAACATATATTGTAGAGGAGTTAAGGAGTTAATATTTCAAAAGATAACGTTCTACGGGATTTTGTTACAAATTTTTCCTTATAATTTATATAGTATAATTACAAAAGTAATTCTAAAACAAATATCAGTGGGTTATATTTATGTATAGGTAATTTGAAAAATTATAACTTCACTCCTCAAGATTTCACAATAAAATCAAAACTGTAAAATGAAAAGATTCCAAGTTAATAATCTCTAAAATATCTTCCCATATAGGGAATAATGAATAAAGAGGAAATGAAGAGTACTTCAACTGAAATTGGATAAAATATTTTCCCATCCCAAAAGTTACTATAGAATCATTCTTTAATCATTGTACAATATTAAATGTAACCTTTAGCTGCTTTGACAATAATTATAAAAATACCTAAAATATTTCTATAATTAAAAACTATAAAAATAACTAAAATATTATACAAGATAATCTCAAATATTATTTTTAGGTTTATATTTATTTAGATATAAAATAACACTATCAACAGTTTTTCTCTCTATCTCTCATCACTTCTCTCGATATATGTAAAACAGGATGATATAATGGTCACACAATTAACAAAATTTTCAAAATTGCATTTTCAAAAAAATTAACTTCCTGACTCTGACTTTGGGGAAACTTATACTGTAGCTATAAAAAGCCATCATGAAGCTTGACTTGTAGCTTATGCTGACTTTGAGGATGTTTTATATGAAATACATAAGCACCTTAATATTAAAGCCACTGGATAATTTTCACAAAGGTTCCCCCTTTAGAAAATTTTGATATACACTAAATTTAATTCCATGGTGATTAGTGAATGGCATGTTAGTTTGAGATATGTGCTGTGTCAAGCAAAAATGCAAAGGTGAACAGAGAGTTACCCTTGACAATAAGGAGAAAGGCACTAACCAAGGAAGAGTAAATGTTCCCTCTCAAGATGCCATAATAGTGACACACTACCAGTTATCAATGTAGATTGTGACAGGAAGAGTAAAGGATAGGTTAATATCACCTCTATTGTGGAAGTTACTTGTTCTCTTTCACAGGATTCAATCTCAGACCCCAGAAAGATATTCCACTAGTATTTTCAGGCCTCTCTGTTTTCATTTTTGTCCCCAGTTGCCTATGACAGAGTAGAAATTAAAGAGCTCTTTTCTGATTTAAGTTTATTCTTTCTATCTATTGTGTCTAATGATGTCATTTTCAGAGTTGTGTGTCTATGTGGGAGATGACCCAAAAGGCGAGAGGCGTAGGTGAGTACGTTTCTTCCCTTTTGACTCTGATACAATGCAGGTCAACAGACATAAAAATAAATGTAACTTACCCTGCACTCTTATCTTCCACTCTTCCTAGGAGAGAAAAAAGTGTTGCTCATAAGTAGGCATAATGTTCATATGAATAGTAGAATAAAGGGAAAATGAAGAGTATTTCAACTGAAACTGGGTATATTAATTAATTAATATAATGTTTTTTTATATAACCTCAGTACCTTACTTTGGTTTGAATCTCCAGTTTTAATTTTGAAGTGTTAAATAACAAAAGCGTGGCATAAGACTATTTTATATTTAACCAAATAAGTCATGTCTTTAAAAACCAGATCAAAATTTTACTCCAAGGCAGAAGAAATAGCATCTAATTCCAAATTTTTGTAAGAAGGTCTGTAAGAGTACGTGTGTGTGTGTATGTGTATGGGTGTTTGAATGAATTAATGGTAGAAAGATGTTGAGCTGTGTGGTGATCTAATTAAGGGGCATGACTGGGGCCAGAAGTAGAAGACAGATAACCTAAAGCCTAAACAGTAAAGCTGAAACCGTGAACAGTGCCAAGGAAGAGAATGCAATGTGAGCCTAATTCTTAACAGATGCCAGAAATAGAAGTAGAAAATTTGAGTTTTTAAGTAATATTATATTAACCTCTTATAATGTCAATAATAAATTTTATTTCCTATAATAAAGCATTCATATACAATGGCAAAAACAGGACTCAAGCTATAAGTTCACATGTCGTGGGCAAGTTTTTTTAATTCTCATTTTGATTCTTTTGATTTGACTGAAAGGGAAGAACTAGTCATAGTGCATTAGTTTTCACAGAACAATACTTTGAATAACCACTTTAATATAAGATATGCTAACATAACAGACTGTATTTCTTCCAGTAGTTATCAAAAATCAGATTTTTAGAAAGGTACAATGTAGTATAAAATGTATTCATTGATTGTATAAAGTTCGATTATAGGAAACAGCTATTTGTAATTTTTGTAAAATAAAAGAAAATCCATTCATATGATTTGCTAAAAATATAATCTAAGGAAATCCAACAATGGAAATTTCTTTACCATCTGATATGTTTTATTCATGTCTCTTGCATTATTTAAATCGTTTCTCTTTTTACAAGCAAATAGGACTTATCTTGAAAAAAATTACACACGAATTTTAGAAATTAGAAAAATTTGATATCTTTATGTTAAGCCACAGTGTTCATTCAATATAATTATGTAAATCACCAAACTATACTCAAAACAATTTAAGTATTGACCTTAAAGAAATAAAACCTGCAGTCCGTTCTACGGCATATTTAGAAACTTTTAATTTCTATATACAGTGATGTTATCCTACATATCAACATTATCAAATAGATTATGTCAGAAAGGTGACCAGTAAAACTTAATTATAATGGAATGTCATAGTGAGAAATAAACTTAGAGAATTCCCTGTCATCTTCATTTACTAGATGAGGACTCAAAGACAGAAGGCTGATAAAATTTTATACATTTGTACAAAGAGTAAATGGTCGATAAAAGCATGAAACCTCAGTTCTATAACGTCAACTTATCACTCTATCCAACTATGTGTTGTCTTCGCCTCTCCAGTCCAAATGAGCTGGATTAAACTGACATAATACAAAAATAAATGATTTAACTTAAAAGTCAATTGGAAAATAAAAGATTGAAAAACTTATCAATGAAGTATGAGGACAACAAAGTCACAACCTAAGTAAACATTTGCAAAGTACTGATGAGAAAACAATTCTAATAAAAAACTGAAATCTTTTAGAATACAATTCTAATATACAAAAAAGAAAAGGAGGGTCCTAGATTGTATTTTTATAGGCTTTAAAAGTTAGATTAAAAGAAAAAACAAATAGTGAAATTCACTTATTTTCTCCTTAGATGGGACTGCTAAACTAATAGAGCAACAAGATCAGTCAGTATTCTGTAAAATACTTGAATGTTATGGCAACATTTGACTTGGTCAAATATAATCTCCTAATAGAGAAGCTAGAAAAAAAAAACCTAGAAATTAATACAGATCCACAGTGCTGTATCTGAAGCCCCTGAAGTCAAATGTGCTTCAGAGTTCAGTTTTCCATATTTTAGAGGGAAATGAGGAACACACAGTGTATGTTATGTAATATTTTCAATGGAATGTAAGGCAGTAACATATAATCAAGTACATCAGCATCCTTGCAATAAAACGTGAATATCTGCATTCAACACAAAAATAAAAACTATATCTCACATCTGTCCAAGTCAGGACAGGTTTCAAAGCAAAATGTGCTAAAAGAAAATGGTTCAGTTTCAAAGCTTTGGAATTTAGCAATTTCCATAAAGGGCTTTGAACCTGTACAAAAAGTTGAAATTTGTCTAATTATTGGAGGTTTCTCATTATTTAATTGAGGATATATTTTTTATTATTATTCTGCTAAGATATTTGTCAGTGATGCAAATGAATACATAGGAGCTATTCCTTTAAAATGTGCATATTTGGAATAAACCAGTATGTTTGAGTATAATTTTCAAGAAAAGAAAATTATTGACAGATTTCTCAAATAGGTCAAATATGTTTTTATTATTATTTTTAATGAGATATGGACACATGCAATGCTCTCAAGAGTAGGAGAATCTAGTTCTCCCTAATAGTACTTCAATAAAAGAGAATAGTAATGTGAAGTCTGAGTGTTATCATTGGATTAAACATTGAAGAGATAGAATTGGGATAGGATTAGAAGGTACACCCTGGAATGTGGTTTGCTCCCAGTAATTTGAAACATTTAAAGAATGGTTAGATGATCACTTGACAGTTATGCTATAAATGGGAATTAGAAAGCATGAGTTAAAGATCATTACTTTGAGTAGATACATTTTAATGTCATTTTCAATCTTTAGAATCTTTTGTTTTATTTGGGAAAAAAAACAAAACCCTAAATCCTGAAACGATCACTGCAAAAAAGGATTATAGTCTGTTACTTTTTAAATTGATAAACATGGAGATGTATTCCAATGAGTGTTAAACTTACTGTTGTATTTTAAAAATTTGCTTTCATATAATGGTTAAGTTTTGAAAGATTACATTTCGTGAGAAAATACTTTATGAATTTTAATGAGGTATGTTTATTTAAATCTAATTTTCTATTCTGTTTTGGGAAATAGTTGTGTGTGTCTTTAAGATAAGACCGTCAGCAAATAAGGCCACAGCAAAACAGAGATTTTGCTAATTTTTTAAGCCTTTGTTAATTTCTGGCTGACAAGAGAGGTAGTTTAATTAGTTAGCTACTAATATCTGTTTAAATGAGCAGCCAGGGAACTGTCCATCACAATAAGGATATGCAAAGCCCAGGCCATTCTCTTTGACTCTTTTCAACTATTTCAAAAGAGAAAAGAATAGGTAGATTCCACCTATGTGTAAATGAAGGGAGAATACTCAAAAAGTAATCACACACACGTAAATACGTAACATACTTTCGAGACAAATTAAGAAAATTGGATTTAAATAAAACAAGTAAGGTACTTACGTGTGTGTGTGTGATTACGTGTGTGTGTGTATTTTCTTCAAATGTGTGTGGTTACTTTGTGTGTATTTTCTTCATGCCTGTGCGTGTGTGTGTGTATTTTCTTCAAATGTGTGTGGTTACTTTGTGTGTATTTTCTTCATGCCTGTGCGTGTGTGTGTGTGTGTGTGTGTGTGTGTAATTTTGGGTTTGAGGTATAGGTGCCTTAACAATAAAATAGTGAAATACTTTCAAATATTGTGGAAGTCTCTGTATCTTTTTTTTTTTTTTTTTTTTTGGCGACGGAGTTTCGCTTTTGTTGCCCAAGGCTGGAGTGCAATGGCACAATCTCGGCTCGCTGCAAACTCTGCCTCCCGGGTTCAAGTGATTCTCCTGCCTCGGCCTCCCAAGTAGCTGGGACTATGGGCGTGCGCCACTGCACCCGTCTACATTTTGTATTTTTAGTAGAGATGGGGTTTCACTATATAGGCCAGAATGATATCAAACTCCTGACCTCACTCGGCCTCCCAAAGTGCTGGGATTATGGGCGTGAGCCACTGCGCCTGTCCAGCCTTCTGTATCTTGACTAAAAGAAAATATTCAGTCTCTACTAAAAATATAAAAAATTAGCCGGGCATTGTGGCGGGCGCCTGTAATCCCAGTTACTCGGGAGGCTGAGGCAGGAGAATGGCGTGAACCAGGGAGGCGGAGCTTGCAGTGAGCCGAGATCGTGCCTGGGCACTCTAGCCTGGGCGACAGAGCAAGACTCCGTCTCAAAAAAAAAAAAAAGAAAAGAAAAGAAAAGAAAATATTCAAAGAACTCTGAGAATCTTTAAAAGGAACTGAAGAGTATAAAACATTCTCTTTCCCTAGTTTAAAGTATCTCTGCTACTGGCAAACAAAATGGACACTCTGGCAAACTGGGGTATTCAAAGTTGAAACAGAACCAGGCAGCCATACCTGCATGAGGGAGCAGTGGGTCACAGACTCTGCATTCCCAGAAAGATGTTGTAAAAGTATCACAGGACCTCCCTTTCCGCATTTGGCTTGCCAAACCAATGTCTGTTATCCTTGCCAAGATAAACTGAGAGGTTTATCCCCCACCACCAGCAGTTGGAAACATCTGACAGCGACTTCTAGTTTGGGGCTTGGAAACCAACCAATCAGAACTTACCTACCCTGGCCAATCAAGGCCCAACTTGTATCAAACAATCAGAACTCAGCTGCAATGACTAATCTGAATTAAGCAAGCTTCATTCTTTCTATAAACAGACCTGATTGGGAACGTGGACAGGAACTTTGCTATAAAACATGAACAGTCAGCCAGGCAAGGTGGCTCCCGTCTATAATCCCAGCACTTTGGTAGGCTGAGGGTGGCAGATTACCTAAGGTTGGGAGTTCGAGACCAGCCTGACCAAAATTGAGAAAACCTGTCTCTACTAAAAGTACAAAATTAGCTGGGGGGTGGTGGCCCATGCCTGTAATCCCAGGTACTCGGGAGGCTGAGGCAGGAGAATAGTTTGAACCCAGGAGGTGGAGGAGGTTGCAGTGACCGGACGACATTGTGCCATTGCACTCCTGCCGGGGCAACAAGAGCAAAACTCCGTCTCAAAAAAAAAAAAAAAAAAAAAAAAAAAAAAAATCCCTTTGTTCTCTGGAATGAATTTTAATGGGGTGTGTTTTATTTAAATCCAATTTTCTTCTTTTGTGTACAAAGGCTGTTTCCCAAGTTTACAAACCATTCACTGGTATAAAGTCTCTTTCCTCAAATTTCAGAGAACTTTTCTTCATACCAATAATCAGTTATTAGCTTTTACATTTAAAATAAAATGGCTTACTAATATATTTCCTAGGTTTGTTTATATAAAAATAGTATGCTTTTTATTTATTTATTTTTATTTATTTTTTTATTTATTTATTTTTTGAGACAGAGTCTTGCTCTGTCGCCAGCCTGGAGTTCAGTGGCTCGAACTCAGCTCGCTGAAACCTCTGTCTCCCAGGTTCAAGCGATTCTCCCGCCTCAGCCTCCTGAGTACCTGGGATTTACAGGCGCGCACCAGTATGCTCAGCTGATTTATCTATTTGTAGCAGAGACGGGGTTTCACCATATTTGCCAGACTGGTCTCGAATTCCTGACCTGGTGATCTGTCTGCCTTGGCCCCCCCAAGGTGCTGGGATTACAGGCGTGAGCCACCGCGCCTGGCCAAAAATAGTAGGCTTTTTATATTGCCTTTGTTTACTGGGAAATTTGGAGAAATAAATGAATGGAATATTTAATAAGATACGTACGTCCTTTGTGTAATTTTTTTCAACCAACATGTTTTAACATCTTTATATTATCACATATCACGTCAGTAAGAGAAGCAAGTTCATGAACAAATATTACCAATTAATTGGTGTAAGACTCTTTTAGAGGCTGAATTTTATTGGAAAATTATTATATCCTAAGGCAGATTATGGAATTATAATTCCTATTGAAAATTATGGGGAAGTTAAAAAATTTACTTTGGGGAAATTAAAAAAATAGGCAGCATAATTTCAAAAAACCAAAAAACTTGCTACTTCTATAAAGATTGGTCTAATTATGGATATTGGATAAATTAAAATCTATTATAAACCATAAATAGTACACATTTCAGCTTTAACTTTAAAATACAATTTGAAAATGAGGGTCTAATCTTTTACTTTCATTCACAAGTGCTTATTAAAATGAAAGAGATAATATTATAACTTAATATTAGGACTAATTTATTTAAACTCGATTAAAAAATATTGTCAGCATTGCTATTTTATTTTTATATAAAAGCAGAAAGGACATAATGAATGTAATTTTAGAATCTTTTGTAACTTAGTGAGAAACATCATAATGCAAATCACTTTTTTCTCATTAAATTTGATTTAAGTATACACACGCATACACACACGCACGTGCATAACACATACTCACACACACACACACACACACACCCTCAAGAAAAATGTCAGGGAACCCTTCAAAGTGCTAAAACCCAGTTTTTTTCCTCTAATTTTCAATTTCACATTTTTGGGATGGTGCCCATTAAAAAAATACATATTAGCAATTCAAAAGCTCCAGCAGAGTGAAAACAAAAGAGAACAAGCCTGATAATTCTGGCAATTTCACTTGGAAGAAGACCGCAGAGATAATGAAAATGAAGAATTAGAGTGCTTGGCAAAATGGGATTAGATAGAGAAAAATAATCAAATAAAGTATTTGTTTAAATGCCAAAACATCATAATTGTTGTTTACTATTCTGTAAATAATTGTGTTAACTAGCAATCTTGTTTATTTTGTCATTATAATAGTAACAAACATGAATACACTATTAAACTAAAAATTATTACTTATAAATTGTTTTAATTATTACAAAAGCCATATTTTTAATTTATAGTAACGATTATACACAATTCTCATTAAGAACTGGCTCTTCTGACAGTGGATTATAGTTTCTAAACTATTTATATTTCTATATTATTTCTGGCTGAAATTTTCCCAATGGCAACTGTATATTTCATTTGTGAATTATAATTAAATAACAAAAATTAAAACGTATTATATGGTTTAATCTCAAAATTAGAGATATAGCAATATTGTTGTTGAACACATATATTCAAATTATTTTGGTTATTAATGTGTTTTGATGATTATTTAAAATCACTACCTAGAATACTCCTCTTAATTTATCATTGCACCAAGTGTGTTAACAGTTAGTGTAGTGATTTATAGTAAACCAACCAACTAGGGTAAAAAGCTTCCTTCTTACTATAGCTTCTTCAATATAACATACAAGAAATAGGAAAAAATTAGATTGGTGGGGGAAAGATAAGTAATTACACAATTTATGTTCCAATATACACAAATAAAAGTATAAGCGATTCTTAGATATTATTTATGAAGAAGTAATTGTAAGTGATTTTTGCAGATAAATGCCGATATAAGAATTAACCACAGTACATTTTTGTTTTAATGCTTTTAACCTATTTGTTCTGATGTTTCCATTTTGCTTTTGATATCCAAAAAATTGAACTTTATAGCTCAAAGGATCTACAGACATCTAGTTCAGCCTTAATTTTACAAATGAGGAGACTGAGGTCTGAGAAATTAAGTTACAAAACTGAGTGAATACAGTTGGTTTTTGTCAAAGACAGAAAAGAATACATGCCTCCTTGCTTATAGTCAAGAGGAAATATTTTAATTGGGATGCACTTGATCTTTAAATCCAGCATATCCAAATGCAAAGCCAGTGCCTTTGATGGGTGAACAACTGGCTTGCTCTAGGAAATTAAAGACAGATAGAAAGATAGAAATAAAAAGAAAAAGTGTATAAAATTAAATAAAACAGAAAGATGAAAAAGTTCTGTCTTCCATGTATTCATAATTTAAGTTAGAAGGTGATTTTAGTGCAATATACATGAAAGAGAAATTCAGGGACATGAGGGGCAAACAAAAGTTCAGCATGTTCTTGTTTTTATTTGTGAATATGTAAAATGGAAATTATTACAGCTGTTTATAGGAGTAAGTAAGATAACATGAAAGCACTAATTACATAATGAAAATATAATATTTAATTTCAATCTCTTTTCCTTTTCTAGTATGGATTGATAGATAGATATAGACCAGACTATTACCCTATATATATAGTGTAAAATAGTATATATATATATATAGTATAATTTTTTTAACCAACATTTTTGAACATCTTATATATATATATATATTTGTGAATAGCTTATTATACACTAGAAATAAGATGTATTAATTTCTTTTTAATTTCTTAAATAAGAAATAATTCCAATCTCTTTCCCTTTTCTAGTGTGGAAAAGGGAAAGAGATTGAAGTTAAATATTGTTTGATATATATGTACAAACACCACTTTTGCACTATATATATATAAAATATATATATATAAATGTACGTACACACACACGTTTTGCAGTCTCTCTTTCTCCCTATAGCTCTCTCTCTCTCTCTCTCTATATATATATACTACATATAGATTTGATTCCAAAACACTTCTGACGTATGTTATAGTCTGTCTTTCACATACGAAGATGTTTAATTATAATTATTTTAAAAATTAGTGTTAAGGCTCAAAGGAGAAAGTATGTTTCATTATTTTAACTCTATTTTTAACTTTTGCTTAAATAACCCTGGTATATCATAATTTAAGTGACTTTTCAAATAAATTATAGCTCATCCTAATGTTTTTAATAACAGCTAATATTTTGCCTGATCATAAAATTTACACATACTCATCACAAAAAAGTGAGAGGGAAAACCTATAAACCTTTACACAAGAGATACCTCAAACGTTTAGGTGGAATACTTGTAGGCTTTTTAGTATACATTTGTATATATTAAAAAAGTAAGACCATCCTAAAATAATTAGAGCACTATTTTATGTTTTTAAATTTTTATGTGTTTTGTTTTACTTAAATTTGAAGGAATATGAAAGAATTTCCTATTGTATTGAATATCCTTAGAAAATAAAACAATATGTAGTACTATTAAAACTGAATTCTCAGTTTTCTGAGCAAACAGTTTAATTGATTTCTTTAAATTTGTATTCTTAATATCTAGTTTTAAATTTGCATTCTTAAGATTTTTGAGAATTTTTAAAATAAGGATATATTTAATTTATTATGTTAAAATTTTTCTTTGTGGGTTAGAATAAAGTCAAATTGAGTATACATTGCATGACCGTATTTAAGATGTATGTTACATATTTAGTGCACAAAATTCCATATATCAGTACAATTGCACTAAATTCTATATTTAAATAATCTTTTTTCTTAACACCCCTACACTTGGGGTTTGTGTGTGTGTGTGTGTGTGTGTGTGTGTGATCTATTTCATCCATAAAAATCAAAATAGCAGATTAAAGTTTCTTGTGACAGTTATGTTTTTTTAATTTCTCCTGGAAGATCTATGTATAATTTACTATTCATTGTATAGTGATATATGGCATTAAAGAAAATCGATTATCTTTTTACTTTTTATGTTGGGTCTAATTTTGTCTTAGTTAACTTTGCTAAAAGTAGCACATTCAAAGAAATTTTTAAGTCTGATTATGATAATTATTTTTAGAGCTGGAAATATTTACACTTATTACATTTGCTATATTTTTGTTTTTTCTGGTCACCTTGTTTCAAGTTTGATAATTCTATCATTTTCATTTATTTTTAAACTTTTTATATGTTTGTCTTTATATGTAGCAGGAAATTTTCAAAATACACATGAAGCTTTTTACATTCACAAGTTGTTAAGGTTGGCAATAATATTTTAAACTTAATTTTTCTGGTTGAAAATGGAAATATTAATAAATTTGAATTTCCACTCTCTGCTTAATTTTTCTAAGGTTTTACTCAAATTCAGATCTCTAAGTATTTATTTATATCATCGGAGTTTATAAACCTGGGTCACTTAAACTTAATAGTTCTCTTTATTGTTAAATACTGTCTCTTCCAAGAATTATATTTTAACATTTCCTTGAAATTTTAAAACAATATTTACTATTTTTCACTAAACTCTGTGTGATAATTTTTAGTGTGAATGACATTTGTGTGGCTACATTTTATTTTATTTGCACTATTATCACACCCTCCAAACTCCTTTTTATTTTCACCCTATTTTTTTCTTGCCGTATGGTCTTCTGTTTCTAGAGATACCACAATTTCCTACAATCTATTGAAGAGACCAGGCATTCATGTGTGCTTGTTTGTGTATGTGTATATCAGGGAAAGGGATCATGAAGAGGTAATCTCTCCTACTGAATCTTTAAGATATTTATTTCTTTCGTTTAGCTATTTTGAAAAATGTGTTACCTTCTCCCTTCAGTAAAAGCATGGTCTCCCTACTATTAACCTCATACTGTCATGTAATGCAAGTCCAAAGCTACTGTTGTATTATAGCATGTATATATATATATGTACATAATATGTATAATATATTACTGTATTATTTTATTTGTTATGTGGAATAGAGAGGGCTCTATCAATATGTAGATTTTGCTGAAACAGGATGTGTTGATCAGTGCCTCCAAATCCTTCTTTGGTTTGCAGGAGACTGCACTGATATGTAGTGGTTTGGGCTTAATTATCAGTGTATAGCTGAGGCGGAATTTACTCTGACATTCATTTCTCTGACAATCTGAACAAGAAAGTCCAGGGGAAACAACATTAATTACACTAAAGTCTATTCCTCTCCCTGTTGGTAATTTAATTCTGAAAGTCCTTGTTCCTTGTCATAGATATGTAATCATTAATATTAGTACTCGTATATTCCCTTCCAGAGTTGCCAAATGTAGCAAATAAAAATACATGGCAAACAAATAAATTAAAATTTAAATAGAGAAAAATATTTTCTGCTTCTTTATTTTTTGGTTTAATTGTGTCTCAAATATTACATGGGGCATCCTTATTTGATATCTTCCTACCACATCATTCTTGCCATGTGCCAATTCCAAACATGGTGAGAGAGAGAGATCATTTTTCTGTGGCTACATCTCAAGGTAGGATCCTGTCGTAGAGAGGGAGCTGCGAAGTTGCTATTAGGATCCAACTCTGGGCTTCTGAGTAGTTAGCTGATGGTAATGACACAGCTCCCTTCTGTATTTAGGGTAAGTGCCACCTTTGTTGAGGCATTTGGGCTTGCTCATCTGAAGTATTAAAATATGTTTTGCTAGTCTTATAACTTTTAAGAAGCTTATAACTACTTCAATGCCTCTCATATTCTGGCAGAAGGTTACATATTAACCATAATTTTCTGTGTTGTTATGAGTTTTCATTTTCCCTCCTGATAATTTATACAGTATTTTAATAGGAAGTTTGAAGTGATTTCTATCTGGATTGCTACTTTAAAGACATTTTAAACCAGAATCCTCATAGTTTTTATTATAGAAAATTGTACATTCTTAAAAACAACTCTTTATCAGTAAATACTTGTCCAATTCTTATTCCTGATGAAAAATACTTGTATTTTAATTCTTAATAACTTGTACTTAAATGGATTCTTATGTATCCCAATATTATGAAGTTTTTTTCCTCTGTTTTCTTCTAGAAATTTAGTATTTTTGCCTTTCCTATTGAGATCATTATTCCATATAAAATAGGCTTATATATATGTTATGAAGAAAGGATTAAATTTCTGCTTTTCTCATATGGATACCCATATAAAGAAACACTTATTCAAAAGTTCACTCTTTCCCACACATGATTTCATTATAATCCTGTCACATATGAAGTGACCATATAGTGGTTTAACTCTTTTTAGACCATCTTGTCTTTCCTTAGTCATTTTTTAAATATAATTTTTTTTCAAGGAACATGACTGAAAAGACCAGTAAGTCATAACATTCACCTCAATTGTCTCCTATTCTCAAATTGGAGCATTATTTGAGTGCTCTGAAGAAGCACATCAAGTTGTGATAATATGACATGTCTGTATAATATTTTGAAAAATTATAAGAAAATCAACATCATTTTCCCAATAATTCACTTACACATGTGGTTAACCAAAGAATGGTAGAAGTTAGGGAAAGAAAAAAAAAATTTTTGTTTTGAGTCATCATATCTGAAGATTTACCTATGTGAAATGTTTATTTTATGATAATGAAAGTTGCCAGCCTCTGACCTTAGAACTCATATCAGTAGTTCAAGATAACTGCATCTAAGTTTGAGCCACTAAAAATGAGTCCCTTGTCTAGAGATCCTCTAATGTATTAAAAGAATAAAGATTTCCACAGCCTAGAGAAGATTATACATATCCTGACAGGCTTACAGCCTGAGGATAGTGTTTCTAGAATACAACTGCAAACACAAGGCTCCAGCTTACTAAGGCGCCAAGTGTCCCCCTGTTCTATGCGGCAGAGTAGACAAAATTTCTCCAGGAATAGCTCACTTTCTGAAACTAAAAACACTTTTAGAAATGCCTTTTTTTTTTTAAATGAGGCAACAAATCTTCCAACTCAGTGATCAATCCACAAATTAATAATCTTTTAAGTCTTAATGTAGTTTCAAATACAAATTCTGTAAATAACTTTAAATATACACAAGTTTAAAAACATAAATGTAAGTTCTATTAGTTGACAAAAACACACTTTTTCAAACATGATGACAATTTTAAAAAATCTTAGCCCTAGCTATGATTTTAGCAATTTTTGATTGTTGTGTCCTTGCCGTTCTATATTTGGAGTGAAAATAAAAATATGTTGCTGGAGAAGAGGATGAAATGAAGAAAGACAAGTGAAAATAGATTTGACCTAATTATATTAACAGGTTTGATATGTTTTACATTTCTAACTAATGCCTTTCAGAAACAATGTCAATGCAATATTCCCCTAGAATGTGTTGATGATAGTAATAATAAGCACTAGTAGAACTGGGCTGATCACTTTAGGAAATTACAATCTTTAAAATGACAAATCAAATATTTAAATATGGAAAACATTAATTTTCCATCTATGTGTTTTAAGTACTCACAAATTCTATATTTTTATGGCAAACATTAATGAAAAGTGAACTTTCTAAAATATTTTTGAAGACAAATATTAAAGACAAAACTTGCTTTACTAAAACTAAAGGTACCCTAATGAATAAATTATACTGTTCATTTTATAGCAACTATCAATAACCGTGGCATCATTTGCAATGTTTAAATGGTTTTATAAGAAGTTGTAACCTAGCTCCATTGTTTATAAATGGATTTAATATCTTTACATGTTTATTCAAGCCACAAAGGTAAAGACATAGTAAGGATAAGTAGCACAGGGCTAATGAAGGTCTTCAGGAAGTGAGTTGCATAAAAACCAAACAGAATATATGCGCCTTGCAAACAAACCTCAGAGCACTTTTGTTCATTACCTTTAACATCTGTGATCCAAATAATGCCTCTTTCATTCAACCCAGCACCTCTAAAAACATGTCAAGCTGGCCGCGCACGGTGGCTCACGCCTGTAATCCCAGCACTTTAGGAGGCCACGGCAGGCGGATCACTTGAAGTCAGAAGTTCAAAACCAGCCTCACCAACATGAAATCCCGTCTCTACCAACAATACAAAAATTAGCTGGGCGCGGTGGCGGGCGCCTATTAATCTAAGCTACTTGGGAGCCTGAGGCAGGAGAATCGCTTAAACCCAGGAGGCGGAGGTTGCAGTGTGTCAAGACCGTGCCACTGCACTCCAGCCTTGGTGGCAGAACGAGACTCCGTCCCAAAAAAACATAAACAAAAACATGTCAAGCCATGTTTGCTACTCACAGCTGATTGACTGATAAGCTAAACCACAACAATCACACATAAGACAGCACCTTAGACCTCCAGATAGAGATGCCGATAAATCACGGAGACATGCTCTGGCATCAGTTTGTGTGATAGAGTGTTAAAAATCCTCTTGCAGAGTGCTAAAATCTAACACATTCTTAGAATCCTAAAATCAGGTAGCTTCACTCAATCTGTGAGGAAAAACTGGCTAAATCAATAAACACACATAAAAATAAATGAACCCAGAATCATAAAATGTTGACAATTTCTGCTACTTTTCAGAAAGAAAAACTTTAGTATTTTTTTTTTTTTTTTTTTTTTTTTTTTTTTTTTTGAGACGGAGGCTCGCTCTGTCGCCCAGGCTGGAGTGTAGTGGCGCGATCTCGGCTCACTGCAAGCTCCACCTCCCGAGTTCAAGCCTTTCTCCTGCCTCAGCCTCCCCAGTAGCTGGGACTACAGGCGCTAGCCACCACGCCCGGCTAATTTTTGTATTTTTAGTAGAGACGGGGTTTCACCATGTTGGAAGATGGTCTGCATCTCTTGACCTCGTGATCCGCCCGTCTCTGCCTCCCAAAGTGCTAGGATTACAGGCATGAGCCACCACGCCCAGCCTCGTCATTTCATTTATTTAAAAAATAGAGTAAATCTTTTCATTAGGCTTATGACAGTGTTATGACTGCATGGAATAAGGGATTTCTTATTTTTGAGAAGGCAAAGCAATAATTGTGTGGTGCTTCATGGAACTTGCTCAGGACATTCAGTGTCTTCTGTAAATATACATTGCTGATAGGATTTATAAATTTCTCATAATGCTGTATAAATGACTACAGACAAACATGAAGCACAGTGCCCTCTGGTGCACATAAAACATAAAATAAAATATTTATATAGGAGTATCTACATAGATACAGCCACACAAAAATACACAACAAATGTGCTTCTTTATAAATGTTAAACCATTAACTAGGAATTGTAAAAGTCTATCACCAATAAACAAATTGAAGTGATAGCTTCACATAAAATGTTCTTCATGGCATAGATCAATATAATCTAATCCATCAGGCAACCACTTGTACACTCTTCTACTTAATGTATTCACGGGACATCAGGTGAACAGGCAACCTTTGTTGAATTTAATATATTACTCTTTTTGTGTAACTTATTTAGATTTTAAACATAGAACATTGATAGATGTTAAAGATCATATATCTTTATCCCATCCATTTCTTTGATCTTTGCTATCATGTCCTATTTATCTGCTACTTGTTTTTATTCCATTGCTGTTTCCTTTAGCTTCTGAACGTACAATTACCTTTCAGGTAAAAAAGGATGAGGTGACTCAACTTCTCAGTGACTAGTAGAAGATACCATTTCCATTTAGGCTGAAAAAGGTAACATAGCATTGTATAAGGTAGAAAGGAAAAGCAATTTTTTAAATTTCACTTTAAAATTTTGGCTATTTAAAATAAGAAACTCGGCTTCCAAATACATTGCCATTTACTTTAAGGCAGTGTAGCATGCTTAAATTTGGGAGTGATAGACAAGTGGTCACCATTATCTGTTTTTATCATAATATATTACATCTATAAGAAATACTTTGAATAGCAAGAAAACATTACTATGGTGCATGGTAAATAACAACCCTTCTGATAATACCTTTTTCCCGTCTGAAACTTTCCCTTAGAGAAACTTATGTATACACAACCTTCAAGGATGATATTTCTGTAATTGCTTTCCCTTTGCTTCATACCTGTATATCTTGTATCTTGTGCTAAATCCCTGCCGGCTTCTGTCCACAAAATCTGTGTATTCCTGTGAGCGATGGAAGGGTCCCTTATCAGAGAGGAGCCAGTCGAAGGGGCTTGTGGCATGCTGATCCGAAACAGCAGCAACCGCTAAAACCCAGCAATGAAGACTCAGTGCTATCCACTCCCATAGAGCCATCAGAGAGAACAATTCAGCACCAGCTCTGCTTCGCCATATCATGCTTCCACTGGGGATTTAGAGCCTTCATTCTCTCAGCTTTCCCTCAACACCTAGACAAAATACACAGGCAATTAGTTAACTCCTAGAAGATTCCTTTCTCTCAGTTAAGGTGTTGAGGTGGCTAATTTTAAATTTTAATCTAATATCATTGTTTTAAATTAGTATTATCAGCAGATAATAAAATACAAACCAAAATTATTTTTTTAGAGCTGTATATCTTTTATACTTTGTTCCTTTTTTATATTAATGGAAAATAAGACATTGAGTCATAACAGACTTTGTCATAACAATTTTATTCAGTGGATCATTAAAGCCTATTGAGCAAAAATCAGAAGTTGAATGTTTTATAAAGTTGGACTGATGCAAATAAATAATTAATAAGTTCAAGTATTTCATATATTTCATAAATTGTGTTACAAATTTTAATACTAGATTTAATTTTATTGTATATTTATCTTAAATAAATGCTTTAAATGAAGCAAAGATATTCATGTAGTTATTTCCATAATCTACATAAACACGGAGTAAAACTGTGGATTTAAGAATACATAAATATATGTATGTATATGTGTGTATATGTGTGTATACCTATTATAGATATATATAGATATAGAGACAGACACAGAGTGAGACAGAGAGATGATAGAAAGACAGACTGATACATGAACAGATGTGTGTGTGTGAGAGTGGATGTGAGGAGTAATGTCTTTTCCCAGATTTTTTTTCATTATTCTGTTAGGAAAAAACTGCATATCTGATTATTTAAACAAAATCATAATTACATTATTTCTAGGGTCTTTAAAGATTTAAATGTGCATCTGTCTTATTCATAAGAAAGTCATACCTCCAAAATTATATGCACATAAATTAAGCTAATGCAGACTATTCATAGACTTTGAAACTGCATACATTGTAGTATAATCATTCAAAAAAAAGTAATAAGACGTATAATCCCAGTATGGTACAGTGTAAGACACTTTATGCAAAGCTGCTGATGCAATGTCTATATGCTACACCAGAAAATTCTAAAAATATTTGAATTCAATTTTTCTTTCTATCCTCATCAGCTTTTCAAACTGTATTATTCATAGCACATAGCACTACAGAGTGCAAAGATTCTGACTAATGAGAAAGGTTTACTTGCATGAGTTCTTACTCAGCAAAACATCTTTAGAAAAAAAGATTAAGATTTACAGTATTAAGATATATCAGTAATAGTAGCTACCATATTTCTCTGGTATTTGAATAAGAACACTGGTGGTTTTAATGTACTTTCCTAGCTATAACCCCATTATTTGTATTTAATCCTAAACTATTTCTATCTGAGAGATATAGAGAAATAATTTTGGGGCTCTGAAGTAGCTCAAAGCAGTGATACAATGAGTGAACTCTTAATATCACGATATCCATAAAAGGACATTCCTCACATACTGTATGAGTTGCCTCAATCATATGAGTTGCTCACTGAGGGGATTAAAGCGTACCGTCTTTTGTAAACAACATGGGAAGCCTTACAAGTGAAGACATTTTAAAAATGATTTTCTATAAGAAGGAATATTATAATAGAAGAATTTTGGAATAGGAGCTTGGAGATTCTAGGCTTTTTTCTATTATCTATATAAATGTACCATTGTCAAATGATTCAACTCCTAACTTTCAAATTTGCTGAAAAAATATTTTATATATTTTTTCTTATGAGAACTATACAATTTATTTTAAAATATAGCTTACTTTCATTTATAAACACAATTATTCTTATGTGTAGTGGTATAGTATAATAATCCTGTGACTAAAAAATATTACTCGTCTTTGTTAAACACACTATTTTTATTTTGCTTATCATATACATTTAAACGGGCAAAATTTAATCATTATTTTTAGAATATATAATTTCTTAATTTAAATGAGTAATTTTTCATTTCATAAAGACAGAATAAATTATTCAAACCACTACTCAAGTCCATATTACATATATCATCTGAAAGGATGTGTTTCTTAATTGAATAAAACTTCAGTCACACCATCTAAATGAAGTTCTCTTATTAACAAATGTAGATGTGAACAAGAATATTATTGAAAAAATTCAAACAGTACTTATTTCATCCTAATAAATAACTTGGAAAACAGTTCTTTGAAAATGAAATCAGATTTTCTCCAAACCCAACAACCAATATAGCAAATTAGGATATATAACGTCAAGAGACAATATTCATAGTGGTTAAAAAAATGGACTCTAGAGCCAAACCGCTGATGTTAAAATTCTAGCCCTGGCCAGGCACGGTAGCTCACGCCTATAATCCCAGCACTTTGGGAGGCCGAGGAGGGCGGATCACCTGAGGTTGGGAGTTCAAGACCAGCCTGGACAACATGGTGAAACCCTTTCTCTACTAAAAATATACAAAAATTAGCCAGGCAGGGTGGCACACATCTGTAATCCTGGCTATTCTAGATGCTGAAGCACGAGAATTTCTCGAACCTGGGAGACAGGGGTTGCGGTGAGCTTAGATGACTCCACTGCACTCCAGCCTGGGTAACAGAGGGAGGCTCTGTCTCAAAAAAACACAAAAACAAAAACAAAACAAAAACACCCAGCCCTTCTACTAACGCTATAGATGTTTGACTTTAGGCAAGTTACTTAACTTCTTTTGTGCGTCAGATTCCTAAACTATTATAGAGGTCACCTCATCAGTCTATTATAAAAATAGAGTGAGTTAATATTTGTAAAATCCCTAGAATAGTGCCTACCATATGGTAAGGACATGTGGTAAAGTTTTAAGTTATATTTTATACTGGTATGAAGCCATGCCATTATACACCTTAAAATTAAACAAATGTTTTGTACTCACACATGTGATTTTTGTAATACACAAAGTGTTTTAAAAGTAGGATACAGTTGACCTAGATGGCATTTGAGGTCCTGTTCTACAATTCTGTAATTTTTCAATAGGTGAATTACCCAGAACCACTTTCTTATCACTTTCTTTATCAAATGTGTTGAGCTTGTTTCATAGTCTTCATATCCCCTCATTAAAAAAAAAAAAAACTATATTGTGTATATTTAAGGCGTATAGCATGATGTAATATGGTTACAGTAGTGGAACAATTTAACATATCCATCATTTCACATTGTTATGCATTTTAACATATGGGAAGATAGAAAGGTTTTCTTTAATTTTGTGCAGAGAACTACCTAACAATATTACCAGGTAATTATGAGGTAATTATCACATAATTCGGGGGTTTAATTATTTCTGTTTTTTCTACTTCTGACTTTGGGAACATGTTCCCCACTTCTGTACAGAAATAATTTTTTTCTGAAAGTTTGTTAACACATAGGAATGTCAATCTTACCCCAAATTAAGTTAATTTTGGTGATATCCTAAAATCATTGTATTTGTAAGAACTTTATAAAGATATTTTGTAATGAACAAATTGAGATATCCCAATAAAGTTATACTGAAATAGTGTTTAAGAACTTTTTTCACAAGTTACATGACAGGGAGAAAAGTCATAATAGAATGCCTAAGGCAAGCATGTAAGCTTCTAGCCATCTTTAGGACAAGTGGTAATTAAACTCAATATTCACCATCAGAAGAGCTTCATTACCTGGTTTGTCACAAAAGTAGATCATTGTACATTTAATTCATATTTTCATGAGTACTAATTTATAAATTATTACTGAATTACCTTAATTGGTTGCTTTATTTGGTTTGGGTTATAACCATATTAATCCATGTGTCAGAGATGGTTTAGTAAATAGAGTTTGTTTGTTACGATGTAGTGTTAGGATATTTTGAGGTGACAAGTGAGGTGAACAGCTAAACTTAGATATACTGCCAAGAAAGAGAAATCACAAGTTCCAATGAAAGAGGATAGAAATTATTAAACTAATAATGAATTTATCACTTTTTCTATAGTGTGGGGAAATGCAAAATAGTCCAGAATTTAATATTCATAACCAAGAGGCTAACTGGCCAACTAAAGAGATGAGAACATCAATGCACCATATTTTCTGGACCATGGGAGAGTGATTTTATATAAAAGAGAGAAATAAAAGAGAATGAAGAACACAAAAAAACAAAACATTAAAAACAATACAAAATTAAAAACATGACTTTATGTTTAAAACATGGTGTTTAATTAAGTATTTATGGTTTTTTTCATAAAAAATAAGTCATAAATATTGAAATATCTATTTGAAAAGCAGA
This sequence comes from Homo sapiens, assembly GCF_000001405.40. NCBI lineage: Eukaryota > Metazoa > Chordata > Mammalia > Primates > Hominidae > Homo > Homo sapiens. The sequence continues at coordinate 190,459,099 of NC_000001.11, forward strand.
TATTTAGTATAGGTCCTACTCTTAAATTCTTTCTCACAAAAAAAAAAAAAAATAACTGTGAAGACCACATCATGATACAAGTTTATTTGCAAATCCTCAATGGCCTTGACAATCTGTGCAGAAATAAAATACATCAAAAATATGTTACATATATACTAATGTATACTAATGCATATAATACATAATAAATGCATAAATAATATGTGTATAATATATAGTCTAAATATGATTATTCTTTCTTACTAGCTGTCAGTAGTCTTATTCCAAGGTGGTGGTACCTTACTTTTATCTAAAATACTGATATATCATATATATTTGAAATTCATAAATATTGAAATTTATGAAAGAAATATTTACTATAACAGTAAAAGTGAATTTCCAGTAGAACTGAAACTACAAAGATATAAACAAAATATTCGGAATCACTGAATTAAACTTAATATCCTTTAAAGTGGTGGGTCATGTCATAGTGGTGCATCTTTTAAACCTCAGTATCTTATTATCCACAACTGAATTAGATGTCCAGTGATAATTATTACTATTTGTTAAACAATTAACATTGCAAACTGTATCATTTCTTTTTTTGTATTTGCATTTGGACTGATTTTTGCTGCTTACATATCCAAAATATTCTCTCAGGAACTAAAACCTGCTGAAGAACTTGAATATGCAAAGTCATTTCAGAAAACCATTGTATCAAACATATTTACTTTCATTTTGAATAATGTAGAACCCATGGAAAACTGAAAGACTGATACGGTAAACTCTTACATATCTGTCAGTTAGAGTCACCAGTTTTGTTTTCTTTTTTTTCTACCATATTATCACTCTCTGTCTCTTTTTCTCTTTCCCTGTCTCTCTCCCTCTCATAAATTTTTAAGTATTGGACAAAGGTATAAAGAAAATTGGCTGATTTGCCCAATGTCTGCAACCATTCTCTAAATTTCTTCTCTTGAGCAAATACTACTTTGCTCTATAAAATAGTTTCTTAACATTAATGCTTACTAATACTGAAGCTTATAAATGTAAAACTATGAATCTTCAAAATAAAATATCCAATATTCAAAATAACTATTTAAAAAGTCACATTCTTTCAAATAATACGATACATATTATTCTATTAAATCTATTAAATTATAAATGTTAGAATTATTTATTATAAAATAAAATATTTATATGTAGTACCCCAGAATCTGTTTAAAATCTACAGCATTATTATATAATCATATATAACTATAATAATTATTTTTTGATTATTCATTTAAATAAATACTAGCTATGAAATAAATGAATACTAAATACATAATTGTGTAAGTAAATAAATGGTAGATGAGGTAAAAATATTTTAACATAAATTTTCAATACTTTTTCCACTATAGTTTATTAATTGTTTCAATTCCAATTTGGTAGAAGTAATAATGTAGAAAACCAGAATAAAAAAATAAATCTTATTGATCAATTGCAATGTGCAAAATATCATGATAAGTTTTGAGACAGAGGTGGGCCTTAAGTCTTAATAAAGATAGTGCTTCTAGCCTCAGGAACTTACCGGTTTAGGAAGGCCATGTGGAAGGCAGGGCATACTGCCTGTGGCCATTTCTGTTAGAACATGATACCTCTGTCAAGGAAAACTAAACGTTCTCCAAACTTTTTTCTGGTTTTCTTATCTCACTAAATGATACTTCCATCTACTCAAATTTTTAAGCCTAAACATGACTTTGACCTACCTTCTCACTCACATATACAATCTGTCCTCAAGTTCTGTACATTCTTCCCCCTAAATATAAGATTTACCACTTTTTCTCCACCCCCATTTTACTTGATCAGCTCATAGTATACGCTCAACAATACCAACTTTGCCTCTAAAATGTATTACTGCAATAGCTTCATGACTAGTTTTCCCACTAGCCATGTGGCTCTATCCAATCTGTTCTTTTTACTACAGTCAGAGTGATCTTACTAAAAAGTTAAATCTGAACATGCAAATCCTTTACCCCCAATTATGTAATGACTTTTGTTTCAGGATATCTGATCTCTTTAAAATAACTTATGAAATTATCTTTCCTTGCTTAACTCTCTATCCATATCTTTCTTATGTATATGTGCCAGGAGAGTTATTAACCAAACACCAACTTTGTTTTTCAGCCATGACCATAGACCTCATCTTCACCCCATTTTCTCTCCAAGATCTTAGTTTATTGCGGTTCCTCTGCCTGAATGACTGTTTGGACTAGGATCTCTTCATCTGCCTAACATTGACCTTAAAACCTCAGACTAGATTATCATTTCATTCACAAGGATTTTCATGACCCTACAAAGTTGGTTGGTCATTTTTTTATGCTCCCATTACTTTCCCTATGATGGTACATTTACATGATATTTGCTTGCATGTTTGCCCTATTTCCCTGCACATCTCCTTTCCTTCAATTAGATTAATTTTGGGAGAAAAATAATTGCTCCTATCTTAATGACAAGAAAATAGTCACCAAAGTTTCTGAAATAAACCTGCATAAATAAGTATTGTTAGAGTGAATGAATAAATGTTGATGAAATAAGTACTAAATTAGGGTGCAACTGCAACTGGTGGTGTGATATGGCTGGCAAGACCATATAATAAAAAGAAAATTTATTCTTCATGGAAATAGAATCTACAGAGAATCTGTATCCGAATCTGCATCTGAGCTGAGTGTCAGGATGAAAATAGCTTTGGCAGTTGAAGAAAGGGAGCAAATTGAGTTATGAGGTAATGATTTTTAAGACCAGATTGTAAACATATATTGACAAGCTCAAAGAGTATCAAAGCAAAATATTCTTTAATTTTAATTTTGATTTTATTTTATTTTGAGACGGAGTTTCGCCAGGCTGGAGCGCAGTGGCTCGATCTCAGTCGCTGCAACCTCCTCCTCCCAGTTCAGGCGATTCTCCTGCCTCAGCCTCCCAAGTAACTGGAATTATAGGCATGCACCATCATTCCCAGCTAATTTTGTATTTTTAGTAGAGATGGGATTTCACCATGTTGGTCAGGCTGGTCTCAAACTCCTGATTTCAGGTAATCCACTCATCTCAGTCTCCCAAAGTGCTGGGATTACAGGCATGAGACACCATACCTGGCCCAAAGCAAGATATTCTTAATGTTAAAAAATGTTAAGGACAAAAATAGAAAGTATTATTATTAATTATTAGCTTTGGACATAACAATAAGAGATTATCATATTATGCACAACTGGAAAACTAAGGACTTTTTCACTTATGTTCTATAATTCAATTTCTAAAGACAGAAACTATATATGAAAGTCAAACCTAGATCCTAATCAACAAACAGCCAAACCAAAATCCCCCTCTAATTGAGGAGCACAATGAGAATTTAAAGAATAATAATAAAGAAACAGGAATTGAATAGCCTGTTCCTCTCCATTTGGAAAATCATATACTAGGATTATTTTGATTGAGATCTCCCTGACTACCTGTGAGAAAAGTAAAGAAAATGATGATAAAATGAAATGCTATTTTTATTTTCTTCACAACAAAATTAACACCTTTTTAATCTTTTTGATATACCAAGCATTTCACGAAATTTTCTTATTTCAGTTCTCAGCAGCACAGTGTAGTATATATTAAGATCTCATTTGTACTCTTGAAGTCAAACTGAATACTATAGTTTTCCTGTTGTACTCTACTGTAACCTAAAAATAACCAATTGCAAATTGAAAGTTATTTCTTAGAATTTTTGAGGTCACCTTTGCATAAAATAAAAATTCAAATGAAAGAATACTATTATCTCAAGCTATTAAAAGCAAGCAAGTGTTCTGAGTAACTACATATTATGGGTTTTCATTGAGTGTTTGCTTTGTATAGTTTAATATTTTGAATTAAAGTGATAGTTTAAATCTACTAAATGTGATTTATTTTAAAACATGTACTGAAAAGTCAAAAATTAGAAAACATTTTTCATATTACATATGATATTTATTGGGTTGAAAAGTATAATCATGGCTAAACTGGATTAATTTACTTATCTGTTCCTCAGAAAAATTGTAAGATTAATCCAGTAGGCTTTGATTATTCAATCTTATTATAAATTGCTTTATAGTACTACTAAAAATAAGACAATTCAACACTTACATAGTTGGTGTCTAACAATGGGAGACATAATAAAATTTCAGAGAAATGAGATGACACTTAATATTTTGCTAAAATGCAATCATACAATTTTAATTAAAATCTGTTTTTTCATGTTCCCATACAATAGATAATGACAAGGATATAAGGATATGAGGGTCATTTCTAACAAGTATTATTTTAAGTGATAATAGCGTGAAAATTCAGAACTACAACTAAAAAAAAAGGAAAAATTATAACATCATTTGCCAAGAAATATCCTGGGTACAAAAAAAAAGTTTTAAAGACATTGCTCTTTTAGGACATCAGTCAATACTCAGGTATTATATTCCATGAACATATTCAAACATAAATAAATAAGGTAATACATTATCTTTTTACATGTGTAAAAACACAGATTTTCATTTTTGGATGTTCATAAATTCTATATATTCTGTAGTCAGATTAGTAAAAGAATGAGAGCCTCATTATTCAATAATTTGTATCATTGCTTTTTGGTAATGATGTATAACTTCACACTTTAGTGAAATACTGATTACAATCTATAATTTTAGATTTCAGACAACTTCAAATTGTTCTTTCTTAATCTTTACATTTTTTATTTAAAGGTAATGAATTTTTAGATAGCCAGCAAACTAAAATTTGCTACTGTATTTTCTAAAGATGTCAGATAATTCTTCAAGATATGAAATCTTGTTTTGCACAATGTAGGCCATTCGTCCTATAAATAGGTAGGATTTTGCTATTCTATTTCTATACTCCAACAAGAGTATGGATAAATAATTGCTTTATCTTTATCTTCTGTTGAAATAAACAATAATATGTAAAAATGGGAATAAAATAATTCTGAAATTTAAAAAGACAAATTATCACTGAATATTTCTAGGAATTATAACAAAAATTACGTCTTTCAAAAAGTGTTTTTTTTTAAAAAAAAAAGTAAACTAAAAGTTAGTGATAATCCTTAAAGAAAAATGGTATTTAATTCCAAGCATCAAAGCAAACTGAATTTATCTAATGAGGGGCTACAAAAATGGCAGAAATGGATGTTTATTTGAAATAGAAATCCCTTTTGAATTTCAAAGACAAATGTCTTGGTGTATTAATAACTACCTTAAATTTTTTGAACAAAGTAGGTCATAAATTATTAAAGTAAGTAGAGACTGGATAGATTTTCATTCATGAATCTTGTAAAATTTTACAATATGCTGTTGTTATTCTTTTTAACACCTTTGTTCATATGACCAGATTACGAGAGATTTGCTGGCAGTTATTATGTTTTCGTAATCCCTGGAGCCCCTACTACGTAATGCACTGTCTTAGGCATAGTAACTTTTTGGAACAGGTACTGAAATGAACTCCTGTTTATTTTTTAACTTTATAAAGAATAAATATTTTTGGGCTGCTTTATTATATATGCTTGCACTAGCAGGAGATTTCCATTATATTAATGTGCTAGCAATGCATTATTATTGCACTTTTTTATTTTTCTATTCTTTTTTATTTCTTTCTCAAAATAACTGAGCTTCCTTGTCTTCAATCATATTATACAAGTTAATACCGACCTCAGAAATGCATTCTTCTAGTCATATAACTCTGCTAAACCTGTGTTCCAGAAAATTATTCTTCTTGTTTATTTTAGCTGATCAGGCAATATAGTGCCCTGAATTACAGCTTTGTTTTCCAACTTAATGAGGGTTAGTATTCCTCTGAGAAATGTGTACTGCTAAGGAAACTAATCTCCTACTTCATCCTGTCAATACAGTCTTGTCCTACCAACAAAGAGGAAGTTAAATGCTAATACCTAATGGTAGAACTGATTAGAAGAATGAAGAGAAGGTAAGTTCCATTCCTTAAGTCGGCCCAGCACATAGGGGAAATTATTCTTAAGAGCCCCAAATACAAGAATCACCTAGGTTTTCTGATAAATATAAAATATCATGGTGTTTCAACGTAGATGATCATATAAGAAAATATCATTGTAAGATTCAGATTGTACTTCATTTTAATTCATAAAGAAATTGTCAGGCACTAAAGAATGAAGTCCAAATGAAAGATGTTTAGAAAGTATATTAGATTGGAAAATCTAATTTTAATATAAAGTATAGGGAACGCTTTGACAAAGACTCTTTTCTGGACCTAACTCTAGTCAGGCTCCTGTTAACTCAGTTCTCAGCCCCTGACTTCTGAGCTTCTGCATTTGTCTCTATGTTGTCCAATTTTAGCAAGAATCCTGCTAAGTCAGTTTTATTTGAATCTTCACCCTTAATATATGATCCGCCTAGATATCCGTTTGGGTTCCTCATTCTTCACTATCCTGAAGGTGATATCTGACCACCCTGGCCTGTCTTTAGCAAGAATCCTGTTAGATCAGTTTAGCCAGAATCCCCTCTTACCCCTAATGTTTTCTCTTAGTAATTTTCCATCCACTGATCCCCATCCTGCTCCTTGGCTAGAAATTCTACTTTTTCTTGTTGAGTTCAGAGTTGAGTGAAACAGCTGTCTTCCACTTACCAAACCCCATTAAAGTAGCCCACCTTGAATAAGGTCTATCCCACAAGTCTTTAACAAGTATTATGAATAATTTTTTTATTAACAGCTTCAGAAAATGTATGACAATTAATATGTTTTACTACCAAAACAGTAAAACAGAAGACAGTTTTAAAAAAAAGATTAAAACGATATGTAGAAATGAAGTAGAAATGTTAGGTGCAGATATCAAGATTTAATTGTTGCTATGACTGGCAACATGATTTTGCCTTTCCTGGCAGAATCTAAGAATAGAAAGTGTTCCACTTGCAAGGATAATAAATGCTTTTTGTTATTAAAAGAATTTTGTCATGTAAGTGTCAATTTAAAGAAAATGTGGACAATATTGCCCCTGCACTTTTGGATAGTGTGCTCAATTTCAGTTTTACAAAGTTTTTTTTTTTTTCTTTAACAATGATCTCAAATAAAAACTAAAAGTATAAAAATGGTTCAGCAAAGATATTCATACTGCTCTAAATAATGGCTTACTAATATAATCTAAGAACAATTCTCAATACTGGGACAAAGAAATCTTGGAGTTTGGTAACCAAATGGAAATCTCTCAATCTGTAATTGCTCCCAGGCTTACCCTGGAGTTAACCAGGCATACAAGGTGAAATGAGCTGTTTACTTAGAAGTTATTTTCTAGAGAAGCATAAATAAGAGCATGTACTCTGAAATCACTGACAAATAAATATTACATTTAAGGAGCTTTCAAAGATGGTTCAGTAAAACTTTTTACTAAGATAAAAAGAGGTAGTACTTATCTAGTCCACAGGAAGAAACTTTCAGAATTTCAAAATAATAATCTTCAGTTTCTTTTTTACCAATTTCTAAGGAAATGAAAATGTTTCAACATTTTTAACCGAGGAATGTGTGTTACAAATATTATTAGTAAACCCCTTAACTTGTCTTCTTACTGGTTACAGAAGTCATTCAATTCACATGGTAACAATTCCACTGTAGTTTAGGCAACATGAGGCAGATTTGTCTCTGTTTTATACACTAATATCTCTGTGGCACCAACAAGAGAACTTGGCATGTAGAAGGTCCTAAATAAATGGAGTTTATTAATAATAAATTGAATAAAAAATAAATTTGTAAATAAAACACTCGTAATGTTAATCTGATTTTTCATTAATTATTATAATTTAAAAAAATTATTGGAAATGTTTCCATTAAAAAGAAGCCAACATATTTTGGAGATAAAAAAACACAACGAACACAACAACACACAAAATGCCACTAAATCATCACTCTGAGAATTGTTATGACTATTTTCAGAAATGTCCTGGTTTCTCCATTTCTCTTTAATAGTTATTCTTTAATACCCTACATAGAAAATGCATTATTCATTGACTTTTCTCTATAATGAAGAATTAGACAACCCTCTTCTCTCTAAGAGAGTTATATTTACAGTATCAAAATTGGACATGTGTGCAAATAAAATGAGTGACCAAGCATTAAATTTGATTTAGTAGATTAATTTTAAAAAGTGTACTACAAATAGCAAAAAACTGTAAGCATCTTATGAGCAATGATTACATATTTTCATTGCTATATTCCCAGGGTTTACACCAGTGCACATAATTCATCATACATCTAATGTACATTTTTTAAAAAAAGGGTCAAAAACAGAAGTGATCGACAACAAGCAAACAAAACTAACACCAAGTACTTAAATCTTTATATGCTGTTTTCCAATTGCCTCCTTAACTGCCATCTAGTAAAGCATGTCAGAACTCTGGGTGTTTCTAATTAAAGAATGCCTCTTTAGAAAACCTTAGCACAACTTACCCAGTTGACAGAGAGGCTTGGATAGCCCAAATTTTAACCCAGAGGTTAGCCTTATAATGTCTCCAAAAGTTACATGGTGTCTAACTAAGCTTTCTTTCTTACAATAAGCATCTACTTTTATCATTCCCCAATATACAATTTTGAGAACACTTGACATTTCCAAGGACCACTTGTCAATACATTAATTTAACTTCTAAAATAGCCCAAACTGTCTTCAAACTCAAAAGGTTATGAGGTACTATTTCAAAAGAAAAGTAAACCATTTTTAAAATTTAAAAACATTTTTGAAAAACATTTTTAGAGATTTTTGATAACAGTCTTTACATAAAAAAGAATCACTCAAATTTTGAAAAGAAAGAAAATTAAAATGAGACATTACGATATCTGACATAGAGAGACTATTAAATATTAGCTATTCTTAGCATGTCATGCACAAACTAAGTGGTAATTTTTAAAATCATCTTGTTTGAACTTGTCAAGAATTACCTTCTGAACAATAATTACAGCAATCACTGTTACTGGACTTATCTGAGACCAATATTTAGTAATAAATACATTTTAATTAATAGTTAATAATTGTCTGGTTTCAGATCTTGAGCAAATTGTCTTCAGCTTTGACTGATGCAAATATATATCTAAAATATAGGAAAGCATTTCAAAATTATATCACTTCTGTAATTAAAGAATCATGATAATAAACTTATTTACCTTACTAAAGATTATTAAAAAGAAATATTTTAACAGTTAATCAAACACTTATTATTGGAGCTGCTGATTCTTACTTGAAATCAGAATTGATTTCCTTAATTAACAGCTATGAATGATAGGTTTAAAAAGCCTGTCATATAATGACAAAAGTGATCTTTCATTTTTATTCTGGCCTATCTTACAATTGTAATTTGTTGTTTCGTCTTTCAAATTGATTGAACAAGATATTTGTTAAAATTTCTTCATTTCATGGCTGGATGAAAGATACATACAAAAACCTGCCAGAGTTCACTCTAAAAGGAAACAAGAATCCTCTGAATTATTTTCCCTATAGGTAAGTTACTATTCAAACATATTAGCGTTACATTTTTGACCAAAATATAAAGATAGCTACACACTTAATAAGACAATAATCTGACTTTGATATAAAAGTTCTCAAACAAGGAATTATGGATTGCAAAATTGTATATCTTTTGGGGGGTGGGAGTAGAGGAGGCTTATGAATCCATAAAGTGTCTCCACTCAAAAGTGAGTTAGTTGCATAAAACAATTAATTTAATTTTAAAAAGGTGTAAAAATTATTTCTAAAATATACTTTGAATGTCCTTTAAATTTTTTTTTTCAGGAGACCCTTTTTTCTTAGGTATGAAGTTTAAGTTTCAATTCACAGAGAAAGCTAGATTCACTTCTCTAGTTCACGTTAGGAAAAATAATAATGCTGTCTTTGAGTTACTCCAAATTACCTGCTGAAACTTTGAATAAGTAGAAATGAGTATCTTATACATCTGATAAGCACAGATTTCTTCATAATTGTTTACCCATAAATTTCTTTTAATAAAATTAACAAGTTGTTTAAAAAACTCTCTTTGGAGTAAAATTGATATTTAGGAAAAAATTACACTTTCTAGTTGTTGGTACTAATCATTGATAATTCATTTTCTTCTAAATTACTCCATTTTGAAACATATAGTCTTCTTCCTCATTATTGTTTGGTATAATCTTGACAATATTACTTACCACATTTATAAAATGTACTATTACTGTGTCTTTATATATTAGTGAACTGGTCTGGATGAATAATAAGAAATTCTATTACTGTAAACTCAAGTATAGTCATTTAATTTTAATATTTTCAATAAGCTAGACTTGATCTATGTATTAACATGCTTGGCGTTATATGCAAAAATGTTAAGAAAGCAAGCATTAATTATCTTAAAATAGTATTTTGTGCAACTTTGCTGCATAATTTATTCAATTTTTCATAATTTTTCTTCTACCAATTTAGAGTGTATTTATAATTATTTAAGAAGTGTTCATGTCTGAAAAAAACAGTATTTCTTCTGTGTATATACATTTACAGGGCTGACGTTTCAAACCATCAGAAATATTACCATACTAAAGTCATGAAAACCACTTTACTTATTATCTATCCCAGGAACTTCCTGATTTTATTAATTTTTGTTCTATATTTAGTTTAGCTATAACAGAAGGGGCTTTGGTGAGCAACATTAAATTGAATATTTAAAAGCAGTTACAAAAAATTTGTCTTAAAAATATATGCATAAGGTATTATATAGAACCCAATCATACTCAACCTTCATGCAGATATGTGCTTTTTAATATGATATTTGAATAAACTCATGCTTTAATGGCTAAATTTAGTTTTTGATTTAATTTAATCACATTTTTTAGACTGGCTTACATTTTTGAACAGCATCTGAAACATTTCAAAGAAAATATTTGTTATTAGTGACAGTGAGAATTTAATGAATCTGTAAAATAACATTGTAGTTATATACTGGCCACTATTTGACACTGAAAAATCTAAAATGCATGGTTACTGAATTCTGGTCTTCCCAACTCTAGATTGTTTTTTAATAGTGCAATATTTTAGAGATAGCTTTTAAAATTAACAAATGCAACAGTCCAGAAAAGTTAATAAAAAAAAGCTTAATCCTGATGAGCTTGGCTAATACTCACAGAAATCAGGAAAAATAAGTCTATCTATAAGTATTCTTTCACAATAAATCTATAATGGAATATAAATGAAACACACCATTATGAGAGAATAATTCTTACATGGCAGAGAACTATAATAAATTCTAATGTAATGTTCATGTATTTATTAATTTAATCAATAAATGTGTACTTTATAGATTTAATTTGCTGGAACTATAATATGGTAGCTACTTTATTAGCTATTAAAAGGAATTTGTTTTGCTTTGGGTGCTTTTAAAGGCAACCACATCTCATCTGAGTTAATTAGGGTTTAGGCATTAAAACAAATACTTATAAAAAAATAGTAAAAATAGGTTGCACTGAGGGTACTTTTTAACTCTAAACTTGAACAATAAAACATTGACAAATTATGAATAGTGATTATTGAAAATAACAATGAAATAGAAGAATGAGAATCTATAAGATTTCTCAGTTTAGTAGATTGCATGTCATTTTTCACCATCTCAATTGATACAATCATGGTTGAATATAAACATTTCAAAATTTGAACACAAACATGTATTTCATGATAAAACATCAAGTAATCCAATCGACTCATTATAAATATTTATGCTATATCTTTCAATTTTTGGGAAAAGATATTGATTAGTAAATCATAATTGAGTTATTGCAATTATTAGAGCATCAATTAATTACTCTTGATTAGTTATTTTGAGTATGAAATTGGGAAATGCTCCAGAACTGTATGAATGAATACTTTATTTTAAACATTAAGTGTAGAGGAGTGGATTAAAGGCTTATAAAGTAAGCTTATAAAGTAATTATGAAGACTTTGTAATTGGATAGGTCTGCAGGTGAGTAATTGGATACAAATATTCTTGCTAGCTTATATTTATGCTTTGAAAAGATAGGGGCAGAAACCTTCAAAGTTCTTTGTGAGGATATTTCATAACCAGTATAAAATCGTTATGGTGGCTATTTGATGCTATTAAAAAATAAAAAATTAAGAACTTGGCCAGGACTTCCAAGTATATCTTCAGTAGAAAGGTCATTAGTGTTCATTATTAAATTTTATACTCAGAGGCTCATTTTCAAAAAACAGGATAGAATATTTCCTAAAATAGAATAAATATTATTAAACTATCCTCCTCCTTTTAGCAACTAAGATTATCCATTAGCAATCAATAATATTCACATAGATTATTTGTTATTTTGCTTTCCTTTAAAAATTATGAATTATTAACACTAAAATAATAAAGTTATACAGAACACATAGTAGTGCATGAAGAAAGTGGACAGAGTTATACTTCGAAGTGTCTAAATAAGTTTATCCAAGTAGTTGCTAAATTAAAACACCAAAAATGCCGGATGTCATCCTAATTAATTCTAGTAAACTTTATATGAGTTTGTAAAAAGCATTGGAAATTAGAAGTTTGACTGTCTAAAGTTTCTCCATTTTTAAATGATTACATGAAAATATTTTAATCTTGTTCCCAATTAAGAGTAGAGATCATCAGGTTGACAATATAAATCTGCTAAGAAATCAGATGTCCTTTCTATTAAATAACAATGAGAAACCAATCAAAAGCAACTATTTTGTAAAGGTGACTGTACCCCAAACTGAATAAAAGCAAAGGTAAATATACTATAAATAACAACTAATATGCCTCAGGAAGTGTATTATTTCAAGCTTTTTAAATTACACATATTGAAACTGTTATACTTAATCAATATCAAATATTTATTAAATTCATTTGACACCATAACACCACTGACCAAGAAGATTTGATACTAGCATTAAAAAAAAGTTGAGTCAACATTGTTTATTGTGTGGAGATACAAGTTTATCAAAAATGTCTAATTAAAAATTCAAACTTACATGGTATCCCTTGAAAAATATATTTTGTTTTCATAACATATTTGTCCTTTTAAAGCATCCATATCTCTTATGTCATTTTATGTACAACTCTCTGAGGTAGGCATTGTTTCCTCCATGTGAGAGATGAGAAAAATAAATGAAGAGTGGTCAAGAAATCTTACCAGGAGTACATTAATGCCAGGTAGAACTAGAACTGAAATTCAGGAAGGAAGTCTACGTGTACAAGCACTCTACTTTTCCCAATAACCCTTTATTACGATGTGAAAGAAAAAAACATTAAAAGCCTTAGAAGAGAACATCACTAATCATAAGCACACAATCATAATATCCAAAAATCTTTGGGATATTTTTCAAGAAAAAATATTTTTTTTCTAAAAACAATATGTGTGCAAAACAAAGATAACACAAGTTGGTGTCATATTCCAATTTGCGTCTGAACTCTTTTAATATTAATATGCAATTTGCTAAATTACAAAATGTTTCAGACTCTTATTCTAGTAAATAACTGCCTCTTTTAAAGATAATGTGGAAAAACTAAAAATAAATACAGGAAACATAAGAAACTGAATCATAGGTTGATAATGAAACATAAAAGTTTGGAAATCCCAACAGTTGCATTCTTTGTACTTGTGGAGAGAAACCCACAAATACACTACACTGCAAATAAATACACTTTTATTTAAAGAATCCTCAAATCTAGGAGTCAAGATAATGGTAGAAATTACACACACACACACACACACACACACTTTGAGTCCCAATGGTTTCTTCCTACTTAGGTTTTATTTACTTAATTATAATGTACAATAACTTTGCATGGAGAAAATCAAGATGTATTGTAGTTTATGAAAATGTACATTTCTATGATGATGATGAATTTCTTAAGATAAGATATCCTATGAGAGGATGAAATCACGTAATATTATCTGATTAAAAGAAAATGAAATTGATCGTTATATGGTATCATGTCTATTTCATTTGGAAAACATTATTAAAACAACATAGATTTAAAATAAATACCTTCTCCCACCACCAAAAATGTGTGCATGTATACAAATATATATGTATACACACACACAAACATATATACACAATGAGCATATCTACTACAATAAAATTGCTAAGGATTAAATGCAAAAGTATTAGGGAATTAGAATTCATTGACAAATTACTTTCCCTAGTGGAGGAAAAACTACCTTTTGCATCCAACTAAGAAAAGCACTACAACTTTGCAATTTTACAACCCAAAGTTACAATTATCTTTCTTATTTCTTCCAGGTTTTATCAGTAAGCCATACTAGCAGAAAAATTATTGATCAGGGATCTACATCAATAAATATAAGTACTAAAACTATTTCCAGAGATAATTTAAATAATACAATTTCTTAGAGAAGAGAAAGTGTTATTAACAAATAGAAGAGTTTTATGATGGTGTTTTAGTAATTTTTCTCTTTTTTTTTTTTTTTTGCTTCACTGTGTGGAAAGTCCAGGCTCCTTCAACATGTTAGCAAAAAATAACAAAACAATATCAATAATAATAACAAAGCTTATTTGAGTATTCAGAATGTGTTTGTCATTTTAATTGAGAAAAATCTGATAGTGGAAGAAATCTATTGGCTGCTCAATCTACAAAACTGAAAATGTAAAATAAATTTATTTGGGGAAGAAAACCCATAATTTTCTATTTTTTTTTTTTTTTCAGTTTTCCAACTGGTTTTCTAAACCCAAAGATTTTCATACTGGGGTTGTACGCTACACTGCCCTTGGGCAAGCTTTCTTCTTTTTTCCTTCTATTTTACAACCCAACCCACCCCCACCTCATGTATTTTTTCTTAAGGTGGAGAAAATAATGGAAATACCTACAAAACAGTTCTCTCGAGTAGTCAGAATTAATTTGATAGTTCAAGAAACCCTTAATAGTTCTTCACCTGTCCTTTATATATTAAGGTCTGGGACCTTAAGAAGAAGCAATGTTTTTAATGCATTTCTGCAACTGCCATCTTCCATGTTTTATTAAGATTATACATTTCTTCTTCTAACTCTCTACCCTTCCCATTTCTTCCTCTAACCTTGGTCCAGTTTCTGATTTTTGTAACATGGCTACACATTTAAATAAATGCACACTAAGCAGTTAAATTAATGCATGTTAAACATCTAAACTGTTTTACCCTGTTTCGTGAATGTGAATATTAAGAAGTTATGCATCATAGCAGGACCAACTGAAAATGCATATATTCCATTGCTTGCAACACAGAAAAAACATCACGATAGTAAAACACAAGTTATATGATTGTCAAGAAAATACATTCATTCCTTACCTGCTTAACTGCATGATGACAAACAAATCTATGTAACACGCAAAAGAAAGTCCCCAAAATCTGAATCATCTGTCTTCCAAGCTGCTGTGGCAGTTTTATATCCTGGTGCTCTCTTCTTTGCTTACGTACATTTGACTAGATAGAATATTTTTAAGTGATACTAAGGTTAATTTGCAACCCTAGTCACCTTTTCCTTCTTTCAAACAGCCAGTGGGCATTTTACACAGCTCCAAACATGCATCTTATCTTCGGAGGTAGTGCCTACACGGCGTTTCCCAGCAGAATTCCTGTTACAAGGAGGTTCCTTCTCTAAAGGGCTGATCACGTTCTCGACCTGGTGCAAAGTAAAAGCCTCTCCGGTTCAACTCTTGGGGACTAGGAGAACAGCCATCAGAGACTTAAACTCTCTGTCACTGTTTGGCTGTGGAACCAGCAGTAACCAGCGGCCAAGAAGCACCACCCCCTCTCCGGTGGACTCTGGAAGAGAGCGCTCCCAGTCCCAGATCTTCCTACTTCCCACCCCCACCTCCAGAAAGAGGAAAATAAAAATAAAAGGCCAACTTTAAAGTGGGTATAATATAAGCTAGACAGATTCCAAACCCTCACTCTTTGCTTTTAACTTCAACCTTATATTCCAAGCTCTAGCTTCAAGTTGAAATCTAACTCTCTTCCGCTCTCCCCACCGCCCTCCAGATTCTTGGGAGTTGGTGAAGGAAAGGAAGGAGTGACCGTCAGCAATAATACTTTAACACAGAGCCTAAGAAGTCATTCAACAGTTCTAAACCCTACTTCGCAGTCAGACAAGGACAGTGATTAGGGTTTTATAAAGCAGGCATTCTGAGGAATCGTCGTTTACTAACGTTAAATATAGCTCATTAAAATAAATAAATATTAACGCAAAAAGGTACTAAGAGACTCCAGAGATCTTAAGTCTATTCTCTCATACAGAAGAGGTTTGCTCAAGTTTGGCTTAGGAAGGTTGGAAATGGAGCATTCTGGAAGGATGGAAACCCCCTGGCGCACCCCACTCTATGGGGCTGCAAATGCCCACACCAAGCACACGTTCGCTGCAGGGGCTGAGTGCAGAGCCTGAGCTAGCAGGTCAGAGTAGGGGACACCTTTCCTACACGCATGGGTTATTCCCACATCAACACCAAGCCTGGGGCCAGCTGGTCAACCAGGCACCTTGCTCTCCTCCGTTCCCTGAGCTCAGGTGGCATAGGCGTTGCCGTGAGCTGCGGAGAAATCTCCACGCAGAGTCGCCTGTTGATAACCCTCCAGTTAAAACGTTCTTGGCAGCGGGAGCCCCTCAGATGTAAATTTCCCTTTCACACGCTTGAGCTTCAGGTATAATACAGCAAAACGCACTTACCTAAATACTGACTGTCTGTTCCTTACTGGATCTGACTGTACTGAAAGTTTTTTTTTTCTTTTTCTTTTTTTTTTCCTCCCTCCACCCTTGCGCAACAACAGCAGTCCTCCAAAGAGAATGTTTGAATTGAATTATATGAAGCCCTCCTTTCTTCAAATGAAGTCACGGACTCTGATGGCACTGGCTTGTCAGGCAGGACGACCGGACTGGGAAAGAGACCAGGTAGAAACTAGTGACCTAGTGACGGGTGAGGGGCGCCAAGTGGTGCGGACCACAGTCTCAACCCCCGTTCCCTCTCGGTGGGAGTCAAGGGGGAAAAGCCCTTGAATCCCGAGACGGGGGGATGGGGCGACGCTGCAGCTGGAGTACTTTTATGTCTGGGAGCTAAAAGGGCTTTTGAATTTAAAAAAACATTGCTTGGGTTGTCGCGTCAGCCATCAATGACGACAAGAATAGTTATTTCCCAGAAATTAAAAAAAAAAAAAAGGAAAAGAAAAGCGTGAACAATAGGTTCTTACCTCCATGTATCCCAAGAAAAGGAAATGTTGTAGAGACCAGGAACTTGTCCTTAATTTGAGGGCGGGGGGCGGATGTTCAGAGAAAACCCTCAGTGGGTGTTAAAAATTACCGATACATGCAGGTTTGGCATTTAATGAATATCGTGCTTTCCTCATTATGTGTCAATTGTGAAGTAAAAGTAAAGATTAAAATGTTTCTCAACACAACTATACGGAAGAGGAGGTGATAATCTTGTCAGTTAAGTCCATAGAAATGTTCATAAAAGCAAAAGGCACTGACCATATTAACATGCCTATTAAACACAAGGGTTGGGGGCAGACAAGTATGAAGAGTGAGGCAATTAAATTTTTCATGTAAAGTCTATTCTTGAATTTCAATTTATCAGAACCAAGATAATCAGGGGTTTCTTCTGATTGCTCCTCTCTGAAATGAGTACTCTGTGTCCAATTAACTGTTCACCAGCTAATTCACAAAATCAGAAATGTACTGACAAATACTATGCCTGAATTAAAATACAATGCCTAAAATAACGTGCTTATGTGTGATTTGAAATATTTTAAGAAAAAAAAATGGTGCCCTCAAAACTCACAGTCCTCTTCCTACCATTCAGTGGCATTTTAGTGCTTAAGGTCTTGCTAAATTCATAAAAATACACTTTGCAACAAAGTCTTCCTTCAGTCATGTAATTGCTTATCATGAACAAATGCTGACCTGAACAACCTTCTGAATATCCGACTAGCGAACTTTCCAGACCTTGCAATTGTCAGAAGGTCTCTTTTAAGCTCTCTCTTAGATAAACCTATAAAATGTGACATTTCAAATGGCACAGGAATGTGTGCCAAGAAGGGTTAATGGGGGTGGGGGCGATTAATGTCCGTGTAACCCATAATATAAATGAGGACAAATATTTTAAAAATAAAGAAGGTAAAAGATATTGGGGTAATACATGGGATATTGGGGTAATACATTACATGGGTTATGTCTTAGCAGTGCAGTTGCCACTAACATACTAATTAATAAATATGGCCATATGGATCTTTCAGTTCTGAAAGTAACAAAAATGTGAAAAATGAAATACTTCAACAAAACAGAGCTTATTAAAAATAGCAATAGTTAAGTTTCTAGTAACAGATAAAGAGAATAACTTACCAGAGGAAATTTCAGGAAGCAAGAAGACTGTGAGAAAAATACATCCAGGATTCAAATAGATATTCCATGATCTTCCAAATCAAGGTAAAGTAGTGAGCTGCAGGGTAGTAGGACTTTAAAATAATCAGCAGTTCCTGGTGGCATGTAACCAAGTAAAAACCAGTTACACAGAGAGCCACGAACCCCCAAGGCAAGAAAGCAGAATGTGAAAATGCTTTATATGGGGGGGTGGGGAATGGTGGGGGGTGATTCGTGGTGATCCTTAAGCAAAGTGAAAATTTACAGGCTGCACATCCCCATACAGTGGGGAAAGGCAGAAGCTGTGTAACCCCAGAGAACAGGAGGTGGAATACAGATAAATCTGCAAAGAGAAGTAAAAGGATGTGTTGAAGACAACGAGATAAAGAGAGAACTAGTGAGCAAGGCTGTAGTCATCCTGATAGATATAGCAGCAAGAATGATTTAGGCTGCTGGGGAGGATCCAATGAGAATTCAAGAGGGCACCACTTCGGAAATCCTGCTCTGATCTTCCCACTCTCAGTTCTTTAAGAGTTACCTGCGTTGGGACCATTATCATTAGGATTAATAGTATTCCATCAGTGCATTTCACTAGTATTTCCCTTGAACATTTTCACTTGCAGCAACTGAGGGAGGCGTAGTAAGGAAGCCCAACACAACCAATTCCCCCACTCCCCAAATAAACCACTACGACCGGTCACATTACGATGACCAAATCATCAGCGATTTGCACGAGGCGGTGGGGGGTGGGGGGTGCGGGCGGTGATCGAAGGGCTGAAGATGCGGAGGAGGCCGAGTCGCTAGGCGCTTTCGGGGGCGCTGTGCCGGTGAGGCTTAGGCAAGGGGACGGGGAACCGTGGTTAGATGCAGCAGCGGCGGCAGCAGCCCTCCCAGGTCCCACTTCTTTGGCGTTCCTGCTGCCTGTGACTCAAGACAATTGACTTCCACCTGAACCCTCAGCTCCGAACGCCTTGCATTAGAAGCTAGAGCTTTGGAGGTTCTGAGGACGGTCCCTGGGGAGCAAGTGGTAGGTTTCGAGGCGCCCGCTTCCCCTCTGATTCCTGCAGTAACTGAGAGAGAGTGTGCCAGAAATGGCTTTGCTGCCGAATGCATTATCTTGCCATTTTCGTGTCCCAATACTGAACAAACGATCGCCTGATCGATCGGTAAGATTAGCTTTATTCCTTCTCCCTATTCCTCTCCTTGGCCCCATTCCCTCTGCAAGTCCAAACCCCAGTCTCTCTCTCTCTCTCTCTCTCCCTCCCTCTCTCTCTCTCTCTCTCTCTCTCCAGGAACTTCTTCCTCTTTGAAACCGGTTTCCCAAGGGAACTGCCTGTGTGACTGAGAGGCTAGTAATCTGTTTGTAGATGATTTATATTTTGGCTGCAGAATGAATCCCCCTCCCTACTCGGAGTACTCTCCTTAGAGATGATCCCCCGCCCCCTCCCCATGGGTTCGCTCTCAGAGCTGGGATCTGTATAAAGAGCGCTGTGGGAGTCTTTTGCCCTCCGCTCTAGCTCTATCTTCCTCCGGACCCCGAAGCTTAAGAATTATCCGCCTCACTCTCTTTTTTAGAAATAGGAGGGAAAGGTAGAGTGGAAATTGATTTCTTGCAGAGACTGAGGCGCTGAATGATAGAGGGAATAAACATTTGCCCTGGATAAAAATGTTCTTGGTAAGTAATCTTATTTTCTGCGGTTGAAAAAGAAACAGATTGCTTCTCACTGCCCCATCCCCCACTCCATTCATTTATTTGCTCTCTGTATGTAAATCACGAGCTGGGTCAGTGGAAATTTTTTTTTCCTCTTCCCTAGGAGAGTAGTAGCTTGTAAGGGTGAAATTGAAGTAGAGGGTTTTAAGGAGACAATATGAACGCTTTAAGGTCCTTTATATCCTGCATTAAAAACTCAAAGACAGATAAAGCAGTTAAATCCCTGTTTGTTTCCAAAAGTGGTATTTAAGTATTTCCCTTATTTCCTACTAACTGTCTTTCCTTTCTGAAAATAAAGAAAAGAGTTTTAGGTAGTGGGCTCATGTCTATGCTTTTAGTATGTCTTGGCCATGTTCTGAAATACAATTTCAGTTCCAAAATTAAGAATGGTTATTTTTCACATTTCGCAGGTATATTAAAGCTATAGAAACCACTTATTAAATGTGCATCTCGGTTCCAATTATTGCACCAGATACAAATTAGTAGTATCCACAATGGCATATTGTGGTGGTACTACAAATTCATAAAGCCCTCTGGTTTTCCATGAGTCTCTAGCACCCCCAGCCTGTGCACGCTCACAATGTGAAGAGTGGATTGGTGTAGCAGTAGGGAAGAAGCCAAACGGCTCTTGATTGTGCTTACATCATATGTCATTAAGTGTAGAGAATAACATGTTTTGCAAATTGTGTGAACTTGGTTTTCAAGAGTAAGCTGACCATTTTTGATGCACAAAATTAAGGGAGATTTGCTCTCAGAAAAATCATTGCATTTTTAATTATAAAATATATTTTACTGGTAAAACATTTAAATTAAACTTTCTTGTCTATTGTTATTATCCTACTGCAATTTATTATCCTCTAAATTTAATGACAAAGAATAAGCTAATTGGCACAAAATGCATTCCTGATGAAAACAGGATGACTGAAAAATCATCTGAAATGTATAATACTAAAATGTTATTGGTAAGATAAACTTCATTTTAGAAAATCAGTATTCTAGAAATCAGTAGTATAAAATTTCAGAAGAGAGGTAGTCAAGTGGCATATTGCAAGACAAAATATGTTTGTTCTCAACTATCTATATAGTCTTTATAGCCATCAACATTTGCAAGAGAAAAAAAATTCACTAAGGGCATGTTGGTATAACACTTTTTTCTTTCTCTCCTCAGGCTGTTGTCCAGCTCTAATGATGTCCTAGAGCAGAAGTGTTTCTTCTGATGTCTCATTTTAACAAGAGGATGATGTCTGTGTATGTCTCTGTGTTTTAGAGAGGCTGGCAAATGCTGCTAAGAGGATCTGAGGTTCACATAAAGAGGATGAAAATTCTGAATTACTTTCATTGCAAATAAACCTTAACAATTGTGAGAGTTAGAGAGCATACTTTTCACATAAGACTTTGGTATGCTGCCTAAAGCTACTTACATAATTTGCTATTCAGAGAAATGCATTTGTTTATTGAGGACCCACCCGGACTTAAATTGGAAAAATGTAACATTCAGATTTTTATTTTATATGTGAAATAAATGTGTGATTGCTGTTCTTAAAAATTTGAAAAAAAAAGGATAACAAGAATATTAATTTTGTGACCCATAGTTCATGAACTTTAAAAGTGTTTACAGCATTTAAAGTTTATTTAACAATTTAAGTATTTGAGCACTATACTAATTCATATGGTTACATTTGATCAACTCCTTCATGAAGCCATAGGCTTTATATCTCCTAGCTGCCTTTTACCTTCAGAACAAATCTGGTTTATACTTAGATTGCTCCAAAAGTTATGCATTTTAATTTTATGTTGAAAATGTCTTTCTTAGATAATCACGGTGCATATTTGCAGCTAATACTTTAGTATATTTTATATTATTGGTAATGCTTTTGTTAGCCATCCTGGTGCTGCCTTCTTATAAGAGCTATGTATGAGAACCAACTAATATATTTCTTTTTTTTTTTTTTCTTTTTCTTACCTATTAACCCACTAAAATTTCTAATCTAAAAGCAATATTCAAGTTACATTTTATTACAGAAATTGGAAAGCAATTTGCCTGGGAAGCAAAATGTTGATATGATTCAGGTGATTTTAACATTAAATCTAACTTGTAACAAAAACGGATTATATAAAGATAAATAAATTGAGACTATTATTTGCATAGCAAAGAAAGTCAAACATGACCCACACATTTATGCACATATAATTAATTTCAATAAAATGTTTATATTTATTCATTTTCATCTCTGCTATGTTTGCTTTTAGAGTTTTCTCTTTGAAAGAGTCTAAAGTTTTAAAAATACCTGTGTATGCAGGAATCTTCACATTTTATTTTGTAAGATCAATAATGCTGCTAAATAAACTGGGGCTAATGTGTTCAAGTCTCATAAAAAGTGTGTTGGAACTTGAATGGACATTAAGGAACATTTAATCTTATCACTCATGATGATGAAGAAGTTAAGAACCAGAGAGGTTAAATGATTAGTGTAATCATACACTAACTAATAACCTAAGGAACTTTAAATGCAGGTTTATTAACTTCTTAGCTAGTGTTCATTCTATATTAGTTACATTCTATTACTAAGACAGGCATTGTTTGAGAGGGGGCCTAGGAAATAAGTGAAAGGAAGAGAAAGTAGTACAAAGATGAATAAATAGTAGCCAGTCTTTTTAGAGTCCATTTTGTTGATAACTAATACTCTTTATTGTAGAAAACTTTTATTCCCCTGCTTTATTTTATCCTCCACTCCGCCGCCTTCCCATGATTGGAGATTTCATGTAATTTACCTTTGCAGAAAATATCTTCAGTATTCTTAGACATAGTGCGGTGGCTCGCACCTGTAATCCCAGCACTTTGGGAGGCCGAGGCGGGCGGGCAAATCACGAGGTCAGGAGATGGAGATCATCCTGGCCAACATGGTGAAAACCTGTCTCTACTAAAAATACAAAATTTTTCTGGGTGTGGTGGCACGTGCCTGTAGTCCTAGCTACTCAGGAGGTTGAGGAGAATCGCTTGAGCCAGGGAGTCGGAGGTTGCAGTGAACCAAGACCTTGCCACTGCACTCCAGCCTGGCAACAGAGTGAGACTCTGTCTCAAAAAAAAAAAAATATATATATATATATGTGTATATATATATATATATATACACACACACACATATATACACATATATATGTGTATATATATATGCATATATATACACATATATATGTGTATATATATATACTATATATACACATATATATACGTATATATATACATATATATACACATATATATACGTATATATATACATATATATACGTGTATATATACATATATATACACATATATATACGTGTATATATATATATAGTCAGTATTCTTTTTGTACACTCATTGAGTTGCTGTTCCCTAGACTATTTTCCCTCATGGTATATAAACTGTCGATAATTTCAACCACCTGCAGTGTCATACTCCGTCATGTCACCTGTCTGCTCTACTTTTTAAATTCCCTAAAAATGTAGAAATAGGATTGTTCCAAGAGGAAAGCTGTCCTCTCAAAATAAGAAGTTTAATTAGACTCTAATACATATCTGAAACTATACACACAGAAACACACACACACAATATGAAAGAAACGCAGAGACTAAGACAACATCTTTTAATGGAAACATTATGTAAAACATACAAACAAAAAAATCTCACCACATGTTCCATTAGTATAAAAATAGTTTCTAATTTGAATAAAAGCTACAAGACTTCAACTATTTTGGAAGGTTCAGTGTTCTGGAGTAGTTTGAGCCATACCAGTGTTTTCATATACATCAATATTTGTGTGTTACATACAAGCCATTTTTGTTTTGAAAATGGCAATTCTAAAGTAGAATATCAACATTAAGATCTATTTGGCACTAATCATCACTTCAAAAGGGTTATCATTACTGGATTAAACAAGATGAACATAGAATCAAATCAAACATTTTAAAATGTCTGCAGTGTATGCTTTTAAAATTTAAATTTTTGCACTAATCTGAAAAATTAGTGCTTTATAGAAGCATTTCTAGAACCATATTTCAGTAGCATTTGTATTGCTGTGTGTGTTTTTGTGTGATTAATAATTAGTTTTCAGGCCATGCGCGGTGGCTCTTGCCTGTAATCCCAGTACTTTGGGAGGCCAAGGCAAGCGAATTGCCTGAGGTCAGGAGCTGGAGACCAGCCTGGCCAACATGGCAAAACCCCCTTTCTACTAAAAATACAAACATTAGCTGGGCATGGTGGCAGGCACCTGTAATCCCAATTACTTGGGAGGCTGAGGCAGGAGAATTGCTTGAACCCAGGAGGCAGAGGCTGCAGTGAGCCGTGATCACACCACTGCACTCCAGCCTGGGCAATAGAGCAAGACTCCTTCTCAAGAAGAAAAAAAAAATAGTTTTCACATGCGTATAACTGGGGGGCAGAGCTTAACCTATTTCAAAGCACATACTGTCAACTCTCAGTTCCATGAAGAAGGAACCATGATTATGTTTTTATTCTCAACTCAGTGACTTTGTATCACTACCACCTAGCACATCTCCTTACATAGAGAAGGAGCTCAATGAATATTAATTTAATGGATGAAACTAAGAACTTCATCAATTTTTCCCTCTTTAACATTCTTGCAAAGGTTTATTGCATTTAATTTGTATCCAGCATTTAAAAATATTGTTATTAAATTACAGCATTATTCAAAAAACTTTTGGAATATTTGACATACATTTGGCCTAATAAACCAAAGTATATTAGAAATCATGACCTTTGCACAAGACTTTATAGTCTTATAAATACCTTACTATTCACCATATTAATTTAATCCTTTCACCATGTTGTGAAGTAACTTAGTATTTTATCTTAATATGAGAGAAGTGAGATATGAGGAAATTGAAGCACTGTTACTAATTTCTATCTTAGTCTGCTCATTCAGGCTGTTACAAGGAAATACCATAGACAGGGTGGCTTAAACAACATAGGCTGGGAATTCCAAGATCAAAGTGCCAGCTGATTTGATTTCTACAGAGGGCCTGCTTTCTGGTTTGCAGATAGCTTCCTTGTCACTGTGTGGTCACATGACTTCATAGGTGTGTGAAAGTAGAGGAGGGGGAGGTGGTCGAGAAAGATAACTTCTTCTTTTTAAGGGCACCAATGCTATTATGTGGGACCCACCTTTATGTTCCACTGTAAACCTTATTATCTCCCTAATTCCTTACCTCAAAATACCATCACACTGAAGACTAGGGCATCAACATACAAATTTTGAGAAGATGCAAACAATCAGCTCTTAAAAATTACTAAAAGACATTGTTGAATTCTTTTTATTCACTGTATTGTATTTCCTAGTTTGTTGAAGAAATATGATGAAAACGTCATATAATTTTACTAACAAGTTATATATATAAGTGTACATTCTTCATGTGTCAACTTCTTGCAAGTAAAATACATTTAAGGAAGAGTGAAATGTTTGTAGTATCATAAGCTGAATTATAAAACTGTTAGTTTATAATTATTTAACATTTTGCTACTCAAAGTTCTCAGAATTAACATTTTTTGACATTAACAAAAATAATTATTCTTTAAATTATTTGTACCACCAACATTTATTTATTAGTGTAGTGACTAAAATATATTCATTGGCATAGTAGATATATGAATTTATGCATATTGATAGGCATATATATATACGTACAATTTTTGAAACAACTTACAAAAATAATAAATATGAGAATATTCAAGGAAATGGTAAGATATAACTTCCTTACAATCTTTCCTTGTAACTGGATTTTAATGATTAACTAGTATGGGTGTGGTAGAAACAATAATGACCCCCAAAATGTCCACATCCTAATTCCCAGAACCTGTGATAACTTCCCTTTTGTGGCAAAAGGGACTTTGCAAATGTTAAAACATTAAGTATCTGGAGATGTAGAAGTTATCTTAGATCAGCTGTAAATGCCCAATGTAATCACAAGCATGCTTGCAAGAGGGAGGTAGAATGAAAGAGTCAGAGATGTGAGGACAGAAGCATTGGTGGAGTGATTGGGAGAAGTGAGGAGAGTAGCCAAGAAATGCAGGCAGGATGCCCTCTAGAATCTGGAAAAGGGAATATTCTTCCCTAGAGCTTCCAGAAGAAATGAAACATTGCTGGCCCATTTTAGGCTTCTGACCTCCAGAACTGCAAACTAATACAATTTATGTTACTGTAAGTCATTATACTTGTGGTAATTTGTAACAGCAGCAATGGGAAACTAATACTCATGAACAGAGTAGAACATAAGTAGTATGTTCTTTCTTCTCTAGGAACTAGATGATTTAACAGCAAACTCTTGCTTCCTCGCCATTCCATTCCTCCAGGTACTGAGCAAATCACCATCTTTCATGAGTCAAGAACTGAGTTGAGGCTGGGCACAGTTGTTGACACCTGGAATTCCAACTCTTTGGAGGGTCTAGGCAGGGAGGGTCCCTTGAGCCCAGAAGTTCTAGACCAGCCTGGGCAACATGGCAAAACATGGTCTTTACAAAAAATACAAAAATTAGCCAGGCATGCTGGTGTGCACTGTAATCTCAGATACTTAGGAGACTGAGGCGGTAGAGTTGATTGAGCCCAGGAAGTTGAGACTACAGTGAACCATAATTACACTGCTGCATTCCAGCCTGGGCAACAGAGTGAGACTCTGTCCCGAAAAAAATAACAACAAAGTTGATTCTTCCTATTCATTTTACATGAGGGATGGATAGGAAATCAGAGTAGGGAAAAATAGACATAGCACTACTTTCTAGAAATTAACTAGTGAATTAAAGATATATAGTATTACATAATTTTATTTATTTAGAATATAACATTTAGCGTATAGCCTCACACATATTAGCACAAAATACATGCTGACTTAGGTACAACAAATATTGACATAGCTGTGAGAAAGTGCATAATGTTCATTAAATTTGAAGATTATGTGAAATGTACTAACCTTGGTATGAAGAAAAGACACTAAACACAATAAAATTAAATACAGAAGCTGCTAATAATTAGCAAAATATTTTAAAATTTTTGAGATTTAAAATGAGACCACCCAAAGAATGACTGGCAGGGAGTGGGAGGACTTTTATTTTTATTGAAGAGATTGATATGAAGCAAATTGACCTTTTCTTCTTACGTTTTTGTACAGTATTGTAATTAAGAAAAGGAACTGAACATTTACTTAATTAGAATGCATCATTAATTTTAGTGTCTCATGAACTCCAAAGGCCTTTCACCCCTTTAATGAAAATAAAGAAGAACTAAGCTACTTGATTGCCAATCCTCTCGGGATCTCTAAATCTCTCTAATGCTTGTATTTCCTATTCAAAAGAAATACATACTTTGTAGGAGGATGAAAAACAATCCTTCACATTGATTTTACGGTTTTGCCTCTGAGGAGAAAATATGAATTTATAGACAAAAGTAATTTTAAAAGACTATATAAAGTGAATTCATTTCTTATTTATGGAAAGAGACCAAGTCTAAAAGTCAATTCAACAAATATTTATTGAGCATTTATTCAACAATCATTTATTGATAGTATTACATATAAGAAGCAAGATTTTAAATGTTACAAGGATGTAAATATAAGTAAGTTACATTATTTATGTCCTAGTTAGAGGATAAGAGGAGTATACTGACAAATATAAAGGTTTTTAAAACTGCCTCCTATATTTAATTTACATAATCAATCATCCTTTTATAAGAAAGAAAAAAAAATATTGATTGTGATCTATGAGCCAAGCACTTCCTAGAAAAAAGTGCTGAATAAGACAACCAAAGGCACATACCCCAAGTATCTGCCAACTGTTAACACTGTCATAATAATGAAAACAAAACAAAAAAAATAATGAAACTATCCTTAAATGATTGCTGCTGTCTTTAGCCTAGGCATATGATCTCCTCAGCCATACATCCAGCATGCTTCACGCCTTTTGTTTACTTATTAGCTTCTGTAAGCATATAAGATTGTTATCTATTTCTTGCATTTGTTGGCAGGAGGGGTTTCCTTAGAGTTTAAGAGGCAGCAGTTGAGGCCGGATGAATGATCTGGTCCATATAAGTTAAGTGTTGTAATGAACAACTCCAAACTTCAGTTGCTGAAAAGAAAACTTAGCTGGATGTCGTGGCTCATGCCTGTAATCTCAGTGCTTTGAGAGGCAGAGGAGGGAAGATTCCTTGAACCCAGGAGTTTGAGACCAGCCTGGGCAACATAGGGAGACTTTATCTCTCAAAAAAAAAAAAAAAAATTAGCCAAGTTTGGTGGTGCACACCTGTGGTCCCAACCTCCGGTTGAGGCTGAGGTGGGAGGATCACTTAGGCTGGGGAGGTCAAGGCTTTAATGAGGCACTGCACTCCAGCCTAGGTAACAGAATGAGACCCTGTCTAAAAAAAAAGAAAAAAAAAAGAAAGAAAAAAATAAGAAATAAGAAAGAAATAAAATTTAATTTTGTATTCACGCAAGGTTCATTTGCGTCAGCAGGATGAGTGAGGTGGTCTGATTCACAGTGATTTAGGACCCCAGTAGCTTTTCATTGACTAACCCAACATTGTAGGAAGTCTTTTGATGTTCTCTATGCATTTGGTAAATGAGGGAGAGAGCGTGGATGATCTTTTAGGAGATTTTGCGGGCCAGCTCCAGAAGTGGTCCACATCACTTCCCTTCACACTCCACTGAGAACACCTTTTCATGGCCACATCTAACTACAAAATAAATAAACAAACAAACAAATAAATAAATAAATAAATAAATAAATAAATAAAAAGCTGTAAAATGAAGTCAAACTTTGTGTCCAGGAAAAAGAAAACATGGATAGCAATCTGCTACATTGATATTCTCAGACCAAAACATTATTTAGTTTAGTTATGTATTATGTATATTCTTAGTTATGTACATTACCATAGCATTGGATTGTACACTTGGTGCAGGTTGGGGTCCTCAGATTTGTTTATGTGAAGGAATCAAAACAGAAAGTTTGATAGGTGGTACCTTACTAGGTAATAGGGAGAATTCCAGTCCTTGCCAACATCTAGAATGAACTCTGTACATAGTTTGTGCCTAATAAATACTTGTTAAGTGAATAAATATCTATGACCTTCAGTGTTCCCATAAAATATCCCCGTGCCCAAACTTAACATTCAACTTGATGTCCACATGCAAAAATAAATAAATTTAGACACAAATCTTACATCTATATGATAAATTAACTCCAAGTGAGTCACAGACCTAAATGTAAAATACAAAACTCTAAAACTTCTAGGATATAAGATAGAAGAAAATCTACATGACCTTGAGTTTGATCATGAATTTTTAAATACAATACCAAAATCACAGTTCATAAAAGAAAAAAGAAACTGTTAAGTTACCCTGCATTAAAATTAAAATCTTCTGCTCTGAAAAAGACATTGTTAAGAGAATGAAAAAACAAGCCACAGACTGTGAGAAAATATGTGTAAAACACATATCTGATAAAGAATTGATATGAAAATATAGAAAGAACACACTTAATAAAAACAACAAAAAACCCCAGTTTAAAAATGGGCAAAAGATCTGAACAAAAAATTTTATCAAAGAAGATATGCTGACATGATATAAGCATATGAAAATATGTTCAACATTGTATGTAATTAAGAATTGCACATTAAAAGAACTATGAGATACCACTATATACCTATTGAAATTACTAAAATCAAGTAAACAGACAATAGTACATTGTTACAGGATGTGGAGCAAGGGGAACTCTTAATTTTGCTGGTGGAAATGACAAATGATACATTCATTTTGAAAAAGAGTTTGGCGGGTTCTTACAAAGCTGATCATAGTTTTATTATCCAATTCATCCACCACATTCTTTGCTATTTATTTATCCAAATGAGTTAAAACATATGTATACAGAAATATCTGCAGTTTTTTTCATATTTGCCCAAAATGGGCAGCAACCAAGGTATCCTTCAAAAGGCAAATGGATAAACAAACTATCCTACATTCATACAATACAATGTTAGTCAATGAGTAAAGGAGTGTACTACCAAGTCACAAAAACACATAGAGGAAACTTAAATATACATTGCTTATTGAAAGAAGCCTGTTTGAAAGTGGTCATATGACATTCTGGAAGAGGCAACACTATAGAGACAATAAAAAAATCAGTGGTTGATCAGTGGTTGGGTTTTGTTGGTAGGGGTGGTGGGAGAGAGCAGGATGTGTAGGTGGAGCACAGGAGATGGCTGAAATATACCAATGATTCATTCTTGATCTGCATCTTCTTTGACAAATTAACAGTATTTGACACAATACACCGTTCCATAGTTTCTTAATCTGTTTCCAGAACAAAACAATTATTTGGTTTTCCTTTTACATCTCTGGTTGGCTGCTTCTTAGTCATCTTTTCTCATTTATTTTCATCATCTTGAATTTTTAAAGCTGAAATTCTCTAAGGTCCAATACTTATCCTTTATATTTATATCTACACTCAACTTCTTCAGGGTCTCATTTATTTTCATGATTTCCAATATAATCTACAGATTACTTCCAAATTTACATCTTCAGGCTGGTGCTTTTCCCCAGACCTTCTAGAGTCCATACCACTTACTAATCAACAACTTCACTTGGAAGCATAATAGCCATCCTAATTTTAGTATGTCTAAAATTCAGCTGCTGTACCCCCACTCTTCAAACCTGTTCCATCTCTATTCTTCCCCAAATCAGTTAGCAATAATCCATCCTTACAGATGGTTATGTAAAAAATCTGAAAGAACCTTTGACTTCTGTCTTTCTTTTAGAGCTCACACTCAATTATTCAATGAATCCTCTTGAGAAAGACAGCAAAGTACATCTATCACCCGACGACTGCTCAATCATTTCATTGGTAACACATTAATCAAGTCACATTAAGTCACTGTAATCTCTCACTTGGTTTATTCCAATAAATTCTTATTTACCTTGTTCTGCCTTCCCAATTCCACTCTTTCTGTGCTTAACAGAAAATAGTGTAACTGGTTAAACTGAAAATCAATCACGTAACTTCTCTGCTCAAAATGTGCAATAGGTTTCCATATATCTACAACCAAAATCCTTGCCATGACTGCCAAGGCCCTAAAACATTTAATCTTTTTTTCTCCCTTTTCTATTATTATTTTATCTACCTTAGTCACTCTCCTCTAGCCACACTGGCCTCTTGTAAAACTTGCCTCCTTCTTTAGGTTATCATGTTGGGAGAAATTTCCATGTTTATACCTGTCTGGTCCTACTCTCAGACCTCATTGAATCCAAAAGCAGCTGTTTAGCATGATCTTTCTCTGACAGACTTCAATATTTTTCATAATATACATAGTCCGTGAGAGACATGGTAGGGCTATTTCAGTCCCCTTCTCTTTCTAAAATGACACAATAGAATTTGTACTATACTGTGAACAGCACCCATTAAGAGTCGTTCATTTCCAAAATTCCCAGAGAAAAATGGAACTGAAACCTTTCTCCTTAGACTTCTAATTACCTTTATTCACTCTCATCCTCCATCTTGCTTCCTTCTTCTTCCCGTAGTAATTACTTGCCCTGGCCTAGAAGGACTTTTATTAGCGTTCTCTAATAAACAAAATGGCCCTTATGTCTAATGCTCTAAACATTAGAGAAAAAATTCTCTAGAGTAAAAGTTGTCTATTAGAGTAAAATGATTCTGCTGTGAATCCACTGAGATCTGACTCTCAAAGTAAAGTCTTAAACATTTATTTACTTTAATGCTTAGTTTTTGCAAACAAAGAGCACCTTGGTTTCATACCATATAGCCAGTTGAAACTGAAGAAAGACATTCAGCACTTTGATTGGCACTGTTTTCATCCTCGGAGAAAAAAACCCTTGAATTAAAATTTTCAATATTTTCTGATTGCATTAGACTATAAATGAATGTATGTAAAACTTTTACAAGAAAGAAAAAAAAAAAAACAGTGACCGGTTTGAATCTGTCCACCTGCAAGAATGTGCTTTTATTTTAGTACAAGCATCTTTCATCTTTTCTTTACTTCTTTCCATTATGTGATTAATATGCCACAATGAGTTGCTGAATATCTGACTCAAGACAATTTCTATCCCCAAGGGCCATACGCCTTTATCTCCACTCTTGTGAGATCATGGACTCTACTAAAAATCTGCTTGTCTAATTTATTATTTTAAAAATTAAATATCAAGTTGGGTATAAATAGTTAGGCCTGGGTCCCATGCCTGTTCAGTATTACAAGGGAAGGCAAGGGGAAAGTAAGTTGAGGCTGAAGTTCTTCTAAAAGTGTATAGAGAAGATACAGAGAAACCATATGCATTGCAAATATCTACCAATTTGTATATAGGTTCTACAGTTACAATGTTATGACCTTCACGGTCAATAGGGGGAGAATAAAGCAAAATAGCGATTGTCTGAAATTAGATTGTTTTAGTTGACAGATTATTATAAATTCCTTACAGTACTATACAGTATTATTGATTGATTAAAACTATCATGCAAATGTGTTTGAAAGAGGTTTGAATAGTAATCATCTTGTTTTTTTCTTTCTCAAACAAATGTTATCTTTTCAGCCACCCTTCAACTCCCAAGCCAAATACTCAGTTAAGAAAAACCCATGAACATTGTCCAGTGTAATCATTAAATTGCATACATTCTAATTGAACTCTAAGGAAGAATTATAAATGAACTAATGTAACTGTTTATGCCATTACCCACACTATTGTATATTAAATATAACTAAGCATTTAAAATTACTACTTATAGAAAAATCCCTTCAATCTAGATCATAAAAGAAAATAAATTTAAATATTTTAAAATAAAGGAATTAATATTCTCAAGTATTATAAAGTTATATATTAATAATATTTAAAATACTATGCTTATTTTTATATACATGCTTTAGTCTCCTCAATTTTTTTTTTTTGCCATCCTCTCATATATCATGATATTCCTTTGAGACAAGACACAAGGAATTTTAAAGAAATTTTTTATAGGCATAAGCAGCCCCAAAATTTCATAGTTAAGTAAAATAAAATCAATAATAATTTTCTTCCAGATTTCATTATATTTTTTATATGACATAGAGGGAAAAGTAACATAATCAATTAAAAACTGAGAGATGATATAGGGAAAGATGAGTCGAAATTTTGATCACAGATAATATAACCAAATATTTCCAGTAAAATGGAATTTCTTTTAGCAATTGTTGCTAAATTCCTCTGATAAGATTTTAAGTTATTTTGAGAGGCCCATTGAAAATATCTCATTTGCTTGTAAAATAATATAGTATTTATTGTTGAGCACGAGACATTAACAGTAGATTTTTAAAAGTCACAATTTTTGTTGAATAACTATAAGAACAATGTATAACTTTTCAAAGGTAAAATATATATTTTCAAATTAATAAAAGTATAATAAAAAGGAATGTGAATGCTTAATGTATTTATAATGCTGCACATACCACACATGAATACTAGCAAAATTTAATACACTTAAATGATTTTATTATTTCCATAATATTTATATAAATGAGTTTTTCTTAAACATTATGGGTAGAAAATTCTACCTAATATATAATTAGTTGTTTCATATATAATAGTGAGTACAATTCATTGTTGCATTAGAATTTGGAAAACTGCATTTATTTTTATATCATAGGTAAATGTTAAAATGTTTTCTTTAATACAGAACATTTTTATTTTATGCATTCATGGAAAATTTTTCAAACATTATCATAATACTGTATAATATCATCTATAGTATACCTAATGATCTTATTTGACATACACCATTGTCTTCTCTCATCTTTCTGAAACCATAAGGAATACAAAATCGGTAAAAGCCAGAGAATGTATTCCTGTGTTAATCTTCGCAGGCTGCCATAACAAACTACCATAAATTGGGTAGTCAAAAGAATAGAAATTTATTCTCATAGTTCTGGGGCCTGGGAAGTCTAAGATCAAGGCCAGCATGGTCAATTTCTGGTGCAGCTCTCTTCCAGGCTTTCAGACAGCCACCTTCTCAGTGTGTCCTCACATGGTAGAGAGAAAGCTCTCATGTCTCTTTCTCATTTCATACAAGGGAATCAATTCTATTGGATCAAGGTTAGATTTGATGACCTTATTTAAACCTAATCACCTACTTAAAGGCCTTATCTCCAATACAGTCACACTGGGGTGTGGTTAGAACTTCAACACATGAATTTGGAGGGGATGCAGTCTTTTTTCTGTTTAATCATAAGTCTAGACCAGCAGTCATTTACTACTTGCTTTCCGACTTATCTACTTACATGCAGAGTATCCTCCAAAGAGAGTGTTCATGAAATAAAATGTGGGTAATGTACATTTCCTTACTATACTCAAGTATAAAGGCAATCATAAAAGGGAAGCCCAGGATATTAAATCAGTCGACAAACACCACAAGAATATATAGGGGCAAAAATTAAGGAGAGTCACATTTAAGACTTCCTGAGACATTTTCTGCCATATCTAAATAATTAGTTAAAATTTTAAATAGAAGTATTTTTATTTTTTTACTCTATACTATTTCCCTAAAACATTTTAAAAAATCTATTATATAGTTAGTATAATGACTGGAATGGACATTTGTTACAATATTGGTTGCTCACTGTCTGAACCCCATTCTTGTAGGTGAGAAATTCTACACTGAATAAGACTGGTTGGGACTCAAAGAAGCTACAAGGATGCACTTTTCCAGCACAAACATGTTCTAGGTTGGATGATCAAATGCATATGCCTAGCAATTGAAATCTCCAACTAGGAACAAAAAACTAATCACAAAAAGCAAAGGATTCACTTTGGTGTTCACAGTAGGAGCAACAGCAGCATCTTGTTTGCAGTTCTGGTAGCAGCAGCAGCTGCAATGGCTTCAGCCATATCAAATATCCTGTGGCACAGAGGGCTTCGAGGTTAAGAGATACAAATTTGCTTACCGCATGAACTTTGCAGTTTGATTTTTACTTTGATTTGGTCACCTTGCTTTCTTTGCTCTTGATTGTTTTCTAGCCCTACTTCTGTGACTACATTAAATAATTCTTTAGCTAATAATAATCCTTCCAATAAATTCACTCTTCTGCTTGAATGATTCACAGTTGTTTCTCTTTCCTGTTTATGGAAAATTCTATTTAAATAACTGGAAAATGTATACCACCAGCTCAGACTTCTCTTCTGAGCTTCTGATTGATGCAGACAACTGAACATACTATATCTCCTATTAGAAGAATGTCACAAAGCACATCAAAACAAGAAATTCAAAACTGAACTAGCCATCTTTCTCTTCAAAACCTAACCTTTTTTGCAATATTCCCAATGTCAGTGAATCGTACCAATAGCCATCCAATTGTGTAAGTGAGTTGCGAATCTCTGACTTACTCTTGTCGCATATTTGGTTATCAGTAAGTACATTCAGTATCTTAAATACCTTAATTCTGATTACATCGTTCTGATTGCACCACATTCCTTGCTCAATCCATTGTTGTTTCTCATTTGGACTACTGAAAGCACCTCCTGACTACATCTAATCTGAATTCTTTACAATTAGTCAGAGATATAGTTTCAAAACTTATGTAATTGTGTCATACACCCAATCATGATTCTTTGTGATTAGAATTATTTCCACTGTTCTTAGGATCAATTCACAATTCCTCTCTTTGGTTTTTAAACTCCATGGCCTGGCCCCAACCAAATTCTCCAGCTTCAGGTTGTATAAAACTGTGCTCTCTTCACTTACAATACTACTTTCATTCTCTTCTATCTGCCATGCTTACACATGCTTCATGTCTTTTGCACTTGTGATTTGTCTGCCTGAAATAAGATCTCTTTTCAGCTATACTGACTCAATTTCTACTCAGCTGTCATATCACAGATTAGGTACCATTCTCATGTAGCCACAATTCATATGGTGATCACTCAGTATTTATTGTATAAGAAAATGAATTAAGTTTTCACATCAACGTAAATCTGTAATTGAGTTAGCTGGACATTATATGTTAATACTCTAATATTAAACACTGGTGCACCCACAGTAAGACACATATAATCGATTAGTACTATCAACTTTCTTCATATTTTTTAATAAAAATCACTTGTTATGAATAAAGATTAAATACTTTTCAAATATCGATAAGTGCAGAGAAGAAAAGGAACAGTAAGGCATAATAATATTGCTGTTCTGGCAACTCTTGATCAGAACTGATTGCCTAACCCTAGCTATGACTGCTTTCTATGGGACTGCCTCCCAACTTTTTTTCTGTGACTTCAACTTGTAGGAGATGAGATCTGGACAAGTTAACAGTAACTTTTCACTGATACAGTTAAAACAATAAAGTTTGAATTAACTCTAATTGTTGTAGTATTCCTTGGTTACCTTCGGTATTATTTATTGATATTAATAGAGCTGATGTAGTAATATTTTCTCTTATTCTCTCTCTCCACCATCCTAGTTTCTCTCTCCACCATCCTAGTTTATGAGACAGACAGTGCCACAGTACCACATGAAGACATATCAGTTTGATTCATGGTGTTTTTTCTCTTGGGCTGCTGTTGTAGTAAATATCTACACTGCATTTTCTTTCACATATGAGTGTGTATATGAACATATACATATATGCTATATAATATTTGATATATACATATATACAAAGGTGTACCTTGATTTTAATCTATTGTTACATTTATCCCCAAATATTTCATATTTTTGATGCTAACATAAATGACATTTTAGAAAAAATTCAATGTTTCATTGATTTATATATGGTTACAAATGATTTTTGTATTTTGATCTTGTATCCTGTGATCTTACTAAGCTCATTATCAGTTCTAACATTTATTTTAGAATTATCAGGATTTTCTAAACTTACAATCATGTAATCTCTGAATAAAGAGTTTTACTCCTTGATTTCCTGTCCATATAACTTTTACTTATTTTTCTCTTCTTATTGCATTAGTTAGGACCTCCAGCACTATGTTGCATCGAAACAGTAAGAGTAGACATCCTTGACTTGTCAATATTAAAGGAAAACAGTGTTAGTTATTAGCTCTAGATTTTTCATAAATACATAATACATCGCTAGAGTACTAGATTATATCATAATTGGATGCTGAATTTGTTCAAGTGATTTTCTGCATCCATTCATGTTTACATTTTTTTCCTGTATTCTATTTACATGGTGATTTACACTGATTGATTTTCAAATATTAAACTAACTTTGTATTCCAGGAATAAACATTGATAGATTGTGCATTAGCATTTTTAAGCATTGCTGGATTCAGTTTGCTAGATCTCTGTTGACATTTTTGCATCCATATTAATGGTGGATATCAGCATGCAGTTTTGTTAGTGTTAGGGTATAGCCATCTCTCTACTTACTGTTTAGTCCTTTGCATTCCAATAAGAGAAATTTCCTCATGTTATCCTAAATGCCATATGCTGTTTCTCATTGCTCTTCCTATATTACATCATGGTATTCTGTTTGCTGAAATGGCCTCAGTCACGATCATTTTATTTACTTCTACATTTCTTAAAAATTCTATAAATTCTTCCCAGACTAGGCCACCCCATGACCTGTATTTGTTTTTATATTTAATCTCTTTCTCTCTCTATTGTTGTCCACTTGACTGTTTATGTCTCATTATCATTCACTAGCGTCTGAGATCCTTGAGAGCATGGAACAGGACTTATTCAATGTTGTATAAGCAGTAGAGCAAGAAGATGCTATTGGTTAGAAATTAATGAAGGAATAAATGAATGATTTGGAGTTATTAATCCATGGTGAATAAAAAGAGACTTTAAATCTTAGAAATTCTTAAGAACAGTTTCAGTTATAAGGAATATTCAAAATTTATCTGACTGACAAATATAGAATTTATAATATGGATTTAGGACATTACATTTTAGGCATGTAATGCCTAAAATGTCTAAAAAATAGAAATTTTTTTCTGTATTTCACATTCATGTAAAATGATGTTTTAAATTTACTTGTTCCAAACACCTATGGATTTCTTGTTAGAACAAAAATGTTTCTATAGAGATAAAACACTAAAATAACTTTTTGTTACTGTAAACCATAAGGTCCCCCACATCTGGAAACTTTTCCATAAAGCTATTTAGAGTCATATTATTTTTAAATATATATTTGTAATTTATTATTGCTTGCATTCCAAATTCTTATATCCTTTAAATTTTTTAATTACTAATTCTATTTTTAAAATTTGTTGGTAATTTGATTACTGGAAAACTGTGTTAAAGATTCAAACTTATTTCTATACCTTATATGGTATCTGAATATATTAACCTTTAAACTTTTGGTTGCAAACACAAAAATGTTCTTTTCATTAAAAATATATTTTACCTGTTTTTTAAAACTGAAGTAAGCTTAACTCCAAAATACTATTAAATATCTTTTATTTTCTTTCCACAATGCCTCTTAGCTTTCCTATATGTTTCATAAAATATATTCTGATCCTTGTGCATGTAACAAAATGTGGCTTACTGATTGCCAACCCCAGAGTTTTCTGTCAGTCTTGATTCTGCTCAATTTAACAGTGGCCTTGTAACACAGTCAATCACAATGTTCTTGTCACTTGACTTCACTGGGTAGCAGTGCTTTCTCATCTTGCATCTTATCTTTCCAATCATCCTTTTTTGCCTGTATAGCAAAGACACTTCCTAAGATTTCTAATGAGCCACTTAGAGTATACAATTAATGGCCAGGGTTGGTTGAAGCACCATGGGGGCTATTACTCTCTGCTGTTCCTCCGAAACTCACAGTCTGTGTGGGACTTAATAGTAATAGGTTCACAGCGAGCATTATATAGAGAAAGAATGTTATCATTTAGTTATAACATGTTTCTTCATAAATGTTCCATGTTCAGAATTCTAGATTTTTGTTCCTGTAGCAGATAGCAGCATCTATTATGGGATACATTTTATATTTTAAAAGAGAAAAGAAAACATTAGATTTTCTCTCAATTGGCAAATATTACAAAGTAAGTAAAGGCCAGACATGAGCAAATTTAAAAAGAATTAGTACATTTATCCAATATATGACAAGACAATGCATTATTATATACTCAAGATAGATGTAAAAAAAAGTGTCCAGACAGACTCAAAAGATGCTGTACAAAAAAGTTAGTTGAAAGATATTGTACGTTTTTTTCTTTAATAAAATGTACTATATATACAAATGCACTCTTCTGTTTGCAAGTTTGCCTTTCAACTGTAATATCTTATCTAAGCCAACATCAATAGTTCATTTTATTAATCCAGTTTCTCAGAATTTGCCTAGGCACTTTATTTCTGTTTAAGTGATTCAAATTTGTGAGGCATACAACTTTGCAACCAATCCATTAAATAATTAAAGGCCCTGAGATATTTACTTTTACAGGGGTTGAAAAGGCTTTGAGGAATTAAACAGAGTGACATTGAAATTTCCTCTTTTCTGTTTGCTAATTTCACTGATTAATTTGATCAGCTATCCCAAGGCATTTACTGACCTGTCTAGTTCAACTTTATTTTTTAAATTATATTTGAGGAACTTAATATGTGAGAATTATTTTGGAAAAATAGCATGTATAAAAAGAAAATAACAGAGTATAGGCGTCAGAGAATCAGGTTTGAAAAATGATTCTTCCAGATATCAGCTGTGTGACCTTGTCCCAAGCATTTAACTCTTCTGTGCTCAGTAGTGAGGGGTTCACAATAAATAAAATAATAATTGAGATATATAATGAATCCTTATAAGGACTATGTGTAATTTATTGTGATAATTCTTTGAAGTTATGCTTTCATGGTCAAGGAGCAAAACTTTAGTAATTTGAAGAGTCAGAAAAAGCTAGAGAGGATGCCGAAGTACTTG
The DNA here is from genome assembly GCF_000001405.40 of Homo sapiens. Classification (NCBI taxonomy): domain Eukaryota; kingdom Metazoa; phylum Chordata; class Mammalia; order Primates; family Hominidae; genus Homo; species Homo sapiens. The sequence continues at coordinate 190,499,063 of NC_000001.11, forward strand.
GAAATTAGAGTCTAAAGAACTGGGAGAAGAGACCTAAGCCATAGGAAGATGGAGCAGCAGCAAGGACCATAATGGAAACAGGCATCCAGGCAGTGCGGAAGAGCAGGAACCCAAAGGGGCTGATTTTCCCTGAGACATAGACCATTGCCTCAAGATTTTAAAGTTTTAAACACTAATGTGGCGAATCTGAGCATGGAACTCTCCTCTGAGGCATTCAGTGTCTCCTGTTTGGAAGCATTCTCTGGCTTCTAGAAGTAGCTGAAATAAACCCTTTTGGAGGAAAAAATCACACAGGCTCCCGTAGGGTAAGTCTTGCATACAAGAAAAATTCTTGCTCATGTGTACCAATAAATATTCACAAAAATATTTAGAAAAACAATCTTTGTAATAAAAATGTTTTAAAACATCTTTTGCCAGGAATAAACCGTGAAAAATTAAGAACAGTGCAATTACTGGACCCCACGTACATTCAACAAGATGGTTGAATCTTACCAATGTAATATTGCAAGTACTGGAGGATTACTTTCAGCAGAGACAGAAATGGTAATTCAGACCAGTGCTCCCACTAAAAATAACTAGAAAAGCTTTATAAGCAGTAATAATTATCTCCTTGAAAACATCTAAGACTTAACAAAACAGTACAAATTACAGGGGCAACATCCACCAAAAACAACAACAACAACAACAAACAAGAGGTGAACCTAAAATTTGAGATTTTTTTTTCCAATAAGGTCATCTGTCAATTCTGAAATAAAAGGGTATGAAGCTGAGAAACTACACAGACATTTTATATCCTTTAAGCCTGGGTTCCCCAACACTTGAGCCTTGAACAGGTACCAGTCCATGGCCTGTTAGGAATCAGGCCGTACAGTAGGAGGGGAACAGTGGGCCAGTGAGCAAGGGAAGCTTCATCTGTGTTTACAGCTTTACCCCCCATGGCTTACATTACCTCCTGAGCTCTGCCTCCTGTCAGATCAGAGGCAATATTAGATTCTCAAAGGAGCAAAAACTGTACATGTGAGGGATATAGATTCCATGCCGCTTAGGAGACAGAATCTAATGCCTGATGATCTGACACTGTCTCCCATCACCCCAAGATGCAACCACCTAGTTGCAAGAAAACAAGCTCAGGGCTCCTACTCATTCTACATTGTGGTGAGTTGTATAAATATTTCATTATATATAACAATGTAAAAATAATAGAAATAAAGTGCACAATAAATGTAATGCACTTGAATCATCCTGAAGCCATCCCCTCAAGCTCTGTCTGTGGAAAAAAATATCCTCCACAAAACTGGTTCCTGGTGCCAAAAAGGTTGGGGACCATTGCCGTAAGCCCTTGAGGGACAAAAAATGGATTCCAGAGTCTGCCACAAAAAGAGAGAGAGGGAAACAGGTAGGGAGAAGGTAAAGGAGAAAGAAAAGAAGGAGAAGAAAAGGGAGAGAGAAAGAAAGAGAAAGACACACACACACACGCACACACACAGAAATGGGAGAGAAAGGGAAAGAGACAATCTGATAAAATCCCTGAATAGATGGTCACTGATAACATATACCAACGTAGAATTTGTACTTAATTGAAAATAAACCCCAAACAAAACTGAAGTGAATGTTTGAATATCAGTAACACTCTAAAGTGTCTTCTATAGGCAAAAAAATAAAAATAAAAAAAACAACAGATAGAAGCTTGAAAACCGAAATGAAATGAAGAGAAATGGGAAATAAAATACGTAGATGAACTTAAATAAATAGTGTGCAAAACAATAAATATTATGCATATTCTGAAAGTACACAAAAAATAAAATAATGCTATATAAACCATGAGGGAAATAAATAATTTGCACATTCTAAAGTATTTGCACAGGCCAGGGAGAAGTCAAATGCCAATATTTGGTAAATCAATGATATATATTGTAATATCTAAGATAACCACCAAGGAAAGAGTGAAAAAGTTGGTAACTACCATAATTTTCTAATTTTAAAAAGTAGATAATACACAAATAATCAAAAGAAGACAATTTCAAACATAAGCTGTTCACAAGACACATAGCTGAAATATATAGCTTCAAAAGGTGAAAATAAAATATTAATAAAAATATATGCAGTCTATAAAGCAGAAAAAAGGTAGCATAACTATGTTAATATCTAACAAATTAGACTTTGAGCCAATACAAAAGGAGCATTATTAAAAAATAGAAGAACAATTTTAGAGATATAATTTAATTCACTGGTAGAATATAATATTAAACAAAAAACTATTCTGATGCTTGTTAAAGACGAAAAGGAAGACTTTATTCAAGGGACTATGGCAAAGGGGTTTTTCAGTAGTGGAGATAGGTTGGGCTCAACATTGAGCATATCAACTTACAAAAAAGTGAGGATGTATAGCCAAAGAACAATAATGTGGTCAATGGAGGGAAAATTACTAAGAAGAAACATCAGGGGTTGAGGTGGGATTCTGACTAAACCAACTTGACAGGATTCTTGCTGAAGGCAGGCCAGGGTGATCAGATAGCACCTAGGGGATGGTGAGCAATGAAATTTGATCAGATATCCAAGGTGGGAAATTCTCACGAAATTTACTTAGCAAGATTCCTATTCTTGAGGACCAAGCTCAAGACGGGGCCGAGTTGAAAAATGGCTTGAAGGAGCCTAACTGAAATTTGATTAAGGAGAATGCCTTTGTTCAACAAAAATGAAAATTTGTATAATCTTACAATGAATAAGGAGGAATGACCACAAATTATCAACGTTATATTAATAAGAAGAGATAACAGATAATAAAGTAGTCAAAAATGGAATTTCCAAAATATCAAACATAACAAAGTAATTATAGTGCTTAGCTATAAATATTTTTAAAATCTTCATTTAAAACATTATTTCAAATCGTACCTTGGTAGATTATTCAAAATTAGCCTTTAGTCTTGATGCCTTACAAAATAAATATACATGAGTATACAGAAAAAGACAAAACATACAAGAATGGTATATATAATGGTAATACATGCAGTAGATATAAATTATCAGTATCTACACAGTACATAGACTATACAGAGTTTAAAAAATATTATAGAGTATTATCTCTCATCTCTCTAGATCTATATTCAGTTACTTCTGCAGTAGCTAACATAATGTTAAATATGGTTCAGTACAACATTTTTTATTTTGTATTTTAAATTTGTTTAAAGAATAGACTTGTGAAAGTTAACAAAATATCAACTTTGCAACTTAAAATTACTTTAGCATTTTATTTTGAAGTTATTCAAAATGTGATATAAAAAGATAAAATATGAAATAAATCAAACTAATTCTATCATATAAAACATACTTTCATTTTTGCATGTTACCTTTGCACTTTTTCTAAATGTATAGCAACACTATTTATCACCAAGGTATTGTTATCATTTGATATACTGCTTTTCCTTATTTATATTATTTCATACAGTATTTTACTATTTTGATATATCAGTAATAATCATTATTATAACAAGCAAATATTTTGATTTGATATATGGTAACTTGTCAAACATTTGTTATTATTTCATTTTGAATATAACTATAAATAATGTTTTAATTAATATATTTTATTTTCTTTTTTCATTTTGGTAACTTTTTTCCTAAGGAAAATCAGTAAGAAGACTATAAATGAGTTATAGAATGAGTACAAATGTGATTCTTATTGTTGTATAAACTTCCAAAAACGGTAATATTTTCTTTCATAAAAATAAACTAAAATTTGACCTGGCAACACAAACCTACTTGAGAATTTAATGAAGAAATGAGATAAAAATATTCAGAGATAAGAAAGAAAACTTATGGTTACTTCTACTGAAGAGTTTATTATTTACTTAGATTGCTAGAACATTGCTGCTCAAATAAAGTAATTTTTCTATTTTCTCTAATTGCTACAAGTCCATGACTATTTCTGCTATTGTAATTTTTGGTATTGTTTACTGGGTATTAAGTTAGCAGCACGCATTTTTTTTTTTTTTTTTTTGAGACGGAATCTTAGCCGCCCAGGCTGGAGCAGTGGCGCCATCTCGGCTCACTGCAACCTCCGCCCCCAACACCCCCCTCCGCCGGGTTCAAGCGATTCTCCTGCCTCAGCCTCCCAAGTAGCAAGCTTTTTTATTTTACTTAACATATTTCTTGAAATGCTTATGTTTTGACATTGAAGATATTCTTTAGCACTTTATCTTTACCTATTACTACTTTAAGACATTATAATCATAAGATGGTACAGGAGATTCTGCTAAATATGTGTTCCTGAAAACCCTCTTATTCTGCAAAATCATACACTAAAAGAATCTGGCTGTGATAGAGATTGATTTTGTGCCAGCCGCACAAATCCTAGGGACATTGCAATCAGAGACCTGATAAAAGCAGTAGCAATCCCAATAAAAATATTAGTACAATTAAAACTCTTTGAGAATTTGCACCTGGAATGACAATCTGTTGTAGCTTTAAGTCATGCGACTTGTGCCTACCCCAAAATGAAGATTCCAGAAGACATTATTTTTTTTTCCCAAAATGCAGAACAGTTTCACCAAACCTAATAAATGTGATCCAGGAGGAGACATTTCCAATTATTTTTCTAAATAAAGGAGAATATGCCCTTACAGCTTCCCTACTACACTTAAACATTCCAGAGATAGCTTAAGAGACTGGAAAGTTTAGCAGTTAAAATTCTGTCAACTATTCACTTCTTAGCCCAAAAGAAAATGCTTGCATGGGAGTTTCCGCATTTTTAAGCATCTCTTCAAAACATTTACCTGATGGGGAAAATTGCATATAAACAAGCATGTCCTTACTGATATCAATCTATTTACCCAACATGTATAATCTAATTCATATTTACATGCAAACATGTCATAAAACATAATATATCTTTCCACAGTAAGGTTTTATAAAAATTGTGGGGGCTTAGGAGGTTTTATATATGGAGCCACTGTATTTGAAAGTTTTGAGCTAATGTACTTCTTATTTGAGTCATTTAATCTAATGACTCTTTTCTAATATGTTTTCATATGTAATATTCAAAATTAATGTTTGCTTATATTGTATCATTTGTTTATTTTCATAGTTCCCTTTTTATCCTTATAATTAATAGTAACCTTCACATTTGTGTGGAACTTTATATTTGTCTTCTAATTCATGTTTTATTTTTTCTTTATGTAAAATAAATAAATACATCTATTTTGTCACATAGGATTTTGTTTCCCATGAATGAAGACATAAAATGATTTTATTTTATATTTGTGTATAAAATTATACACTTTAGAAAGAAATAACTATTTTGTTAAAAATATATAATATTGTGTAAGCACCAGAAGGCCTAATTCTTTTTCTTTTTTTAAATTATACTTTAAGTTCTGGAATACATGTGCAGAACGTGCAGGTTTGTTGCACAGGTATACACGTGCTATGGTGGTTTGCTGCACCCATCAACCCATCACCTCCATTAGGTATTTTTCCTAATGTTATCCCTCCTCTTGCACCCCAACACCCCAACAAGCCCTGGTGTGTGATATTCCCCTCCCTGTGTCCATATGTTCTCGTTGTTCAACTCCCACTCATGAGTGAGAACATGCAGTGTTTGGTTTTCTGTTCCTGTGTTAGTTTGCTGAGAATGATGGTTCCTAGCTCCATCCATTTCCCTGCAAAAGACATGTACTCATCCTTTTTTATGGCTGTATAGTATTCCACGGTGTATATTTGCCACATTTTCTTTATCCAGTCATCATTCATGGGCGTTTGAGTTGGTCTTTTCTATTGTGAACAGTGCTGCAATAAACATACATGTGCATTTGTCTTTATAGTAGAATGATTTATAATCCTTTGGGTATATAACAGTAATGGGATTGCTGGGTCAAATGGTATTTCTGGTTCCAGATCATTGAGGAATTGCCACGTTGTCTTTCTCAATGGTTGAACTAATTGACACTCCCACCAACAGTGTAAAAACTTTTCTATTTGTCCATGTCCTGTCCAGCATCTGTTGTTTCCTGACTTTTTAATGATCACCATTCTAACTGGCATGAGATAGTATCTCACTGTGGTTCTGATTTGCATTTCTCTAATGACCATTGATGATGAACTTTTGTTCATGTGTTTGTTGGCCGCATAAATGTCTTCTTTTGAGAAGTGTCTGTTCATATCCCTTGCCCACTTTTTGATAGGGTTGTTTTTTTTTTCTTGTAAATCTGTTTAAGTTCCTTGTAGATTCTGTATATTAGCCCTTTGTCAGGTGGATAGATTACAAAAATTTTCTCCCATTCTATAGGTTGCCCGTTCACTCTGATAATAGTTTATTTTGCTGAAGCCTACTTCTGTCAATTCGTCAAACTCATTCTCTGTCCAGTTTTGTTCCTTTGCTGGTGAGGATTTGTGATTCTTTGGAGAAGAGGCATTCCGGTTTTTGGAATTGTCAGCCTTTTTGTGGTGGTTTCTCCCCATCTTTGTGGATTTATCTACCTTTGGTCTTTGATATTGTTGACCTTCAGATAGGGTCTCTGATTAGATGTCCTTTTTGTTGATGTTGATGCTATTCCTTTCTGTTAGTTTCCCTTCTGATAGTCAGGCCCCTCTGCTGCAAGTCTGCTGGAGTTGGCTGGAGGTCCACTCCAGACATTTGCCTCACCAGCTGAGACTGCAGAACAGCAAAGATTGCTGCCTGTTCCTTTCTCTGGAAGCTTTGTCCCAGAGGGAACCTGCCAGATGCCAGTCAGAGCTCTCCTTTATGAGGTGTCTGTCAGCCCCTACTGAGAGGTGTCTCCCAGTCAGGATACACGGGGGTCAGAGACCCACTTGAGGAGGAAGTCTGACCCTTAGCAGAGCTCGAACGCTGTGCTGGGAGATCTGCTGCTCTCTTCAGAGCTGTCAGGCAGGGATGTTTAAGTCTGCTGAAGCTGCCCCCACAGCCACCCCTTCCCCCAGGTGTTCTGTCCCAGGTAGATGGGGGTTTTATCTCTAAGCCCCTGACTGGGTCTGCTGCCTTTTTTTCAGAGATGTCCTGCCCAGAAAGGAGGAATCTAGAGAGGCAGTCTGGCCACAGTGGCCTTGCTGAGCTGCAGTGGGCTCTGCCCATTTTGAACTTCCCAGTGGCTTTGTTTACACCGCGAGAGTAAAACGGCCTACTCAAGCCTCAGCAATAGGAGGATGCCCCTCCGCACCAAGCTTGAGTGTCCCGGGTGGACCTCAGACTGCTCTGCTGACAGTGAGAATTTCAAGCCAGTGGATCGTAGCTTGCTAGGTTCTGTGGGGGTGGGATCCGCTGAGCTGGACCACTTGGCTCCCCAGCTTCTGCCCCCTTTCTAGGGAAGTGAACGGTTCTGTCTCGCTGGCATTCCAGGCACCACTGGGGTATGAAAAAAACTCCTGCAGCTAGCTCAGTGTCTGCCCAATAGGCTGCCCAGTTTTGTGCTTGAAACCCAGGGCCCTGGTGGTGTAGGCACCCAAGGGAATATCCTGGTCTGGGGGTTGCAAAGACTGTGGGAAAAGTGTAGTATCTGGGCCAGAATGCACCATTCCTCATGGCACAGTCTAGAGGGCCTAATTCTAATATGCTAGTATATTAGCATGCACAATATATTTCATATTATGAATAGATACTTTCTATATTCTAAATTTTATAAATGTTATGCTATTATTTATAAGGTAGTATACTGTTAGATGAAGCATATTGATAGACGAAGTAGATAATAATATGTTTAGCATCTACTCTATGTACTTGCATATTATATAGTTTACTATATATTTCAAAAGCAGAGTGTTAGTTTTCAGATTATAAAATTATTCCACCTTGGAACTAATCACATATATGGCTTCTGTTCTTTCTTTCCGTCTCTTCTTCTATTCCTAGCTCTTCACTTTGACTTTTTTTCTGCTTTCTAGTCTCCTTTTTATTGTACTATAAATTAAATGAGACAGAATTTAGATAGATAATGCTTGGAAACAAGTAGATTTATTTAATCAGAATAGCAGGGATCTTAACAATACAGCCATATTGAAAGAATTCAAACCAAATCAGACTGATTTATAATCAAGTTTTCACTAGCAAAGCTGAGAATTAAAGGAAGTATTGTAGTGAAAAATCTTTTTCAGCTTATATTTGTCCTTTTACCTCTAATTTTGATGACTGAATTTAATATTAAGTGTATTAATTACTTGTATTTTAAAAATCTATTTAGAAACTTAGTAATATAATGATAGTTACATTATACTGCAACTATACCAAAATAGTATTCCACAACAGCAAATATTTCAACTTATTTATTCAGTAATTATATATTAAATTGCTATTCTGTGTCAGCTGTGTAGAAAGACAAACAACAACAAAGATATAAACTGAAGAAATCTTGACATTCAAATAGTAGATACAGAAAGGAAAGCTTCAAAAAGGACTGAGAAGAGATATTGAAAAGGAGCATTGTCTCAGAAGCTAAGAAAATACGTTAAAAGGAGGAAGTTGTCAACAGTGTCTATTGTCACATAAATATCAATTAAGTATGGGTTGGAAAGTATGCAACCATTGCATCCATCTCTATCCAGACAAGTTAGAGATGACTTTCTCTGGAGGAGATTAATTACATGTAACAATAGAAGTCAGACTGCTGTTGGGGTAAAAGTGAATGTAAAAAATGACTACATGTAAAATGAGATGAAATCTGAAGAAGGTTTGTTGTCTAGTTAATAGTTGCATTGATGAGAATTTTCCAGTTATGATATTGTGCTATAGTTATGTAAGCTGTTACCTGTCAGAGAAGCTATGTAAAAGATATACAGAACTCTATATTATTTTTGTATATTTATGTGCATCTAAAATTATTCCAAAATAAAAAGTGCAAGAAAAGTGAATTTCTAATCTTTTTGAATTCAACTCTATACCTTCATTCAAAAGAGAAAAATACCCATAATTCAATTATATTTACCAATTTGTTTTTCACAGTACTTACTTTGTAGAAATTCTGTAACCATTTGGGCAGTACTGTAGGATTGAGCAAATGAATATAAACACATTGATATTGGAGCCACAGCTCTCCCTATAGAAGAAGTAAGTAAAACATATAGAGTAAGGAAAGGCCAGAAAATATTCTGTAGTGTTAGCTTACAATCAGAAATATCAGTATAAATTTATGATTTTAATGTATAGCAATACCTACTGTTCATTATACAGCGTACTCATAAAATTTACTTCATTTATGTGTGTTCTATGTGGAAGAAGAAAGATAAAAATACAGAATGCTGTAAGGCATGGGAGAGTCTTGAACTTATCATTTCATATAGGACAAACTATGCTCATTACTACTGAAGAATCATTGCTTCCAATCTCTTTCAGGAATAGAAAAGACAGCCAGGAATAGAAAAGTCAATTTTGTCTTGTCCAACCCAACTAAAATAGAAAGTGTGTGATGACATAAAAGTTGGTCAAAAATATTCTGGAGTGGTGTGTGTGTGTGTGTGTGTGTGTTAGAGTGAGAATGAGTGCTAAGCAAATATAGCAAAATGTTAGCAACTGGCAAATGTGAGTGAAGGATTTATGAATGTTCCTAGTAATATTCTTGCCACTCTTCTTTTAGCTTGAAAATTTATACAAACTAAAAATTAAGAAGGTGTGAATATAAGGTAAACAAGTAGAGATGTAAGTATAAACTAATATTTTTTAAAAACTTATTTTTAAAGGGAAGGAGAGAAAGAGAATGATGCATAAATGAAAGAAGACAGAAATATGGATTTTAAAAATTAGTAATAATATAACATTCCCTCATTGAATGTTTATCATTGGATAGCCATTTTCCAAATGCTATTCTTAGATTAATTCATTTAATTCACACAAAATCCTGTGGTGATAGGTACAGTTTTCCCAATTTCACAAAAGAGGGAATTGAGGCACAGGGATTCCTAATTAACCTAGTCAAAGTGACACAGATGATAGATGGAAAAACTGATTCAAGTAGAAGCAGTCCAGTTGTAGAGCCAGTGAGATAAACCGTCATAGCTGGGGAAGCAGACATCTTCACACAGCAAGGAGACGAATCCAGTGCCTAACAAGATGTTGAAGCCACAAAGGAAAGTCCTCTAGCATTAAGATGGATTATGGTTTGAAATTGCATGTGGAAAAACTGGCCTCAAATAAAATAAGAAACATTTCTTTTTACCAGGTTTAGAATATACTGTGGCAATTAAATAGAGTGAGAAAGATGATAATTGATGTAACTCATGTAAAAGCTAGTATATATTTAAATAAAATTATGTATCAATTTGACAAGTCATATTATTGATGATTATTAGAAATTGTAGCTTACCTAATAGGCATGGACCAAAACTGGCGATCCTTTTATGAATAAATGGCTGCTTCTCATGGTAACTGTAATAATCTCTTAAACGGAAACATAGCTCCTATCATCAAATCATGTGAATGGAAATACGATATTAGCATAAAGAAAGCATAGTATTTCATTTTTTTTTTGAAATTGACAGTAGACATAGTTGGGTACAAGTAAAATAATAAAAATGCACCAATGATCAGGTTAAATTATGCATATTTTGGATAATTGCTGAGAAATAGCACTACCATTCTTATAAAAGATGTGTAGTCAGGTGTGGTGGCTCACACCTCTAATCCTAGCATTATGGAAGGCCAAGACAGGAGTATCACTGGAGCCTAGGAGTTCAAGGCCAGAATGGGCAATGTGGCTGGACAATGTCCCTACAAAAATTAAAAAAAAAAAAATTGGCTGGGCATGGTGGCATGTGTCTCTAGTCCCAGCTATTTGGGAGGCTGAGGTGGGAGGATCGCTTGAGCCCAGGATGTCAAGGCTGTAGTGAGCCACGATTGCAGCACTGCACTCCAGCCTGAGTGACAGAGCAAGACCCTGTTTCAAATATATGTGCGTATGTGTATGTATGCATGTGTGTGTGATATATATATATATATCATATGTGTTCATAATGTGTTCTTGTGAGATAATCAGATATTTTGTTTATATTAAGAATAAATATTGAAATGTGTGTGATAGAAAATGTGTACTAGAATGACCAAGTTCTAGAAAAAAAAATTAAAATTATTTTCCCCCAGTACTGATTTCCCTGCTGACTAATATTGTGACATGCTATTGACTATAATGCTGGCTCCTTCTTTTCTGTATTCATTCACATTTCCAGGCCTGGTTCAAGACAACTCTTGAATATTTTTTTCAAGCCACCTATGTGACAACAGAATCATAACATAAAGAACTGGCCAAACTCTTTCAAAGTAATGTATTTTTTTCCAATCATTCTATGTACTGATTCTTATAGAAGAACATATAGTATATTAGGCAAATATATCTTTAATATTCTTAAAAGAAATTCTTCTCACCTCTAAGCACCTTTGAAAACTACAAGAAAACACTAGGACTCAATTTTTCTTTTTTTTGGTAAAATATTCAAGACCTCTCATATCAAACAATATCATACAGAGAAGGGCATTATTAGTAGTTACAGCCATATCATATGTAGGATAAATATATACTACTTTAGAGTTTATGTAAAGCAAAATGCAAATAAAATGAGCACTTGCTGATTGGATATAAGGCTGTGTGCTGTGGAGGGAAAGTGCAGACAAAAATATCAAGGTGAGTGAGCTGGGCATGGTGGCACAGGGCTGTAATCCCATCTACTCTGGAGGCTGAGGCAGGGGGGATTGCCTGAGTCCAGGAGTTCGAGATTCTGGGCAACATAGTTTAGACTCCATCTCAAAATATACATATATATTACTTTGAAAGAGTTTGGCCAATTCTTTTTCAAATCTACAATGGGACCAAGAATCAGCAGAGATGACATTTATGGGGGTGGAAAGAAGGCAAGAGATGTGTTGAGAGGAGATTTAGTATAAAGAGAGCAGATCAGAACTTCGTGAATCAGGATTCCAGAAATCTGGTATAAAAGCTGGGAAGTCAAGAGGATGCACTGTGCACCCACTTGGTCTGAAAGGTTGAAAGACTGAAAGAGGGAAAGTCTGAAAGACAAAATTTGTCTTTGAGAGGACAGAGAATTCTCCACAAAGAGCAAGTCATTCCGATTTAAACTTAGCAGTTGACTCCCACTCCAAGTGTTCAAATCGTAAATCCAAATTCAATCCTTTTTCAATTGCTAAATGCTTGTTTTTTTTTAAATAGAACTGATTATATAGTATGCAGATTCCCAAATTCCAATGCTTCCTTCTTTTCCCATGTAATTGCTATTAATGACTGACTCCCTCTGCCACTGTGATGATGATCCCACCAAGAAGAGGAGAGAAAAACAAAGTCAGAATCCAATATCACTTATATATATTTATAAACAAAATACATGAACACTTTTTGTTATTACAATATTTGTAGCTCAATTTCAACAATTACATTTTAAATGAATTCTCATTACTAATATCTATAATAGAACTATAGTGTCATTAATCGCTACTGCACTAGAGAAACTTGTTTCACCCTCAGAGTTGCAGCAGCAATAATTGAGCTGATTGCGGAAACATCCAATTGCATGCTTTTGACAAGTGACAAGAGGAAGAGTTCTTAGAATTTGCAGATTCCATCCCAAATACCCCTTTTTGCCATTGGTTTTGTTTGCTCTGCCAGAGCACAGAGAGTTATTGGCTCCCAGACTTTGGCATTTATGCTTCTGAGGTGTTATAGATTCATGTCACTACTTAGAGGAACAAACACCTCCAGGGTAGTGAACTGATGAGGTTGTGTGAATGTGTTAGCTGATGAGGGTTTCTGGAAATCTACCCTCTTCAAGCACAAGAGAATCTCTTTGCTTCTCTGCATTTTCTTCAAGTCATTTAAATAAAGTACCGTACTAATCCTTGGTGTTGTTCAAAAAAAAAAAAAGAAAGAAAGAAAGAAAGAAAAGCAAACAAAAGCAACCCATGTTTCGTCCACTCTCTGAAATGTAGTGAATGTTTGAACAAGATGAACAAGTGCAGGGAACTGATTTAGATTAGACGTTCAAACATGAATGAATGTCTAAAATTGTAATCTGGTCTGCCTAAATTTAGTAGCTTTTTAAAAATCTTCTCATTGTTTGATAATCTGAATAAATGCCTGGCTCAGGAACATTCAAAAACAATTGGCCTGGCAATTTTGGTCACATGTTTTGAAATCTCTGCAAATAATAAGGGGCTGAAGCAGTGTTTAAAGAAAAAACAAAGAAACAAACAAACAAAAAAAAAAAACAAAAAAGTGCATAAATTGTGAGATACATAAACTAGCTCACATGCTATTTCAAAGTGTTTAGCTTTTTATTCCTAAAACAAGGAATAAGTAGAAAAATTAAGTAGAAATAACCTAATTTTATTATTTCCTTTTCTCATAAATCTTAGGATTATTTTGATACTGAAGAAGTTGGAGAGTAATCAGATTATTGCAAATGTCGTAGTAGCACCTCTGTGCCTGTGCCTGGTAGGGACTTACATTTTACAGTAATACATATTGATAATAGCACACAACTAGGGAGATAATAGGAAACTTTAAGTACAAGTGAGTTTAGATTAATATAAGTAGATCTTCATTAGAGTAAAATGCAACCCTTAAATTATATTGTAAAGAACAGAGAGGGGAAAATAATGACAATTGTGAACTATATAGAATACACAGGAAAAAGAGATATAAAAAGAGAAATAAAAAAAGAGATATAAAAAGAGATATAAGGAAACTAATGAAATGGGATAAGCGTCACTTAAAATGACTGGCTGAAGTAAAATATAAAACCTTAAGTTTTGTGCTCAGGGAGCGCTGTATAGACACAGAATAAAGGCAAGAACTAAAAGAAGCTTTTCTTGAACAATTATAAACTTCCATAGGGCTTGATCTGGACCGTGGCTATTCTATTTATGTTATTGCAGGTGAATCATGAATCGATGATGATACACAGTTATACATTTCTTATATATAATTATAAAAAATCTATTTCTTTTTTTTTTTTTTTGAGACGGAGTCTTGCTCTGTTGCCCAGGCGGGAGTGCAGTGGTGCGATCTCGGCTCACTGCAAGCTCCGCCTCATGGGTCCATGCCATTATCAGACTCCCGAGTAGTTGGGACTACAGGCGCCCACCACCATGCCCGGCTAATTTTTTTTTCCTGTTTTTGTATTTTTAGTAGAGATGGGGTTTCACCGTGTTAGCCAGGACGGTCTCAATCTCCTGACCTCATGATCCACCCACGTTGGCCTCCCAAAGTGCTGGGATTACAGGCGTGAGCCACGGTGCCCCGCCAATTATAAATAATATAAACGCTTGGGTTCTTACAGTAGTTTGGATTAATAAGTATGGTGGTATTTTGGTATTGCTACATCACATCCTTTGATCTATCTGATCGTTTTTTAATCTAGTTCTTTTTGTTACTAGGATTACCTGCGACTAAAGGGAAATAAAACTGTGCATGAATTAAGGTTGTATTGTGACCAAGGTTGAAACTCTAGGGATCTTTTCATTAATTAAGTTCTGAAATAGAGCTGCTTTTACCATATGAATATAGTTCTAATTTGCCCTTCCCTCAAATTACTTATGACTTTTATGGAAGTTTCCTTCGTATCAAAATTGGGTAGAATTGCGAAATAACTTTTATTGGGTATTTTGGACTTATAAATTCAGATGCCTTAAAAACACAACTTTTTTTCTATAATTAAATTTATCTTATATATTGTACATTTGATTATGTCTCATGCACAGTGACACAAAAACGTGGTCAGTTTTAGTTAATTTATGTTACTTTCAGTCATTTCTCAGTCACATCAGATTAAAATTCTAATCATATTCAAGAATACATATTTTCATTTTGATGCTTTTAGCCCTTTCTGAATTATATACTAAGCTTTTAGTGGCTTATGAAAACACAAAAATACAAGCCACATTTGTGGGAAAAAAAACTTAGAAGAGACATTATTGATCTTTCTGGATGTTACCTTAACAGCACTTGAGATATAATCCATTTCACCTGACCCTTGGGCATTTTCCTGTCTTCACTGCAGTATTCTAGGATGCAGCCTTGCTGTTTTCAAATCTAACTGAATAGTTCACACTGTATTTTTTTCATATGCATACCTTGTCCCAAATGCCATCATTGCTACAAGTCGATCAGCTTTGTCTGTGATAAGTTTACATCTTTTTCCGTTAGACACTGTTAGATTGGACTACTCCTTTGCATTCTACTTTGACCCAGAGTTGTTGGTGGACACTTATTCCTCCACTAAAACCACTATAGGAGATTTATTCTAACTGTGCCCTTGATTCTTTATCTCATTCTTTGTGTCTTCGCAGCTACTCCTTCCCATCAAGAGGTGAAAGTTATTTCTATATCCCTTGAATCTGGGCTGGCTTTGCAATTTGCTGCAGTTAATAGGATGTGGCAGAAGTAAAGATGTGTTGGGTCTGAGTCTGAACTTCAAGAGGTTTTCTATGTTTATACTTTTCCTTTCAGGTCCCAGTAACTATCAGACGAACAAGCCCAGCTGAGCCTGCTGGAGGCTAAGAGATCATATGGATCATAGTCCACTCATCTTAGCTAAGAGTATGCTAAACTAAGCAGGTTGCAACTGATTTCAAAATATGAGAGAAAGACCAGCCAAAATAAGTGGAGTAATCTATCCACACTGCAGCTGTCCACACATGAAAAAGTGAGACAACAGCACAATAAATACCCAATCAACCTGGAGGCTTCTGATCTATAATAAATGCTGTGGTCTTCAGTCATTGAGTTTTGATGTGATTTGTTTTGCAGGAATAGCTGGCTTCCTTTATGGCTCCCAGTCCTGTTGCCCTAATGCCACTGTGGCTTAAAGAACACAAGCAAAATTGCAGCTTTCTGGGGTCCAATTTTTGGGGACATTATTCCTTTTCATGAGGGCTCTACTCTTATGACCTAATTTTCTCCCCAAGGTCACATCTCCTAATACCATCTGCTATGGTGTATATGTTTTCCCCAACAAACCTCTTGTTGAAATTTTATCCCCGGTCTGGCAGTGTAGGCAGATGGGGCCTGGTGGGAGGTGTTTGGGTAACATGGGTGGATCCCTCATGAGTAAGTGAGTACCCTCCTTTTCAGGTGAGTGACTTCTCAGTATCTTACTTCTCCCAAGAGCTGGTTGTTAAAAAAAAAAGCCTGGACCCCTCACCTTCCCTCTTCTCTTGCCATGTGATCTCTGTACACACTGGCTCCCCTTTGCTTCTCTGATGAGTAGAAACAACCAGAAACCCTTACCAGATGTAAGTGCCCAATTGTGAACTTTCTAGCCTTCAGAATCATGAACCAAATAAAACTTTTTTCTTTATAAATAACCCAGCATCAGTATTTCTTTATAGCAACACAAAACAGAGTAAGACACCATTATATTAGGATTTAGGATTTCACATAGAAATTTTTGGGGTACACAAACATTCTATTGAATGTATCATGTGACTGAACTTTTCTGTACCATTAGACACTGTTAATTAGTATCAATTTCCTCAAATTCCTTTCTTGCTTTTTGAGGCATCTAATTTTATACCTAAGATCTTAGTGACTCTCAATGCTGAATGTCCTTTATTGGTGTTTCTACTATTGTGGTTCCTTAAATGTTGATGTTTGCTACATTCTGTCTTTTATACTCACTATATTTCAAGTGAATTTTAGTAGATTTTTTAATACCCTAACTCCACTTTCTAAACACTCTGACCCCATCTTCTTTAGGCTTTCTAACTTTTTAATTTTATTTAAAAGATAAAATTAAAATATAACTGCTCATATAAGTGCTTATCAAAATCTATAAAAGCCTATTACAACTATCTCCTAAATAATATGTCCTTTTTGTTTGTAAGACTTTGTAATGCACATCTTAATAGTGGTATCCAAATATCTTCTAATCTTATATGCTAGTCATCTTTGCTTTTCATTACAGAAATTCAACAATCAATATCCATAAAACTTTCAAGTAACATAAAAAACATGTGAAATCTTGCATTCTACTTTATTTGCCATTGTAGACCTAGATTCTATTAACAGATACTGCCTTCATAAAAAACAGGCTATATATTTATTTACTGCATAATGTCAAAGCAAAGTATATTGCATCCCAAATGTATTAATATTAGTTCTATAAACATCGCTGAACAAATCTGATAGTGAAACATGATGAGAGAAGAAATGATATTTGTTGGTGAACAAATATTCCTTTAACAGATATGCATGTTACAATGTATACACAACTTTAATGTCTTTTTAAATTAAAGGCATGACAAAATTGTTACGAGTTACCCAAAAGGTGGTAATATTGGAAAGATCATCAGTATGTCTCTGCTTGAATAATATTTTGAATTGTAAAACTTGGAAATGAACAAAATATTAGAATAAAGCACACACACACATCTATGTAAAATGGAAGCTAGATAATGGGGAATAGGAAAAATGTGCACCTTAACTAGCACAGTTATGATAAATCTTTGTAATTTTTGGATGAAAACAATATCAAAGTATCTTGAATCTGGATTTATTTTTGACATTTATTCAATTTTTCCTTTAACCTGATATTAATGGATTATCAATTTTACACCTATTTTTCATTTTGTAACATGGAAGACAACTGAACATTATCTATGTTGTTATTTTTATAATTTTTGTAATATTATTTCCAAATGTGCAGTTTCTTAGCATTAATATAGGCTGTAAAATATTGTCAAAACCCCCCACCTAGGAAAGAATGCCTGAGATAGAATTAAGATATATATTTGAATAATAAAAAAAAATGAGTGAGGGAGGTTATTTTGAGATATGATTATCATTTGGATTGGAGACAGAGTGTCTGTCTGAATTAAGTTTGAAGATCTTACCTGAAATATGTATAGTAATGTAATCAACAAATTCATTATTTTATTATATGCTAACTTTAAGATTCACAGATTTCCTTGAAAATCCTTTCAAATGTTTTAATTATGCTTCCATAGGCATTATTCCAAAGCAATACTTATTAGAAAAAATGAATTAATCACTGGAGAAATAATTTAGAGTACTTGAGAGCTGATTGAGTAATCTTCTAGGGAAATATTAGATGGAGTGAAATATAGTAAAAAAATCTTATTATTTAGTGAGAAACTGTTTTAGAAAACTATTTTAGGCCCAGTCTGCTAAACAGTTGAAGCTATTTTCAGTGGCTTGATGATTTGAAATGTTGAATGCTAGCCAAGTAATAGATTATATCCTTTTGGAATACAAATGAGTCACTGGTGAAGTAATAAGCATAATAATACTTAGCACTTTTAATCTTCAAAACATTTTATAAACATTATCTAATTAATCTTTGTATCAATCCCATGAGACAGATGAATATCATTCTTTTTTACTTATGGTAGAAAAAAATTATGTAAAATTGGCAAGTCACAGAAACACAAAATGTTAGTTTTCTGCCACTGATCTCAGTAACTCAAGAATTTTAGACTAATTGCAATTTCAGATTTTTAAACATGATTTATATTAATTTTTAGAGGTCAAAAATATAATTTCTAAAAGTTGATAAGCTGTAATCAACATTATATAAATACTTAAAATACAAATGTAATTTTTTAGCTTTTAGTTGTAAAAGTCATTCTTTCAAATTACAGCCACAATTCTGAATTAATTATCTTTTTAATATTTTGTCCTTTATTGTATTTCTCCTTCAATTATAATTATGGCATAAAACATTTACACTTTCTTCAGAATTATCCTTAGTAATGATTTTAAAATAAAAAAATGCAGTTTCACAGTAACAATTGATACTAGGTAAACTATAGATGAAATATTCCATCCTGACCACACAGCTCTCATAGATGTATTTTAGCAAGTACTAGCATATTGGTATGTGTCCTTCCATACGTTTTCCCTTGCTCATACAAACACACATGTTTGGAGAGATTCAGCTTGTTTTCTTGTACATTTTTATATGGACATAGTAACAGTTGACACCTTGTTTTCTCATTTACTTTTTTACATTTAATAAAAAAAATCTAAGCTATACTTTGACTCTCTTTTGCTCAAAATCCTGCAAGAGCTTAAATTTAAGGCCCATTTCCATGGTCTACAAGGCCCACATCAGTTGGTTTCTTCTCCATCCTTGTTCTCACCTCTTTTTCAGTCTCAGGTGCTGGTCTCCCTCCTGGGACTCATCAAGCTTGCTGGCACTTCAGGGCCTTCCATTATTACATTTGCAGTGTTCTGCCTGAGGGACTCACCCTCAGGTATCTACCTGACTCACCCGTCTTTATTCAGACCTCTACTAAAACTTCCTTCTTGAAGAGACTCTTTCTGAACCACCTTATATAAAACCAAAAATCACTTTTCTCTCTTCATTATTCTATGGCCTTTACTCTGAATTCTTCCTCATTTTAGCACTTAACAAAAACTGATATATAATATTTGTTGATCCATTTACTCTTTGTATTTTTTTACCATAATCTTAATACTAAGCAAATACTGAGTACTGATATTTTGGAAACTGCATTTTATTAGCTACTAATACATTCGAGTTTCTTGTCACATATATACAGTCATGTACCACATAACAACGTTTGGTGTAATGAAGCACCACACGTACTGTGGTAGTCCCATAAGATTATAATGAAGCTGAAAAGTTCCTATCACCCGATGACATCATAGCCATCCTAACAGTGTAGTGCAACATATTATGTGTTCATTGTGATGCTAGTGTAAACAAATCTTTTGCATTGTCAGTCTTATAAAAGTATATTACATACAATTATATACAGCACACAATGCTTAGTAATGACAATAAACAACTATGTTACTGGTTTATGTATTTACTAGGCTAGTGTTATTTTAGAGTGTACTCCTTCTATTTATATAAAAAAAGTTAACTGTAAAACAGCCTCAGGCAGGTCCTTCAAAAGGTATTCTATAAAGAAATAATATAAGATTCCTTCTGTTGTTGTCATAGAAGATGACAACTCCATGGGTGTTATTGCTCTTGAAGATCTTCCAGTGGGACAAATATAGAGGTGAAACTCAGTGATATTGATGATGCTGACTGTGTGGAGGCCTAGGATAATGTGTGTATACACATCTTTGTCTTTAACAAAAAAGTTTAGAAAGTAAATAAATAAATAACAAATTTTAAAAATAGAAAAAGGCTTTATAATTAGAATACACAGCAAGAAATGTTTTACACAACTGTACAATGTGTTTGTATTTTTAAGCTAAATATTACAAAAGAGTCAAAAATTTAAAATTTAAAAGTTATAAACTTTATAAAAGTAAAAAAACTTATAGTACACTAAGATTAATTTATTCTTGAAGAAAAAAATAAAAAATAAATTTAGTATAACCCAGCTGTACAGTGTTTATGCAGTCTACAGTCATATACAGTAATGTCCTAGGCCTTCACATTCTCTCACCACTCACTCACTGATTCATCCAGGGCAACTTCTAGTCCTTCAAGCTTTATTTCTGCCAAGTGCCCTATACAGGTGTACCGTTTTTAAATGTTTATGCCTTCCTTTTTCTATGTTTATATATGTTTAGATACACAAATACCCTTGTGTTACAATTGCCTGCAGTATTCAGTACAATAACAGGATGTAGGCCGGGTGCGGTGGCTCACGCCTGTAATCCCAGCACTTTGGGCGGCCGAGGTGGGCAGATCATGAGGTCAGGAAATCGAGACAATCCTGCCTAATATGGTGAAACCCGTCTCTACTAAAAATGCAAAAAATTAGCCGGGAGTGGTGGTGGGAGCCTGTAGTCCCAGCTACTTGGGAGTCCCTGAGGCAGGAGAATGGCATGAACGCGGGAGGCGGAGCTTGCAATGAGCTGAGATCGCGCCACTGTACTCCAGCCTGGGTGACAGAGCGAGACTCTGTCTCAAACAAAACAAAACAAAACAAAAAAAACAGCTTGTAAAGGTCTGTAGCCTAGGAGCAACAGGTGTATACAGCCTAGGTGTGTGATAGGCTATACCATCTAAGTCTGTGTAAGGACGCTCTATGAGGTTCGCACAACAAAGAAATTGCCTACCCACGCATTTCTCAGAATATATCTCTGTCATTAAGCAACACAAGACTGAACCGTTAATAAATTTTATATTTTCTGTAAATGTTGATATTCCTTTTCAAGTTTCAAAATGTTTTTTAAATGTTTCAAAATGTTTATTTTTATTTTAAACTCTGCTTTATGAATATTAGCTATTTATGATCTATGTTGGATTATTTCCAAATCTTGTCATAAAAATTTTGATTTTTAATATAGCATAAATATCTATTTTTTATTTATTGCTTGTAAGATAGGAAGATCTTCCTTATCCTCATATTGTACATGTAGTCTCCTAGGTGTCCTTATAAATTTTAATTATTAATACTGTAAGTAATTATGGATTTTTTCAAAAATTATAGTGTGAGATAGGAATTTGCCTTTACTTTCTTCTTGATTGGCACCCACTAATCACATGTATCAACTAAAACTTTTTAAATTTCACTTAAAATTCCACCTTCATCATTAATTAAAATATATTAATATATATTCCTAGATTATGAGTAATCTTTCTTATATCTATACAAAAATATAATGATTTGATTACAGTGGCTTAGATTTTGGTATGTGATGTTGCAAGTCTCTATACATTTTTTGGCTGTTTTTGAGTATTTAATTGTCCATAGCTTAAATTAAAAGAAAAATTTGGGATTATGTGTTTAAATCCATTAAACTTATCATTTTTCTTCTTCTCTTATTTTAAGCCCTGGTGACTTATCCTGAATCCTCCATAAAAAAAAAAAAAAAAAAAAGAACCTAAGAAAAGAATCAAAGAAAGGGTATCTTATTATAAGGTGCAAAAATGAGGTAATAAGAATAGAAGGAAACCAATAGGGGCAAGAAAGTTATGCTGCAATGGAAATAATGCATTGCCATGTTAGCAACTGATTTTACACAAGTCTGAAACAAATAGAGCAAGCTATTCCAACAGCTCTTACTGGACACTTGGGACTTCTCCTAAAAATCTTCAAGGAGAAACTCTTTCTCATTGCAGCACAAAGTAAATGGATTAAGGCATATTTATCTGCCTGGCTCCTACTTGCCCTTCCTCTCCTTCTCCAAGGTTTTTTCCATAAGCTCCCAATTTTACCATCCTCTCAGATTGTCTCATCCAGCCTCTCCAGCAACCATGTTAGATCATAAACCCTATAACCTACAGTGTGATTCTGCATCCAAGTCTTCAGTGGGAAGATGAACCAGAAACTCCAGGCATACAGCTGATTAGTCTAGCTATGAACTGGTAGTGAAAAAGAGTCTGGTTCTCCCACTCTACATAAGTATTCAGCCTCTAATTGTAGCAGCAGGGTTCTGGGAAACAGAGGCAGTTTAAAAAATACGAATAGACACATACTCTTTGTTCTGATAAAAGTGGATTCCTAAAATAAATCAGAGAGTTATCCATCTTTTTCTCTAAAATACATATTTTGGGCCATAGAAATATCTATAATCCAAAATGGCTGCTGGAGAGGCTAAAGTATATGTGTGTGTGTGTGTGTGTGTGTGTGTATGCATGTGTGTGTATAAAATATATAAACATATATTTAAGACATATACACATATACACAAATGTATACATGTATACATATCCTACACACATATAAAATATGTGTATATATTTTATACACACATAAAATATGTGTATATATGTTATGCACACATAAATATACATATATATTTTATACACAAATATATATCTCTGTTATTTATAGAATAGATTGAATGCAGTGGAAAAGTTTTTGTTTTACATAGACATTAGACTAGATAGATATTAGACTATTTAGAAACATCTAAATAGTTATTTAGATACAGCCTTATTTGAAGAACGTGACCTAGATAGAACAATATCTTAATTCCTTTTCTAATACGCTTAAGAGTTTTATGAATTACCAGTCTAAAATAATGTTATAACCACTTGAAGAGTAACTACAGATGATTACATTAACAATAAAAAATTAAATTTATTTCCAGACACTGGAGAAATTTCAGTGGAAAGATTTGTGTTCATTTTGAAAGTTAGGATAGAGCTAATTTAATAGGTGTATATTAAAATGTCTAATCAATCTTAGTATTTCAAAGAAAAATTGTAGAAACATATTTCTAGAATTTAATTGGCTGACTTATCACTATTTTTAGTAGTAGTTCACAAAACTCTCTTTCCTACAATGATTTCTTAATAATGTTGAATGAAAAGTGACAGTATAACAATGAAGATAAACAGAATTTCTAGTAATCACGATCTGTTTATTTAAGAATGTTATATCTATGTTATAATTAGATTCTAAAATGTACTACTCTGAAAGATGTTGTTCACCCACGTGCTTTACCCTAAGTGAGTTTTTATATCCACTGAGCTCTATGACTTTATATGAATTTCCAGAGATTTTTAACATCAATTTTATAATTTTCTTCTATCTACACCTCATAAATGTTACATGTATTGTGATAAATCTAGTATTGTTGTTATTATGTTTCTATAGTCAATTTGCCTGAAACGTAATTTCAGCCATGTACTAGAATGATTATATCTTTGACTCAGCTATCATCCAGGATCTCAAACTCTTGGCTTACTCTTTGGCAAAAATCTACTTATTTCTAAGCTTTTCATTCACTCATTCCTACAGTTTTGCATGATCATTTTTAATTTGGTCCTTGAGTTTTTTTTCAAATACAGTACACATCTTCACACGTGTTTCCATGCAAAGAGTCAATTATGTTTCCCCAAATATTTTTCTTCGCAATCTGCAATTCTCAATGTTATGAGAGAAATAAATAAAATTATATCTCATTCTACATCTACTGTATCAAGCCTCAACTCAATGGCTATTGGTAATTTTTTTAATGCATCTTGTATTTTGTTCTAACGTATCTTTCATTGGCTTCTTCTACCCTTTATATAATCTTCAAACCTGCAATCCCACAATTTTTATCAAAAGTACCTACCTTCCCCTTCTGAGAGTAACACCATCAGACATCAAGTCTTTCAAATGGTCTTTTTTACATTTAAAAAATTTTATCATTTCATTACTCATTTTGTTTTTCTGACCTTCATCATGATTCAAACACA
The DNA here is from genome assembly GCF_000001405.40 of Homo sapiens. NCBI lineage: Eukaryota > Metazoa > Chordata > Mammalia > Primates > Hominidae > Homo > Homo sapiens. Next base: position 190,523,150 of record NC_000001.11, read on the forward strand.
AATAATTCTTTTTTCTTTTGTAACTTTTTTTTAATTTAAAATTTGTCTCCATTTCTTGGCTCTTACTTTAGCAATTGTTCTACTCATTAACATTTTGGAGGTCTCTAATAGCTACTTTCCTTTTGGCTAGAAATATTCTCTGGTGTTTCTCAAACAAAAACATGCCATACCTTCATAATTCTTTAGTTTGGAATTATGTTATTTTTTTCTTACTTAAAAACATTAAATCTTCTTCTAAAATCTACAGTCTGCCCTTAATAGTCTAATGAAATCATTTCTTAAATCAGTAGTAACCTAAGTGTTTACAAAACTATATTTTTCAGTTGTATTTATCTTTTATTTTCCCCACAAATTGTGACCATATTCTATGTAGATATATCTCTTGTTCTTAAATTAGTAACTTTTAAGAGGGAAAGAAGCTTTCCTTAACAGCATTATAGGTATTCCCATTCTTGATTTCTGCCTATATTTTATCTGTCATTGACACTGGTATCTCTTTTTCCTACTATGCTTTAAATCAAGCATGACTGTACTCATCCTATTTTCTTGATGGAGGATGTCATTGATTAGCTTACTAAACATCTGTGTCATCTTCCTCCTATTAAAAGAAGTTGTCCAAATTACTTTAGAGCTACCAGTTTGGATAACAATTAGGTTCTGTCACTTGGATGCATGATTGCAACATTTGGAAGACGTAAATAAGGTTAGATAGGCTATTATTTTACATCATGGTTTACATTTCTCTTCACCCCTTTATACACACTTTTTTTTTCTGTTTTCTTATTTCTTTTTGTTCCTTCTTACATTTATCAGCAAGTAATATTTTATAAATATAATGGCTACCTGTAGCATCAATTCAAGAAATACTTCTCACATTTCAAGAGGCAATTCTAGTAGTGATCTGATGGCAGAAGCTTCTTGATTCCCCTTGCCATGCAATGCAGTTGTGATTTTGAACTCATACATCTAGTGTCATCCTCAGATGCAGCAGTTTTCCTTTTGAGTCATTTTTGTATATTTCTAATGGTTCATCCTAGAAACCATTTGTCCAGCTGTCATGACAGTTTATAAACATCTATTTCCTTATATTGCTCTTTCACCAACTCACAAGTGACTTCATTCACTACCATGAGTTTAATTTTTTTTTCTTTTTTTTTTTTTGAGACGGAGTCTCTGTCACCCAGGTTGGAGTGCAGCAGCGTGATCTCAGCTCACTGCGAGCTCTGCCTCCTGGGTTCACCCCATTCTTCTGCCTCAGCCTCCTACAGTCGCCCGCCACCACAACCGGCTAATTTTTTTGTATTTTTAGTGGAGACGGGGTTTCACCGTGTTAGCCAGGATGGTCTCGATCTCCTGACCTCGTGATCTGCAGGCCTCGGCCTCCCAAAGTGCTGGGATTATAGGCTTGAGCCCCCACGCCTGGCCTAATTTTTGTTTCTTCGGTAGATGACTCAAAAATTGACTTATTTCACACTGTCAATATACTGGCGGGGAAAATACTCTTTTTTGTTAACTGGAGATTGTTTGAAGACTTGATTCTATCAGCTACTGTCTCTGATGCTTTAGGGAAAAAGAAATCAATTACTTTGGATTTCAAGCTTCTCAATACTAACAATAAAATAGTGATGCTTATCTTACAAAGCTGCCTGAAAAATAAATGAGACTATGTATTCAGAGGCATGTAGAATTGTCATGGACACCCATTATTTTTCCCTGCCTTTTCACTTTTTAAGCTTCTTTCCCATAATTGTAACCTTCCATTAGATATATACTAATGATATGCAGGTGCTATCTCAAATATATCATCTTTAAAATAAAAGTAACCTCCAATATTTTTGGCTTTCTTAACATTCTCTGCAAGGAATTGATTTATTTAACAACACTTTAAAATATTTGCTACCATCATATTTGTGTCATGCACCATTAATATCTGCATAATTTCCCACCTTTCCCAATCCATGAAAAAAATTTTCATTATATTTGCAAACATGTCCATAACGTATAGATTTCTTTCCATGACTTCAGCTATTATCTAATTCAAGTCATTATTTCTTCCTAGAATTTTTAAAATTTATTGATACTTGCCTTTTGTGCTCTATCTACTACTTACTCCCTACCTTCATATCTATTCTGTAAACAGTAGGGAAGAGAGGTGGTTATATCAAAATACGAGTCTAGTGGTGCCACTGCTCTTCTAAGGAACCTTGCATTGCTTCTATATTGTATACACATTTCCTTAGGATTTGGATCCTATGAAAGCCCTATGTCCTAGATTCTAGATGAGTTGGATTTATAGTGTGTGTTAACTGTGAATTTTCCCCTGTTTGATGTTGCCCACACTATCTTTCTGTCTGCAGTTCTACTTACCCCAGCTGCTTCCTCCATCTGACAAAAGTTTTATGTTTTTCAGTTTCTTCCATTAGGAACACCATTGACATTTTTCAATTTCTCTCATAAAGGGCAACATTAAAACTTTGGCATGTGAGAAAGTTAGTTATTTTTCACAAGTATATTCATTGATATATGGATCTCCCTACTTGTCTTTTAACTCTTAAGAACAAGGGTTTTCTTCACCATATGTTCTATCTTAGTGTTTTTAACTGAGTAAATAATCAGGGAAAAGTTGATGAAGTGCTATTTTAGTTCCATTTTTTAGAGTTATTTATACTACCAAATATAAGACATTTTAATCAATGATCTTATTAAATGAGCAAGAAAAACAAAAATAAGGAAAACCTCTCCACAAGCTATTACCTGTATTTCAACATTTACACCATTGTGGGAGCTCCATATATGTCAAATCTTACTGCTTTATAAGCTGTGTGACTGAAGCCTGTTTGGTGGCTTTCAATTTTAATTTTACTCATGATTTTTAAATGATTTTATTATAATAGGATAAGAATTTGAAGAATAAGTGATTTTCATTTTTACATTGACATTTATTAAAAATTTTATTTTATATATACTTATAAGGAATGTAAATAAATAGAAAACAAAGGCCAAAAATGGAACTTCCATACTTCTTATTGACAATATGTTATGCAGCCAGTAGCTCAAAAGTTATTTCAAAATGATTTTTATACTCTAGTCTATTTGGCAACTTAGCTAAGTACAGGAGCCAGATATTTCTCTCATATTTACTTTCTGAAAGCTTTGCAGGCTATCCTTTGATTTTTAAATTATAATTTTGCAAAGTATATTCTCTTTTTAAAGCTATTAAAAGCTAGACATGAAAATTAAGAAGTATATTTCAACCATGATGTATGTGTGTACATGCACGTGTGTGTGTGTGTGTGTGTGTGTGTGTATTGGACAGTGTATGGTAGGTAGAGGAATGGGACATGGGACATAATAAAATTTTGAAACTTGATTCATTTTTCTCCAATAATCTATTATCTACTCTGGACAACTGTTCAAATATATATGTAAAAATATCTGCCACATAAAATAATCCTCAGAAGTGATTTGGACCATGTGAAAAAATTATCTTTATGTGCTTAAAAATTTTATTTAAAGCTATCAGTGTTCTCAATAGGTTTCTAATTTAAAAAGATCACATCACTATAATATTGGGAACATAAGCTAACTAACTAACTTGTTTTATGTTTCTGATACATCTATATCCATTATTATCAAACAGACTCTTGTTATGTTAATTTTGGTGGTTCTACCTTAAAAAACTTGTAAGCCACTTCAAGTAGGTTTTGAACTTCTTGGTGTAATAAACGTAAGTGTACATGTAAATAAATCACTGAAAACTCATCAGGATTTATACTTCTCTTCCAGCAGAAAGAACTAAAGAATCTTTAAATACATATGTCTAATTATTGAACTTTGTCTCATAAATTTTTTATTCTGGATTTTTTTTCATTCAGCATCTTATCTCCAGAGCCCTTTTTCTCTTAAATTATATATTTGAGACAATCCTATATACCGGTGGTAAAACCTCAAACACCTCACAGCTTGTTAATGACTTGACTAAACACAATGAAAATGAGGACATATTTTGATTTCTGATTATCTTGAACATGATGATATACATCTTTCTAAACATTTATGTTATTAATACTTGTTTATATTCTTTGTCATATGCTATGAAATTAATTGAGTAATGAAATGTGAAGTGACAGAATAAGAGGGAAGAGAAAAGAGCTAAAGGGGAGCTGGATTGAAAATGATCTTATGGAAACAGAATTTGATTCAGAACTTCAACCACATTTCATAGTCAACAAGCAAGTTTAAGCAAGTAGAACTTCACATAATTATCTTAAGTGTATGAAATGGAAGTGAATGAAATAGTATTCAAATTTGTAAGGCAAACCAATGACTATGACCATTCTCCTAGATCGACTATACAGACTTTTTTCTAAAAGGAAATTAGGGTTACATGTGAATAAAATTAATTTGGTAATGATGATAAAATAATGGGTATGATAATGCTGTGATAGTCTGAAAGTACAGTGTTATTGTAACGTCAAATATTGAATATTATGTGTTCAGAAAAAAATATTCATGAGCAGAGGCTGCCAGGAAGATGTTTATGGCCATTATAAGAGAAGTGATATGGTCCCAAAGAGTGGGGAGGATCTGTTTTCTGCCATGACTAAATCCAGGAAAATATTTCCTCAAAAAAGAGACTCACAACCTCCACACCACTGTTAAACAGAAAACAAACTAAGCGTGGTAAAGCAGTGTTTAGGCAAAAGTGTAGAGACATGGAGTCTTCTGGACAGAGTTAGAGAATCATGGTATGATTGTCATCCAGCTACTGAGAAAGCAGTCTTCAAGCACTTGGTCCAACATAGTTGGAAAAACAAGCTTTGAATAATACAAACACTTGTAGATTCTATACTCAATATTTGTCTTTGTTCAAGTATCCCTGATGAATGATGAAATAATGAAGATATCTAAAAAGGGAACGGATACTCAGCATACTGAACAGAGGTAAGTCAGATTTACAGTGGAAGGTTACATTTATATGAAAGTTTTATGCTAGCTCTTTAATTCCCTGACTGTGGGTGATCCTGAGATTCTAGGTGAGGTTTAATTGAGTTTATACACCATCACAGTGCATATGCATTAGAAGCAATCATAATAGTTCATTCGTTCTTGCGCTGTTATAAAGAACTTCCTGAGACTGGGTAATTTTTAAATAAAGAGGTTTGATTGACTCACAGTTCCACAAGCTGTATAGCAAGCATGGCTGGGGAAGCCTTAGGAAACTTAGAATCATTACAGAAGGTGAAGGAGAAGCCGGCACGTCTTACATGGCTGAAGCAGGAGGAAGAGAGAGTGAAGGGGGAGGTGCCGTACACTTTCCAACAACCAGATTTCTTGAGAACTCTATCAGGAGACAACACTAGGGGAATGGTGCTAAACCATTAGAAACCACCTCCAAAATCCAAACACCTCGCACCAGGCCCCTCCTTCAATATTGGGAATTAGAATTCAAAATGAGATTGGGGTGGAAACACAGTGATTAAATGTCATCACCCATTTCCTAAAAAGCAAACTCAGATGAGCCCATGACTGTTCCTATGGCTTACACATAAGTGATCCTAAGAAAAATGGGTAAGGATATAGGGAAAACTGAACAAGAAAGAAGTTGGGCAAGTGCTGGATTCCAAACAAAGCCCCTTTTTCCTGCTGGAAAACTGTGAAATATAAGGGATTCATTGGTTAAAGGATACTCAGGAGAAACCAAAACTCCTTGGTACTTTGAAGCCCAGGGACAGGCCCTGAAGATGCTCAGGTTGTAGAAACAAAAGCACACCAAAGCAGAGGAATAAATGCTCTGAAAGTTAAGCGTGATTGGAGGGTATTTTGGTGGGGCATGGACAATGTCAGCAGAAATCATTTATAGCTTTTCACATAGCTGATAGTAATGGTATTCCATGTTGTATCGAATGTCATTGCTGACAATATACATTTTTAAAAAATTCCAGATTGTGGGGTTAGTAGTTTTTAGAAGATTCTACTGTCATTTTCACAAAGTTCCGAGTTATAGAAAACCAAAAGTGTTGCAAAATATAGACCACTCGTTCCACGTAGAGCAGTTCTTCAGAGAGAACTAATACAGGTAAACACCTTTAATTAATTAATTGACGTATAAACCACACTTACCTGTCTAAATACATTCTAAGCTATACTATGTAAATTTGTTAGGGATTGATTAATAAAATTTAGATGGATGTACTTAAGAGCCTGTTAGAAGTTGGAAATAAAATTATTATTGCAGTTATGTTTATATCTAATTATAATTAAAGCTATTAATTTTAGTTTGTGCTTCTTTTCACTCTTTTCATGTAGAGACCACCAAATAGTGAACAGCAGCAATAAAGCATCACTACCTAAATGCTATTTGTCTGAGGAGATCTTGAATAACATGGTAATGCCTTTGCAAGAATAAGCAGGAATAATGATATTAGATGGCAAATATGGGTAGATATTTATTCACTTCAGACATCGGTGAGACTACAATTTACTAAAATAATTGAACTCTTAGAAATCTAGAGTTAATTGGTAGGATTTTCTTGATATAAATTAGGTGTAACCAAATAGCACTATTTTTTTTAATAGACCTTTGGATACCATAATTTTTGGTCTCCAAAGTTCACCAAGTTGGTTTCAAAGTTTAATTTTTTTCTTGAGAGAAAAACATGAAAAGCCCATGAAGTTTCAGTCTGATAAACAGGAGGAATCTATGTACCTGTGTGATCTATGTACCTACATGATCTTGCTCTTGCTCTAGATATTTAGTGAAGACATAATTAACGTTGTCTTTTGCCTTTTTTTCTTTCTTTTTTGAGACAAGGTCCCGTTCTGTCACACATGCTGGAGTACAGTGGTGCAGTCACTGTTTACTTCAGCCTTGACCTCCTGGAGTCAAGCTATCCCCTCACATCAGCTTCCTGATTAGATGGGACTACAGCAGCTTACCACTATACCTGAGTTGTTTAAAACAATGTTGTAGACATGGGATCTCATTCTATTACCCAGGCTGGTCACAAATTCCTGGGCTCAAGCAATCCTGTGCCAGCCTCCCAATGTGCTGGGATTACAGGCCTGAACCACCATACCTGACCTAACATTGTTTTTTTTTTAAACGGAGGAAGACAATCTAGCCCAATGCTAGATACTGAGGTAATAGGTAGCTGTAAAGAATTGTTATAAAAAATAGGTGAGGTGTTACTTCTGTCCTCAAGAGACTTATACCCCATTTTGAAAAATATAACTAAGAGATCTTGATGTGAAAAGAGTTCTATTCAATAAGAATTAATGCAAAATTGTGTCAAAAGAATTGAGGGCACATTTTGCTTTTTGGAATAATTGTAGGGCCAATACAATTATGATTGCATAGTTAAGAATTCAAAGACATGTCTAAGCTGGTCTCTAAGCAATGGCTTATTTACAGGTAATTTCTTGGTAAGTTACTTTAGCATTTAAACATACCAATGATTTAGCACTACCATAGAAAATAAGCAACAAGACAAAGGCAATTAAGTAAGACAGAAACAATTATAGGCAAGGCCTAATAGTAGTTTGTATAATTTTTGGAATAAAGTCAACAACGCACTAAAATAAAAGACACTAAGAAAATAATGAGTTATACATTTCTAGTGTCAGGTAGGGTGCAATTGTGAAAAATGTTTCCACAATCCCAAGAGTCATCATTCAAAGTCAGAGGCAACCCTGACCACGAACTGTTAGGAAAAAAAAAAAAAAAAAAGAGTTCCTGAATTTGAAGGGTCTAACCCTAAAAGAGGATCACTTTAAAAGATTCAGGTCAGAAAAAATAAGAAATCAAGGAGTACAGAAAAGGCTGTGCCAGCCACTCTGGACAAAAAGAGAGCCAGACATACATAGATGGAGTCTCAAGATATAGTCAACACAGTCATAATGCCAGCCCCAAGGTAGAATGAGAGCCAAGACCTGTTTGGGAAGTGAATGATGCTAAATGAGAAAGGGAAATTTAGTGCCAGAGTTTTTTAGACTGAAATAGCCAAATGCTGGTACAGAACAATTGCATTCTCCAAGGATATTTTCAATTCACACTGACAAAAATTGAATCCATTAACTGTCTTTAATTGTCTGTTTTTAATTTTTTCTATTTCTTTATTTTATGTTGAATATACTCCTACAAAAGAATATGTGGAATACAATTGTAGCTAAAAAATAATAGCATGCAAGTATTTATCAGTGTAAGAATTAGCATAACATGTATGCATTAATACATTCAAATCCCTTTCCTAAAATGTAATCACCATTATGCAAAACTTCTGACTTTTTTCACTTTTCCTTTTCATTACGGCAAATTCATATATATGCATAAATAACTCTAAGGGCTAGGGATAAATAACTCTAAGGGCCCACCACTTTGGAAGGCCGAGGTGGGTGAATCACTTGGGTCCAGGAGTTTGAGACCCGCCTGGGCAATGTGGTGAAATGCCATGTCTACAAGAAATTAAAAAATTAACCATGTCTGGTGGTGTGCACCTCTAGTTCCAGCTACTCAGGAGGCTGACGTAGGAGGATTGCTTGTGTCTGAAATATTGAGGCTGCAGTGAGCTGTGATTGCATCACTGCCCTCCAGCCTGGGTGACAGAACAAGACCCTGTCTCAAAACAAAACAAAAAATAAATCCGACAATCATAATTAGTTACGGAATTTTCATATAGATTAAATCAAAATATAATTTTTGTCAAGAAGGTATCTATTATAATTTCTTTCTATAAGGATATCTAATTTTCTCAGTGATGTTTACTTATATTTATTTATTTATTTAGTAAGACAAAATAAATTTTATGTTATCTTTCATTTTTATCTTAGGAGTAGCCTAACAATTGGCAATCTTTTTAGATATTTGACCAGTTAAAATAATATTTTTTAACCACTTATGCATAGGACATAAAATTTCATTGTTTAATATGAAATTTAAAAGATGGGTCCATTTTCTTTCTATTTTTCTAATGAGTTAATAAATATTTGTCATTGATTTGAATTGTTGACACATGAAGCTATTATATGTATGATAGCATAAACTGAAAAGTTTATTTTCTGAAAGATATTTTAGGAAATTCCTAAAAAGTCGTTTTTTCATAGGAATAAAGAATACATTTCAAACCCTCATAGTTAATTCTTCATCTATATATAGAAATCTAGAATGTGATTTAAATAGAGAAAACATATGAATATATCCGAAGACAGAATGACTGAATTCGTCATGCATTGGTTTCTCTCAGGGGTATGCTGGTGATATAGGGTAACGCTGCTCTCCATGGTTAGACTTCTTGTGGGCATTTCTCTACCTTGAATATATGTTCCTGTTTCTTTTGGCCCTGCTGGTTATCACAGATTGATTGAATTCTTACCTGTCAGAAATCACAGTTTTGTTTTTCATTTAATTAAGACTATTTAAATGAGCTGTTCTTCCTTCTCTACAGTAAAGCTGCACCCTCCTCACTGCCCCTGCTCAGCATTTTATTCCAATTAAATGCAACTGCCTCCTTTGTCATAATTCCCCCAAATATGCCAACTTAAAAAATAAAAACTCTGATTTGGTGACATTTTTTGGCTATTTAATGGGAACTTGAGGAGCTCACAGTCAGTCTGATTCTAGTCTTTGAATATCCTTTCCTTTCCTTGGAGTTTCTCTTTATACATCACCTAATGTAACACACTGTGAGTAACTTTAATCACTAACATTTTTTTCCCTATAGATGTACCATGTTTACTTTTCATTAGAAAAATGCAGATTACTCTGCATAATATATAATATCTATCTTTATATTTTGTTTATTCCCCAACATTTTTTTTACTTTCAATAAGAGGCAACTTTGGACAGATTATTGTTATTTCATCAAAATGACTTTATTATGGCTATAGAGTATAACTGTGCTCATATTCAAAGAGATAAGAGCTAACACAGCTTTTGATTAGTAATGGGATATTATGTAAAAATTCAATAGCAGACCATACATTGAAGAGTTATTTAAAATATATTTATAAATAACTACTTGTATGGATTGTGGTATCAGAATGGAAAAAGAAAACCTATAGATGTGAATCTGTGATTGTTCCCTTCCCTGTCTCTCTATCTCATTGGTAAGAATTTTTCTCTTCCAGCAGGAGGATGGTAATGAAAAGCTTTAGCAGCTTTCTTTTTAGAGGGAAACACACTTGATTTGGACTGACAAAGGGAAGCCCAAATTTTTGTCAGCGGCAAGTGGTAGAGTCATTAAGAAAGGATGCTGCATAACTGTAGCTTTGCTAGCTGAATTGATTCAACTATAACCATAACATTAAATAGGAGAGTTTAGAAAAGAGAGAGCTATCGAAGGCATAAGCAAATTTCTCCATACATTCCTGGCTGAGTAAGAAACTTTTTTTAGGCAGTTGAGACATTAGATAACCTGGAGAAAAGTGAAAGACAAGGAAATCTTGAAAGCTGGTCACAACTTTGAACGTGTTCCTCAATCCAAAAACTAATTGATTGGCAGAGGGCGAAGCCTTTATGTGCTTAAGGTTTTTGAGCACAATATCTATTCCAGTCATTGCCTGACCAATAAGCTATTCAGATACAGAAGCATCCTTTAGGAAGACAGACTTTTTAAAAATTTACAATAGGTTGAAAAAATGCTATACAGTTCAATAAGTGTCTAAACACAATGAGAGGGACAGATGCTACTGTTTAAGTACTGGCAACTTGATTAAATAAAACAGCAACCTTCAGAAAAACATTTTTTTAATTCAGAGTTTCCATACTATATTATTAAAAATGTTATATTTTAATACAAAATTAGTAGACATGAAGTGCCATAAGAAAGTGTGATCCATACTTAGGGGGAAAATGGTCACAATAAACTGACCATGAGGAGTTCTGGGTGTTCCATTTAGCAAAAACTGACTTCATAGAAGTTATTATGAATATATCTACGAAGTAAAGAAACTATGTGAACAATGAACAAACAGGGAAATTCAATTGAAAAATACAAACTATAATAAAGAACCAAATGGAATCCTGTAGATTAAAAATATAGCAACTAAAATGAAAAACATTCACTAATTATACTCAACAACAGACTTGAAATGATAAAGAAAAAAATCTGTGAATTTGAAAATATATTAATAGAAATTATCTAATCCAAAATATAGAAAAGAGAGCTTAAATCAAAGTTAAAAGGGACTCAATGACCTATGGAACACAATCAATCATTCCAACATACACTTAATGGAAGTCCCGAAAGGAGAGGAGATATGAAAAATGATAGAAAATTTGAGAAAATAGTGATCCAATACTTATTAAATTTTATGTAAAATAACCCACTAATCAAAGAAGTTCAACAAACACAAAATGAATCGCACAAAGACATGATAGTAAAGCAGCTGAAAGCCAAAGAGAAATAAGCCAAAGATTGTAACTCATAGTGTACGGAACAACGTGATTAAAAACAGCTGGCTTCTTAGAAAAAGAAAAAAAGCAGGACAGTGGAATTACATATTTAAAAGGTTTAAAGATAATCAATTCAACCAATAATTCTTTATCCAGCAGAAATATCCTAGGATTCTTCAAGTAAAAAGGTGAAATAAAATTCTTCTCAGACGAATAAAATACTCAGCAAATATGTTTCCAGCAGACTTTCCCCCCACAAGAAATACTAAAGGAAGGACTAATAATAAAAGAAAACGGATCAGATGTAGTAACTGATCTACAGGGACAATCAATGCCAGAAATAGTAATATTTTGGCAAATATATTATATGTGGACTACATGTGTATGTGTACAATTTTTTCAGTCTTCTATTAATTTAGTAAAAAGAATCATAATATTGACCCAATCAATAATTATATCACTAAATTCCTGGGTTTATGAAGAATTTAGGTGCATTATACATGTATATAAGAGCAAAAAGAAGGGGAATAGAATAATACTAGTGTGTAGTTGCTATGTTTTATAAAAAATTGTATTAAAGATGCTTATTGTAATTTTAGTGCAACAAAAAATAACTCATAAAAACAGAGAACTTAAAATGATAAGCTAAAAATATTTATTTAACAAAGAAAAGGTTTGTAAAGAAGGAATAGAAATATGAAAAAGATAAGAAATATAAACATTTAAAAAATCAAATAGCATAATGACAAACCCAAATCCAAACATATAGTTGCATTAAATGTGCAGACTAAATACTAATCAAAGGCCATCAGTTTCCAGACTGGATGAAAAAAATGAAGAAAAAATTGATGTAGCTATATGCTCGCTATATAAAATATTTTTATATTCAAAGACACAATTAGATTTAAAATAAATGACATAGCAGGCAACAACTATAAAAGAGATGGAGTAGCTATGTTATCATTAGACATAAAAGATTCTAAGAAAAAGAATATTACTAGAGTCCAAGAGGGACATTTTATTTTAAAAAGGTTGAATACAACAGGAAGACACAACATTTATACATGTATTTGCTCTTAAAAGAACTCCCAAATACATTAAGTACACACACACACACACACACACACACACACACACTCTGCAGAATTGGAAAGAGAAATTAAAATTTAAATATAATTGAGGATTTCAATAGTGCTTTCTTAGTAATTGATAGACCATCTTGACAGAAAATCAGTAGGTATATGGAATACTTACTTAACATTATCAATTAAATTGAACTGAAAGGTACAAAACTCTAACCAGCTGCAGCTGAATACACATTTTTATCAAGTGCATATGGCACATTGTCTAGGATAAGCCAAATACTAAGTCAAAAAATCTTATTGCATTTAAAATTATTAAAATTGTGCAAAGTATATTATGTAATTTCATTGGATTTTAATCAGAAACTACCAGCAGAATAAAATCTAGGAAATCTCCAAGTATATAGAAATAAAATAACACAAGTCACAAAGAAAATCAGAAAATATTTTGATTTGATTGAAAATGAAAAGTAGCAATCAATCTACTTTAAAACTACTAATCTAAGTTTCTTCTACCTTAAATATCTAGAAAACGAGGCATATGTCAAATCAAACACAAACAGAAAAAAGTGTGTGGGGATAGAATATCAGAATAAAAATAAATGAGATCAAATAACAAAAAAATTAATGAAACCAAAATTAATTATTTCAAAAGATAAAAAATGGATAACCTATCAGACCTATTAGTGACAGAGAAAAGAAACACACACACACACACACACACACACACACACACACAGAAGTTACAAAAATCAGAAATGAGAGAGGTTTCCTCACTACAGATTTTGGAACAATTAAAAAGATTAGATGGTATTATTATTAATAACATTATGTCAATGAAGTACACAAATTTCTAGCAACACACAAATAATCCTTGTGAACTTTTTAGGTAAATGAAAGTCTTATTAAACTTACATTAATGGAAGAAACGGATTTAGTAAAGAAAAATCTTCCCCTAAACAAGTTCAAGCCCAAATGGTTTCAACATGTGAATTCTATCAAAATTCTAAGAAATAAATTATACATGTCCACACAGACTCTTACAGAAAATGGAGAAGGTGGAAATGTTTCTCTACTCACTTTATAAGTCCCATGTTTCCCTGATACCAAATGAGATAAAAACATAGAAAGGAAACTATGAAATAGCATTTCTTGTAAAAATAAAAAAATTAAATTAAATATTAACTATTTAGAAAAATATAAAATAGTCATGTATCATGAGCAAATGTGTTTTATTTCAGAAATGTAAGGTTGTTTGAAGATTTAAAATTAGTTATTAAAACCCACAAGATTAAAAGAATAAAAGAAAAATACCATAAGATCATCCCAATAAATGTAGAAGAACCATTGGATAAAATTCAGCATCCATTCATTTTTAAATGGGTCAACAAACTAAGAATATCATGGGCAATCATTAACCTAATATACAGCATCTATGAAAAACATACAGCTTCCTTCATACTTAATGATATAGGTCTGAATAATTTGCACCTAAGACTGGAAAAAGAGCACAGACGTTCACTCTTTGCACTGCTGATCAATACAGTTGATTCCTGAACACATGGGTTTGAACTGTGTAGGTCCACATATAGGATAATTTTTTCCCACAAATACATTGGAAAATTTTGGGGAGTTTTTTTACAGTTTGAAAAAACTTACAGATGAGCCACATAGTCTAGAGATGTTGAAAAAAATTAGGAAAAGTTAGGCATGTCATGAACGCCTAAAATACATGCAGATTTTAATCTATTTAAGCATTAACTGTTCATGTTTTTCGTAGGGTTTCAGGTCATCACAGGCTAGTAGCAGTTCAGTTTTTGGTGAGTCAAAAGTTATACATGGATTTTTGCCTGCTTAGGAGGGAGTTGGTGGCACTAACTCCTGTATTGGTCATGGGGCAATTATATTTTATAGGCAGTCCGAGACAATGCAGTGAGACCCAGAAGAGAAATTAAAGGCATACAGGTGGGAAAGGATGACATAAAACTGTCTTTATTCAATGATGGTATGATCATATCTGAGATTCCTAAGGATTTAGGAGGGGTTATCTATCACCTTCCTATAATAATGTTTAACAAGGACATGAGATACATGATTATTATATAAAAATCAACTATAATTTTATAGACTATTTACAGTTTTGAAAAGTGAAGCTAAGAAATGATTTCTTTCACAATAATATCAAGATGAACAAAAACTTTTAGCAATGGAAATTCAATTTCTGCATAAATAAAACCATGAATCATTACTGAAATAAAATAAAATACTACTGTGAAATACAAAGGAAAACACTATATACATGCAACAATGTGAATAAACCTCAAAAAAGGGCCAGACACATAACTACTTGTTGCATGATTCCAAATCTACAAAATTTCATGAGAAGAAAAAATTATAAAAATATAATTAGATTAGTAGTGGTCTGGGGTTAGGGATCATGACTGATCCTTGGAGTGAAGAGAATAATCTAAACTGGGATGTGGAGATGGTCATCTAATTGAATATATTTATTAAGTCTCATTGAAATGAACAATTAAAATGAGTGAATTAAAAGGAATGTAAATTTTGCCATGCTAAAGTAATTTAAAGAGAAAAATAATCATATGAATAAAAATAAAAATATTTTCTAAAACAAAAATCTGATGGAGAAAAAAAAGTAAGAGAACAGTACTGAATATTTCCCAAATGTGACATTTGATCAAAACAAAGTAAACAAAGCCTGTAATGGTTTATTCAGAATCCAGTCTGAAAATATTATAATCTCTATAGATTGACCTAAGACAGTTATGAGACTATTTAAAAACTGGCACAATAAAATTTTCAAAGTGTTAAAACATTAGCTATCTTGACAGACATTTTATTCTAGGATCTGACACAGTATGAGGTCAATAAATTTTGATTGAATAAATGAATAAACATAATTTGCTATTTTAATTTAAGTCCCTAGTGATTTAATTTAGACTTTCATGCAAATCGTTATTATATATTTGCATATATTTGTTAGAAAGACAAGTCAACTGAATATAACAGAAATATCAGCATTAATCATTGATTAAAGTGCAAATGTATTGTGTTTGCTGTTATGTTTTTCTGACATCTGAAGTGGATTAATAAACAGAAACCAATTGCTTCACTTATTTCCATGGAATGATATTCTCTGGAAAACCACTAGGGTTGTGAATAAAAACTACTTAAATGTAAGCATTATGCATTATGTGGTATTTATTGCTGATTAAACTAGAAGGAAATGGCATTTATTGTAAATACAAAAATTTTAAATAAAATATTAGCTATTAAGCAAAATATAAATATAAAATAATTATGTACTATGTATTTATATATGTATCATGAAAGATATATTTCATTATTTTACATTAAACATTTTATTCGTAACTGCAGGTGAACCTTTCAATGATTTAATTGAACATTTTATTAGAAAAATATTCTGAGTTTTTATAAAAAGATACTTCTTAGCTTGAACAGCATTCTTAATGTATGCGTACATACAACCATTTTCTACTTTAATTCTAATAAACTCACAGAACTCCAATCATACTTATCCTTTGTTTTCATGTATTAAAGTGCTTTCATTAAAATAATGTATAGAAAGATGTCTTTTCTCACTATGTTAACGTAGAGATTTCATATTCATTAGTTTGAGATATACTATTGGTGTCTTTCTTCCCCATTCATAGTAAACACAATTAACCATTCTCTTTTTGACATAGTTCAGGGAGACAGGCTTTGATCCAACTGACTCTTGGCTAAGCCTCTAGACTCTGAGACTCAAAAAACAGATCAAAACTACTGATTCTAGGATAAAGACTGAAACTTTGTGTTTCCCATGGAAAGGCTTTACAGCTCACTCTCTTTAAGTTTCGCATATTATTAGAACATTTTTACTGAGATTTTTAAAAAATGAGCATGGGTAAATATATAATGATTTTAAAAGCACTTTTGTCTTGTGACAATTAAATGAGTTTTCAATTAAGAAGATATTTTTAAAACTAAGAGTTTATTTGTACTCCCCTGAATTTTAGACATAAAAAAAATTCTTAATAAAGTTTCATGTTAAAAGTTATGATTCTAAAATTACAGTTAAAAACTAAGGAGCTTTTTTATTTCACAACTTTTAGTCAGTGTCATTTGCACGTCCTAGTTTTATAAGTTTAACACCCTGATTTTTCAGAACAATCCACTAGCAAATTGACCTCAACATTAATCAAATTTTTAATTTTATTCATAGATATAGCGTCATGCTTTGTATTTAGAAATTGAGCAACACACACACACACACACAAACACCACATTTCCCTAAAATAAGATAACAATGTTTTTTAAAAATTTTTCCAGACATTTTAGGAGTTCAAAATCTTGAAGTAGCAAGACTTATCACTACAATGGTCTGAGTGTCCTTCCCTTTCAAATGAAATCTGGACCGAGTTCTGATCGATAGTGTGAATATCCGGCCTTGGAACTTACATAACTCCTACCATTATCTCTCTGGCTAGTTATCTAAGGATCCTTGCATCTCTCACAAATTGCACTTCTCTTTGCCTATATTTATTTAAATTACTTCTTTGTTTAGGTTAATATTGGTTTTCTACATTCATTTGTTTGATTGTAGCAGAACTTTTGAATGACTGTTATAATGACCAATATCCATCAATTTCTGGAAAATATTGACTTAAATAAAAATCAATCTTGCCTCCATTTTAAATAAACTGCTTAGAGACAGTTTCATACTTCCAGTGGTGAAGAGTATTTCAAACCCTCATCTGGCACTGTGAAATAAATGAAACCTGGGATCTCTAACATTAACTATAATTTCTTTCTCATTATTTCACCACTCCATTCTCCTATTCAATAAGTGAACTCTGGTTGTCCTCTCTGCTCATTATACATGTATTAACATGATAAAAGACACTCCCACCAGTTCCATGACAGTTTACAAATGTCATGGCAACATCCAGAAGTTACCCTATATGGTCTAAAAGGGGAGGAACCCTCAGTTCCAGGAAATCCCTGCCCCTTTCCTGGGAAATGCATTAATAATCTACCCTTTGTTTGGCATATAATAAAGAAATAATAATAGGTATATTCAGGCCACCAGCCTATGCCACTGCTCTGTCTATAAACTAGCCACTCTTTTGGCTAAGTAAGGTATACTTACTTAATAAACTTATTTTCACTTAAAAAAAAATCTAACAAATTTAACATTTAACATGTGCATCCCCTCAACACAATGACTATATAATTGTATAATTATAAGCCTCATATAAGGTTAATTTGAGAAGCTAAAAATTTTAATTATGTATTGCCAAACCCCTATTTGGAATAATTAGACAGGAAATATTTTAAACTTAGATGTTTCGTATCCCATAGGCACAGGCTTTAATACAGGGAAAGTAACTGCTCAGTGGCTCATACTAAGCTATCTCACAAGAAAGTTTGTGCTATGTAAGTTTATTTTGGATGTTTCTTAAAAAAAAATATAATAGTACCCCCAGTAAACACAACAAATTTATTTTAAATATTTGTCCTCCTGAAGTCTTTCAGCCTACAAATTGAATATAGATTACATTCTTTGTAATTTGACTTGTTAAAACAAATATGAATTTCAAATGTTCTCATGAAAAATACTTTACTTTAAAAAATTCACTTCTATTCTTCACTTTGGCTTATTTTTATTCACTAGTAAAGGGCAGCTTAGCTTTATAGCACCTGTCAGTATGGCCAGTGATATGTTTCTCCCAGTACATTTGGATAGTAGTGCATGAGAGAGCTGGTAGGTGATATCAGTGCGTTGTATAGCCAGTCATCCTTTTGCCCAGAAACTTACTAAATCCTTTTTATCACACACTTTATCATTCCCATCCACAGGCCTAATAAGTCTGTTGCAGTAAAATGGTATAGTTCAGCTTTTCAAGCAGGCTTTGTTCCAAATAGAACTAATATGATACATTACATAGAAAGAGGCTAGGTAATGAAATCTGTAAATATTTCTATTCTTTATTTGAAAGTTACATTTGTTTTCAGTGAGATTGTGTACATAAAATAAATGTACACATCTATAATATGTGACTGTGTTATGTGAGAGGAAAGTATGGTGGGGATCTAAATATTTTTGAGAGGTAAATATTGCCAGCTTGTTTTCAAGAATGATCTGTTTATA
Source organism: Homo sapiens (assembly GCF_000001405.40). Classification (NCBI taxonomy): domain Eukaryota; kingdom Metazoa; phylum Chordata; class Mammalia; order Primates; family Hominidae; genus Homo; species Homo sapiens. Next base: position 190,541,799 of record NC_000001.11, read on the forward strand.
CATACATTTTGTGTTATAATAAGGTTTTATATACTATAGATAGGGTAAATACTTACATTTTTATTTAATGTGCAATATTAGTATAATTAATACAAACCACTTGAAAGGTACAAATTAAGATAAATTTGGGGCAACCTGATACAAACTGTTCAATTAAGTTTATTTTATTTTTTTTAATTTCCATAGGTTATTGGGGAACAGACAGTATTTGGTGAGATGAGTAATTTCTTCAGTGGTGATTTGTGAGATTTTGGTGCACCCATTGCCCCAGCAGTTTACACTGCATCCAATTTGTGGTCTTTTATCCCTCACTCCCTTCCCACCCTTTCTCTCTGAGTCCCCAAAGTTATCTGTCTTTCTTATGCCTTTGCATCCTCATAGCTTAGCTTCCACATGAGTGAGAACATACAATGTTTCTTTTTCCATTCCTGAGTTACTTCACTTAGGATAATAGTCTCCAGTCTCATCCAGGTCGCTGTAAATGCCATAAATTCATTCCTTTTTATGGATGAGTAGTATTCTATGATTATATATATATATATATATATATATATATATATATATATATATATATATATATATATATATACACACACACACACACACACACACACACACACATACACACACCACAGTTTCTTTGGTATATAACTGTGGTATATAACTGTGATTTATATCTATCTATATATAGATAGACAGATATATAGATACATATAGATATCACAGTTATATACATCACAGTTTCTTTATCCACTTGTTGATTGATGGCACTGGTGTTGATTCCACATTTTTGCAGTTGCAAACTGTGCTGCTATAAAGATGCATGTGCAGGTATCTTTCCCGTATAAGGACTTCTTTTCCTCTGGGTAGATACCCAGTAGTGGTATTGCCGGATCAAATGGTAGTTCTACTCTTAGTTCTTTAAGGAATCTCCACATTGTTTTCCATAGCAGTTATACTAGTTTACATTTCCACCAGCAGTGTAGAAGTGTTCCCTGTTCATGAGATTCACATTAACATCTATTTTTTTTTTTATGACTATTCTTGCAGGAGTAAGGTGGTACTGCATTGTGGCTTTGATTTGCATTTCCCGGATCATTAGTGGTGTTGAGCATTTTTACACACGTTTTTTGGCTATTTATATATCTTCTTTTGAGAATTGTCTATTCATATCTTTAGCCCACTTTTCAATGGTATTTTTTGCTTTTTTCTTGCTAATTTGTTTGAGTTCATTGTAGATTCTGCATATTAGTCCTATGTCAGTTGTATAGATTGTGAAGATTTTCTCCCACTCTGTGAGTTGTCTGTTTACTCTGATGACTGTTCCTTCTGCCATGCTATTTAGTTTAATTAAGTCTCAGCTATTTATCTTTTTTTTGAGACGGAGTCTTGTTCTGTCACGCAGCTGGAGTGCAGTGGCGTATTCTCAGCTCACTGCAACCTCTGCCTCCCAGGTACACGTGATTCTCTTGTCTCAGCCTTCCCCAGTAGCTGGATTACAGCAGTGCACCACCATACCCAGCTAATTTTTGTATTTTTAGTAGAGACAAGGTTTCCCCATGTTGACCAGGCTTATCTTGAACTCCTGACCTCAGGTGATCCACCCACCTCAGCCTTCCAAAGTGCTGGGATTACAGGAGTGGACCAACACACCCGGCCTGTCTTTGTTTTTATTGCATTTGCTTTGGGGTTCTTGGTCATGAAATCCTTGCCTAAGACAACGTTTAGAAGGGTTTTTCCAATGTTATCTTCTAGAATTTTTATAGTTTCAGGTCTGCAATTTATTTTGAATTGATTCATTTTGAGTTGATTTTTATGTAAGGTGAGAGATGAAGATCCAGTTTCATTCTCCTACATGTGACTTGCCAATTATCCTAGCACCATTTGTTTAATAGGGTGTCCTTTCCCCACTTTAAGTTTGTGTTTGCTTTGTCAAAGATCATTGGCTGTAAGAGTTTGGGTTTATTTCTGGGTTCTGTATTCTGTTCCATTGGTCTATGTGCCAATTTTTATGCCAGTACCATGCTGTTTTGGTGACTATGGTCTTATAGTATAGTTTGAAATCAGGTAATGTGATGCCTCCAGATTTGTTTTTCTTACTTAGTCTTGCTTTAGCTATGTGGGCTCTTTTTTCATTCCATATGAATTTTAGGATTCCTTTTTGTAGTTCTGTGAAGAATGATGGTGATATTTTGATGGGAACTGCGTTGAATTTGTACGTGGCTTTTGGCAGTGTGGTCCTTTTCACAATATTGATTCTACCTATTCGTGAACACGGGATGTGTTTCCATTTGTTTGTGTCATCTATGATTTCTTTCAGCAGTGTTTTGTAGTTTTCCTCGTAGAGATCTTTCTCCTCCTTGGTTAGGTATATTCTTAAGTATTTTATTGTTTTTTTCTCATCATTTGTGTGTCCACTGTAGTAGCACACTTTTCTTTTCCTTTGCATTCACAACTTGGCTAACTGTTTGGCATAAGAGGCCTCACTTTTGGCTTATTTTGGCTTTCAACATGCCTTCCTCACTTAGCTTATTTCCAGCTTTTGATTTAAAGTGAGAGATATGTGACTCTTCCTTTCACATGAGCACTTACAGACCATCTTAAGGTTATTAATTGACCTAATTTTAGTATTGCTGTGTCTCAGGGTTTAGGTATTCCTGAGGAGATGGAGAGAGATGAGGGAAGGGCTGGTCCTTGGAGTAGTCAGAATACACACATTTATTAAGTTTGCCTTCTTGTTGGTGGTGCTTCAAATAATTACAAGAGTAACATCAAAGATCACTGAACACAAGGCCACTGCACTCCAGCCTGGGTGACAGTGTGAAATTCTGTCTTAACAGAAAATAATTACCTTATCATCATAATAATGAAAAAGCTTGAAATATTGTGAGAATTGCCAAAATATGACAAAGACACAAAGAGCACATACTGTTGAAAAAGTGAAGCCTTATGCTAGATGCAGGGTTGCCACGACCTTCAATTTATTAAAAAAAATGAAAGATCACTGATCACAGTGCTACTTCACTGCAGCCTGGGCAACAGAGTGAGACTCCTCTCATTCAAAAAAATATTTACTAGTGTGTACTAATCTCTATACTAAGCATTATTATTTATGTTGGAGATATAGTGGTGACCAAAACAGACAAGGCTCCTGCTTTTACAGATATCTTATTCTAGTCAGGATAGTAACAAGATGAATGAATAGGCAAATAAGTGAGAATATCATATCAGAATCTTAGTGGACTCCAGCCTCTTCTACTGGGTTCAAGCGATCCTTGAGCTTCAGCCTCATGCGTGCTGGAATTGCAGGCATGTGCCACCACATCCAGTTAATTTCTGTATTTTTAGTAGAGACGGGCCAGGCTGATCTCAAACTCCTGACTTCATGTGATCCACCTGCCTCAGCCTCCCGAAGTGCTAGGATTACAGACGTGAACCACTGCGCCAGGCCAGGAAATCTTTACTGTAGAAATGCAATTATTAAGTCGTTTCTCCTGTTTCTTCATTTGACAGCAAACTCCATGTGAATAAGGAATATATCTGTAGCTGCCGATCCCTACATCTTCGGTCTCTAGCAAATTACTCGGAAAAAATTGGGTGCTTCCTACATCTTAGTTGAATAAATGAATGAAAGTGAATAAACATTAAAAAATTTTACAGACTATCAAAAGTAATCCACTGGAAAAATTGAGTAACAACATATGAAAAATGCTTAATCTTATTAGAAAAAAAAGATCTAATTGAAACATTAAACAAAATTCTCATCAGCATATCAAAACTGTTTTTTAATTGGTAATATCTAATACTTTCAAATATGTGCAGAAAATTGACAGGTTGAGGACATTTAAAAAGCTAAGTCTCTCTTGCTCTCTCTCCATTTCTCTCTCTCTGGATGCATTGTCTGAATCCCTTGTTTTAAGTCTTGTTGGGGAACTCAGCGGTACTATTCCCACTGGGAAAGCTAAGATGATGAGGTAAGTGCTTTCCTAGCTAAGTTTCTAGCTCATTATCATCACCTGATGGAAGGAAGTCCAATAAAATGTTGTGGAAAATTCATTACATTGTTTCAAAAGGCTAACTTCTGTAACAACTCCAAAAATCTCAGCAGTTTAATAAAATAGAATAGTATTTATTTACATAAAATCCAATCAGCATGTGGCCTTATCCATGGGTTTTTCCAGTCCAGGATCCTTCCTTCTTGTAGCTCCGCTTTACTCATGACCTTGGAGTCCTTTCCAGCTGTAAAGATAATGGGGGATCCTCTGTGGAAGTGATGCATATCCCTGTTGTCTGCATTTCCTTTAGTAAGAAACCAGTGACATGGCCTGATCAATGCAAAGGAAACTGAGAAATATAGTTACGTGCAGAATAGGAGGAGGAATTAAGTTTAGTGAGCAAATATATTATTTATACATATATTTAGAGAAGTTTGCCAGAATCTATCAAAATTTAATTTGTGTTCACACATTTACCCTAAAATCTCATTTCTACAAATATGTCTTACAGACACAAAGTGAAACTCCATCTGAACACAATAAGTGATATCAAGAAAGTTAATTAACATAGTTAACATTCATAGCTATCAGGTTAGTTTTGGTGATCCAGATGCCCAATCCAAATCTCTCTAAATTCAACCTGTGATATGTTTTATGCCATCTGGTAGAAGTTGTGAATTCTGGATTAAGTATTGATGAGAACATTTCTGGGACCTGTGGTTGGCTACTTCCAAAAGGTGGCAGTAATTGCAACAATCTCCTAAGTAGTTAATACACTTCTTACCAATCTATGCCACACAAGATATTTGGACCAGAGGAATTTTGGGAATGTATCCCAGTTCAAGATAAAAAAATGATTGAAATCAATTTCCCAATCCCATTATATCCAAATTCATATTGTTCAGAAGAGACTATTACAATAATCGTTGTCTACTCAAACATATGTGTCATATCATTGGTACAATAAATTTGTTACACTAATTGCAATAAATATGGAAACAATGTGTATTTGCTTGTAAAATATTGCTACCATTCAGTATGTTGCTTATATAACATGGAATAAATATAGCAGTTAAAAAGAACAAACATGGATCTATAGGTGATGTTTTTAGAAAGGTGTCGATAGTATATGATTACATAAAAAGGTGCTGAATGAGTACCAGTGCATATGAAATATTAAATATTATTTGGAAAAAATATATATATAGTCTTTGTTTTTTATAGTTTTCCCTTTTGTTAATTTAACAAGATAATGTCATATAAACATCCCATATTTTCCCCTCATTATAAATCATTTTTTGTTGATGTTAATGTGCTTAGTGCTTTGAAAAAGTTAACTGTTTTATTTCCTTGGTATGTTATTTCTGACTCCCATTACACCTTTTCCCATGCATTCAATATGATCATTCTCTCATTAGGGGAAAGAGCATATGGCAGAATATAGAGAAAAAAGCTACCTGTATGTATGTGCTTATGATTTTCAAAATCCTAGTCTATTTTGGCAATAGAAAGAAATCTGACCCAGATAAAATATCTAAGAAACTTCATCAAGGGAACTGTAAAAACTTTTCATGTTCCTCTCCCAAAACTATCAATTCATAAACAGTGTCTCTGTGAGAAGAAGCTGTCTGCCCCTACCTAATCCCCAAACTGAAAATCCCAGGAATAAACAGCAGAATACCAAGAAGATTTTGAAAGCTGAGAATAGAGGTTTAAAACTTGCTGTGTATTTTATACTTATGACAAAGTTCAACTCTAATTAGGTATATTTCAAGTGCTCCACAGCCATATGCAGTGAATGGCTCCTGTACTGGACAATAGAGTGCTAGGATGTTGCACAGCATTCCCATGGTCCAGCGTGGCAAGGGGCAACTGTGTGGCACCCATGCATCCAGTGGGGTCATCAAACTGAAGGCAGAGAAATAGGTGGCCTAATGGGCCCAGTGGGAATTAGGAGTAGAGAATGTATCTTGCCAGATCTTTGACAGTGGGTAAAGAGACTCAGCCCGGAATATGGAACCAATTAAAAGTAAGGATTCACCAGCCTGGCAGAATTAGAATGTTACTCAGTTGTGGAAAAATAGCACACTTTATATTTTGTAGATTGAGATTTATACAGTACATAATTTAATTAAACGAAGAAAATAGAAAAGGGTAATGGTAACTATTGAATTAACTAGAGAAGTAGGTTGGACCAGGAGAGAACTTTTACCTTTTACTTTTGCTTTGTATTGTGTAAATGTGAAGAATTAAGAGAAAGTTGTGGTAAAATGCATCATTTTACTTTATGCTGAGGAGAAAATAAAATTGTCATGTTTCTGATGGAAAAAGACTGAAATAATTCCACTTTTCTGCTTAGCACTCACTTGATGACTTTAAGAACAGTGCTGGCTAAGCAGAAATTTCACTTTAATGTGAATTTAAAGTCAATTTCTACATTTTTAATATTCTATCAGCAATTGATCTTAAGCAGAATATTGACTATGTAGAGCACATCATCCTATTCAGAATGATTTTGTTACTTTGGGTTTTTAAAATTAGTTTTTCTAGTAGCACATAAAGTAATAGAGTATTTATGACTTGTTATTTGTAAGTCCTTTGAGCTATTGATTGTAGTAATTATAACTATTCATCCAGACTTCAAGTTACTTCTCAATAAGATAAAACTGGATAAATTCAAAGTACTGACAAATTCAGATTCCATAGTTATGTTATGAACTATCATGTAAAAAGTTCTAGTAAAACAATTATGTGGAAGTTCACCCATCCCAATATGCAAATCAAAAGTAGGTCACTTAGCCTTTCTTTAAATAAATAGCCCCGGATATAAAAATGTATAATTTATTTTCTATCCTCATATTGGTAAAATAAACAATTGGTCTGACTGTTCACTTATAATTATCTGCTTAGCTGAACCTCTACGGACAAGTTATTTTGTTCTGCAGTTAGCAAACAGAATGTTTTTTAAAGGTAGAAAAACAGATGTAAAACTGTGAAAGAGTTTCAGAATGAGAATTATAATTGAACCCCATAAGATAATCTTGCCTATAGTGTATAAGACTATAGCACCTAACCCTAAGTGGCTATTTAAATTTTATTAAATTTAAATAAAAGATTAAGGTTCTCAATTGCACTATCCAAATTTCTGGTGCTTAATATTCACATGTGGTTAACAGCTCCATATTGGACAGTGCAGATATAGAACACGCCATCATCACAGAGAGTTTTATTGGACACCACTGATAGATCTGTAAGTTGACATTGCATTAAAATGTTTATCATTTTACAGGGCAAATACTAACTCTTTAATAAGTGGCTAGCAAATAATCTTATTTCATTTTCATAGATAATACTCAAATATGATATTTCATTAAATCTATACAATATATTACCAATAATAAACATAGGAGCACAGAATGTTTTTATATTAGTGAAATGGTAGAAACAATGGGAAGGAATCCCTGCCTCCCCCAACATTGCTCTAGGCATACCAATTTTGTTATAGTATTGCATAATTTTAATGCTGTTTTAGTATAATTCTATGCCATTCAACTATATAGATGGATCTTTATAATTTCTGGGGTCATTTATCTGGAAGAAGATGAGGGCTTTCATGTGAAAATGAGAAGAAGTGGGTTACAATTGTAAATTGATGGGATAAAATTATATTTTCTCATCATTTAAACAACGGAGAGATCAAGGGGTAAAGAAAGACACTCTGGAATAGAGCTGGTATTCATTACCAAGAGCTAAGCTGAAAATTAGAAAGTGAAGGACCATTACAGGGCTATCTACATGCTTTTTTTCCCCTGGGATGTCATGGGGAATGGACCAGAAAGCTGTAGAAACCATTCTTCCCTGATTCAATCTGAACTCCGTTCTTTTACAAAGAACTTATGTTCTTTGTATTCTACTTTCATTCCAGTTATCCTGAAAAGATTTTTGAGATTCCTATCTGCCCCTGCTGTACTAAGAATATTAAAATTTGAACTTCGTTCAGACTTGAGCAAGATTTGTAATGAAGTTTACCAATATTCAAGAATGGAAATAATCTGACCACACACTCATGAGTGTTACTAGTACACACGCGTGCACACACACACACACACAAAATATTCCTTCGACTGATAAACTTTTTAGATTTTATGTGCTTTATTATATAAAGAAAATTCATTTTAGAAATATAGCCTTAGAAATTAGGTGATTTACTTTTCTCATGGCTTTTTTGTATGCAACCATTATTCTATTAGACACAAATTCTATAAGAAAATGATTATGTAAATATAATTGAAGGAAAACTTCTATGATGATAACTTAGAAATAAAAAAATTTAATTCTATACACAAGTAGATTCCTATTATTGCTCACATTAATTTCACTTAATGTCATCTTTCTTATTTCCAACAACCATAAACATGTAAGGGAACCAATATGCTCTATATAATGTACTTTCTCCTTTTAAGTCATGTTATTCCTTGAAACATCAGTTACCTCACAAAAAAGTCAAGTCACGAATTTGTTTATAAGTTACTACTGCTGTAGTCACCTTTGAAAGAGCTTCATATTGAAATAGTGCATAGTGGTGGAAGTTATTAAAGAAGCACTCATTTAAGAATAGCTAATCATGAAACAAGTATTTTGCATCTTGAAAAGCTATTGTTTGTTTCACTACTGTTTTATTTTTTCTAAAAGGTTAATCATTAAATGTACAATTTTGTTTTATGTTGACAAATAAGTACCATTTACCATATTTATTCCATTAGCTGCATGATAATTTATTGTATTTCCTATTATTTTAATAAAAAGTCTAATTAATTAAGATGTAATCTAAAGTTAGCTGATAAAAACATTTCTAAAAACCCATTTCAGTAGCAGTAGCAATTACTGAAAGGCATTTACTAAGTTTCTTGATTTTCCTCTAATAGTTTTAATAAGAAAAGAAGAGTAGTGTCATTAAATGAAATGTTTAATACATAATTGGCCTTGTGGAGTTTTTACTTTACTTAAATAATTTAATTCTCAAATGATTTTACAACATAAGCATTATGCTTTCTGCTTAGGTATCAATAAAACTGGGTTTACAAACATTAAATAACATTCCTCAGTTAATAACGATGATTGAGCAAGATTTCAATTTGTCTATACTCTTTCTCCTCCTCCTGACAACAATGTGTAGGGGACTATCTGAAACGGTTGACTCCAAAATCCAAATATATATGGGTTGTGAATGTTGAAACATACAGAAGTCCCAGGAGCCTATTCTTCCACAGCAATAATCCTAAAAAACAAATTAGATAGAGTAAAAGCCTCATCACCTATTTTAATTTTAAAACAACGTATGATTTACTTATCAGGTTAATTAACTTTGTTTCTTTAAATCTTAAATTTTTACGAAACAATTGTTATGTAAAATGAGACATTGGTAATTTTCAATACAATCAAAGGATAATTGCACTGACAATAATAGGAAAGGAAGGCTTTATTCAAGACTATTGCAATGGGGGACAGTACAAATCCCCTGAAATAAAAGGCAGCACAGTTTTTGTTTGTTTGTTTATGTTACGTATTATTTATTTATTTAATTTTAAGTTCAGGGGTACAAGTGCAGGTTTGTTACACAGGTAAACTTGTCTCATATGATTTTGTTGTACAGATTATTTCATCACTCGGTTATTAAGTCTAGTATCTAATTATTTATTTTGTCTGATCTTTTCCCTCCTCTCACCCTCCACCCTTAGAAAGTCCCCAGTGTGTGTTATTCCCCTCCATGTGTCCGTGTGTTCTCATCATTTAGCTCCCAGTTATGGAACAGAAAGCCAGCTGAGTTTTAAAGCACTGATGTGAGCTAGATGAAGAGTGCTGAAGTACTTTAGGGAAAAATTAGTCAATGTGATTAGGCCATCTGTGTTTGTTAATTGTCCCTTTTGGAAGTTAGGCTTCTATCCTCCCACAGAGACTGAGAAACAGAGGCACTATTTCCTTTTATAATTATATTTCAAAGACATGGCTACCAGGTCCTTGAGAAAGACATTCTCAAGTTGTTAAACTGTTGTAAAACTGGCAGGAGGCTGGGAGATTTACATCTCAAAGAAGAAGAGCAAGAATTTACAATGAAAAGTTTTCTAAATTAAATGCACTAAGAATAGAGAGGCTAGGATCCTAAAGCTAAGAAGAATTCTTACTGAAGTTTAGTCAATCCGAGGAAATGGTGAGGCTGTTTTAATGAATACTTGACATGCACAGTTACAGTCTTTCTTTTACTTTTTCACTTTTTAGTTTGAAATAATTTTAGGTTTACCCCACATCCCACAATTTAATAAATAGTAGCATTCTCATAACCATTTACTCATCTCCTATTTTTATCACATTACGTATCATAGTATAGTTACAGAAATTATGAAAGTAACATTAATATAATGCTATTAACTACTCAACAAACTTTTTTTTTGGCTCGGGTTTCCATTTAGTTATCACATATCTTCAGTCTTTTTCACTCTGTGACAGCTTGTCAGTCTTTGTGTGTCTTTGATGACAGACTATTTTGAAGGGTACTAATCAGTTCTTTTGGCAAACTGTCTCTCAATTTGGGTTTTGTCTGATTTCACATGATTAGACTGAGGTTGTGCAGTTTGGGCAAGAATGTCAATAAAATTAGGTTATTCCCTTCTTAGTGCATTATATCTGGATGTGCATGATGTCAGTATACTTTATTACCGATGTTGATGAGTTTATCACTTGATTAAGGTGGTGCCTGCCAGGTTTCTTCACTGTAATTACTATTTTTCCCTTAATACAAATTAGTATCTTGTGAGAAGATACTTTGAAACTATGCAAATATCATTTTTCTCATCATGTTTTACCTGCTAATTTTAGCAATCATTGATTGTTCTTGCTTGCAATAATTATTGCTGTGGTGTTAGTTAATAGTGATTTTCTATTTCCATCATTCCTTCTACATTTTTAAATTAAAATTCTACCTAAAGGAAGGCTGGCTTCTTTTCCCAATTTCTTCTGTTTTCCTTCCTTATTTATTTATATCAGATAGGCTTTGATATATACTTATTATATATGTATACTCATGAATACTTATTTTATTTGTGAGTTAGAACCTAACACTATCATTATATATTTTATTGTTCACAATGCTCATTCTCTTGTAGTTATTCCAATTTGAAGACTTAGACCTTGGGGATTTGGGAGCAACAAAGTAAACTTTCTCCCTTGTGTTCATCTGGTATTAATTGAATGGCTTTACTGCTCTAACAGAGACTCCCTAAATATAGTGGCAAAAATATAGGTTTATTTCTGATGTTACTATTAGATTTAGGTATTCCATGGCGGATCAGTGTCTCTTCTTTAACATACGGCGCCTGTTTGAGGGTTCATAAAAGCATCTGCGATTTTTGCCATCTCATCTCTCAGCAAGTAGAAAGAGGAAAAACACAAGAGCACATGTCAAATTGCTTCAAGGCCTATTTCCTCTCAAATTTCATTGACTAGAACTAGTAATACATTTGCATCGATCTGTGAAGAAGGCTGGGAAAATGAGTCTAGCTAGGAAAGGAAACTCTAGCATACGTAGAGCTAAACCTCTGTTATGTTGAAAGAGACAAAAAAATATATATAAGGGAAGAACAGATTGTCTGACTTCAGACAGACATGAAACACAATAATATTCACCAATGTAGTTTCTCCTGGACATAAATTTGAGGTGGCTTTTTGGGGTATATTGGTTTAATAGATTGTGGGATATTTTAATAAAGCATTTATTCCAAAATTTCTGAAATTTGAAAGAGAAAGATAAGCTATTCTAAATTTGAATAAAATTTGGTTCAATTTTGAGTAGATATTTATCCCAGTAAATTACATATTCCTACTTTATTACTATGCAAATTCCATCATATATTATGACAGGAACTGTTTCATTCTTTACTACTACTACTTTTTCAGATATGAAACAATTGTATAAGACACAAATTAGATGCTCAATAAATATTTGTTGCACAAATGATCAAATAATATGTGTGTAAGATTTCTATATAACTGTTAATCTGAGTGTATGTTCCATCAAATAATTAAATATATAATACATGACCCAAATAAGTAGAGAATAAATATGACTTAATATATAATATATAAACATTAATTATGTTGAATTTATAATTTCTGTTACATAGTAAAATATCCAAAAATAGTTATTACCTATTAACTGCTTATACATGCCAGTTCTCAAGAAAACCCTATGGAGTTGAAATGTTATTATCATAATCTTTTGTATAAGAAAATAAAGATGCAAATTTTAAATTCCTTTTCAAGTCCAGGTATTTTAAAAGAGGAAAGGCCATGTCACTAAGATGTGGCAAACTATATATTGCACAATGGCAACAACAGCATATAACATCACACATGCTTTTCTCAGAGTGGGACTTTCAGATTCCTCACATTAAGAATATGGGTCTACCTTCACTCCTCTTAAACCTAGATAAGTTTGTGTCCATGGGAAAAGAGACTCTATATGATTTCCAAGATAAGGTAATAAAAGACTTTGTGGCATCTACTTCTCTCTTGGAATACTTGCCCTAGAGGCTTGACCCTCCATGTGGGCCATGGTGAGACAGCCATGCTCTAAATATCTCCAAATAGCAGATGCAGAAATCACATAGAAAAGCCTGTGATGACGTGAAGTGAGATGACATGCTCCTACCTAGCCACCATCTGATTGCAACTGTGTAAGAGACTTGAAGTCAAAACTGCCCAGCCGAGCCCTTCCCTAATTCCTTACTTACAGAAATTGAACTTAATACAATAATTGTTGCTTTAAGTCGTTAAGTTTTGTAGTGATAATCAAATTGTACCTTCTAACTGAGGCCTTCACTGATTACAATGGGTAAAACTGAAGCTTTTCTGCCCACCCCAATACTCCCTATTCTCCTTGACTTGCTTCTTACACCTCTAACACAATCTAACTTACTACATATTTTCATATTTTTTTCTTGTTTATCCTCACTAAAATGTAAACTCCTTTTTTATGTAAGCAATGATATTTGGCCATTCTATTTACTGTTGTAGCCCCAGTTTTTGGGAGCTGATCTGACACTCAGTCATCACTGATTAAGGATTTACTGAATGAATATCTGAATGTGACGAATAAGAGAGGGTTAAGAGAGGGAGAAAAATGGCCATACTTCCCAAAGTAATTTATAGATTCAATGCTATCTCCATCAAGCTACCAATGACTTTCTTCACAGAGTTGGAAAAAACTACTTTAACCTTCTTATGGAACCAAAAAAGAGCCCACAAAGCCAAGACAATCCTGGGCAAGAAGAACAAAGCTGGAGGCATCATGCTACCTGACTTCAAACTACACTATAAGGCTACAGTAACCAAAACAGCATGGTACTGGTACCAAAACAGACATATAAACCAATGGAGCAGAACAGAGGTCTCAGAAATAATGCCACACATCTACAACCATCTGATCTTTGACAAACCTGACACAAGCAATGAGGAAAAGATTCCCTATTTAATAAACGGTGTTGGGAAAACTGGCTAGCCATGTGCAGAAAACTGAAACTGGACCCCTTCCTTACATCTTATACAAAAATCAACTCAAGATGGATCAAAGACTTCAATGTGAGACCTAGGACCATAAAAATCCTAGAAGAAAACCTGGGCAATATCATTCCAGATGTAGGCATGGGCAAAGACTTCATGTCTAAAACACCAAAAGCAATGGCAACAAAAGCCAAAATTGACAAAAGGGATCTAATTAAACTAAAGAGCTTCTGCACAGCAAAATAAACTATCATCACAGTGAACAGGCAACCTACAGAATGGGGGAAAATTTTTGCAATCTATCCATCTGACAAAGGGCTAATATCCAGAATTTACAAAGCGCTTTAACAAATTTACAAGAAAAAAACAAACCACCACATCAAAAAGTGGGCAAAGGATATGAACAGACACTTCTCAAAGGAAGATATTTATGCAACCAACAGACATATAAAAAATGCCCATCATCACTGGTCATTAGAGAAATGCAAATCAGAACCACAATGAGATACCATCTCACGCCTGTTAGAATGGTGATCATTAAAAAGTCAGGACACAAAAGATGCTGGACAGGATGTGGAGAAATAGGAAAGCTTTTACACTGTTGGTGGGAGTGTCAATTAGTTCAACCATTGTGGAAGGCAGTGTGGTGATTGCTCAAGGATCTAGAACTAGAAATACCATTTGATCCAGCAATCCCATTACTGAGTATATACCCAAAGGTTTATAAATCATACTACTATAAAGACCCAGACACACGTATGTTTATTGCGGCACTATTCCCAATAGCAAAGACTTGGAACCGACCCAAATGTCCATCAATAATAGACTGGATAAAGAAAATGTGGCACATATACTCCATGGAATACTATGCAGCCATAAAAAGATGAGTTTGTGTCTTTTGCAGGGACATGGATGAAGCTGGAAACCATCATTCTCAGCAAACTATCACAAGAACAGAAAACCGAACACCACATGTTCTCACTCGTAAGTGAGAGTTGAACAATGAGAACACATGGACATAGGGAGGGGATCATCACACACTGGGGCCTTTCTGGGGGTGGGGGTCTAAGGGAGGGATAACATTAGGAGAAATACCTGAGGTAGGTGAGGGGTTGATGGGTGCAGCAAACCACCATGTTACGTGTATACCTATGTAACAAAACTGCAGGTTCTGCACATGTACACCAGAGCTTAAAGTATAATAACAAAAGAAAAAACAGATAGCTTTATATAAATAGATTAAATAAATAATGATGACGTTGAGGAATACATGGTATAGCTATTCACATCTGTCTGAAAATGCCTGATGTGATTTCTCTGAGCACATCCAAATCAGTCATATATTTTTAGAGCTTTTATTTTAGTTCATTTTATTTGTTATCAAAGAGATTCTAGGGAAGTTCTTGAGTGTATAAAATACCCTTTCCATGAGAACTAAAACAAAAACAGAGTAAGAAGACCCATGATGGTAAACAGAAAAATGATCATTGTATTTGATTTGCTTTCCTGGTTTCAGAATGGTGTGGTTTTTATTGTTGTTATGTTCCTCCAAACTACACAGGTATGACTTCTTTGCTTCTTTTTTTTGGTTTCAGTAATGTAGACAAGTGAAATGCTGGTGAATTTCCCCATGCTTAACAAAAGCAGAGTTATTGCTAGACATGGAGACTCTCCAAGATTTTAGCATGCTGTAGTACACTTTTTTTCTCCATGAAGGTGTAAATCTTTAAACCGGCCACAGAGTGCATCTGTATTTGTATTATTTATTTCAAACCTATCAAACAATTTTTCTCTTTATTTCTAAAACTTATGATCTTCTTATAAATGGTTGTCAGACAATTGTATGCTTTCATCAGTAGAAAGTGCCTTTATTTCTTTCTTCATAAATGTTACACACTGCCCAAAACAATTAGAGTACAGGATAATTGCCAAAAGAAAGATCTGTTAAAGAGAATATCAAGCATGATTTTTTAATTTTCTCCTGTCATATTCTTACTTTATTCCTCCATAACTTGTTGAATTAGAAATGCTGAAGATATTTTAAAAAGTATTATTTTGTACGTAAGTGAAATTAAGTTCATAAAGACTGTACATTTTTGTCCATTTTAACATTAAATGAATAAATTAATAGTAGTATTTATTAGTCCCAGACTACTAATATCATGTGCATTTAGAATAAATTTAGATATAATCATATTGGTATCCACCCAATTTTCCACAATTTAAAAAATTTTTATTCCATGGGCTCAATCTTTTTAATTTGTTTATTTAACTGCATTTCATTTGTTGCTTTATGCTCCAGATGGCATTCCTGCCAAAATTGAATATATTCCAATCCCATTTATATTTTGTCCTTTGGATGACCATAGGGTAACCTTGTGTAGAATGCAGACCAGTAACTAACTGCTTTGCTTAGGATTTAAAGGAACTTGTGAAACACCTTCCGTGTTAAATCTTTGTTATTAATCTTAGAATTTTGTATGATTAATCTATATTTGGACCAGTTCTAAAATTTTGTAGGTCATCAGTCCAATCTGTTTATATTTCTTGCATATGTTTGAAAAAAACTGTCCAATAAAAGAGTCCAACTTTTTATTAATGCAGACATAATTGAGTTAGTGATAAATCGAGTCTACTTCTGTGAATAAAAAGATTTTGTGCTAAAACTTTTTTTTGTAAAATTTTTCCAAAATCTAAACTGCTAAATTAAAATAATAAAAGATACATTTTCACTCTTATCTCATTATAATATAAATATATAGACTTCTTTAAGATCACTTCCTATGTATGATACAAAAGGTCAGATATGCAACTCAAAAACGGGATTAAGTTTGAAACAAAAAGAATCTTCTCAGAAAAGGAAAAGTATCAATTTATGGGAAAACCTACTTACCAAACATACTAAAAACTGACTGCATTTTCCCTATAAAATATGTTGAATAAATGTAGGTTTTGTGAGTCTTAATTTTTAAAGGGCTAACATGCTTTTGTTCCAAAATTATGATTTTTAAATTAATACACATGTGATCTAAGAAGTTAGTTCTCTGGATTTGGAGAAGAATTTATTAGTAAGATGCTATGGTATTAACATTACTTACCATTTTTAGTATGTCTGTGCTGTAGTTTGGATATTTGTCCTGCAAATCGCAAGTTGAAATTTGATCCCCACTTTTGGACTTAGAGCCTATTGAGAGGTGTTTAGGTCATGGAGACAGACTCCTCATGAATGGCTTGGTGCTGTCCTTGTGGCAATGAGTGAGTTCTCCCTCTATTATTACAGTTCTCAGGAGACAGCTAGGTGTTAAAAATGGCCTGGCACCTACCTCCTTCCCTCTCTCTCTTACTTCCTCACTAGCCATGTGATCTCTGCATGCTGGCCCCCTTAGGTATTTGCCATGAGTGAAAGCAGCTTGAGCCCCTCACCAGAAGCTAAGCAGATGCCCATGCCATGCTTCCTGAACAGTCTGGTGAACCATAAACCAAATAAAATTATTTTCTTCATAAGTTATCCAACCTTAAGTATTCCTTTATGACAAAAATGGACTAAGACAGGCTGTATAAAAATTGGTGTTAATTTATGGTTGGATTCATGACATATTAAGACTATTCATTGCTTCTCACCCACAGAATGTGTACTTCCCTTTTAGGATATATCTAATGAGGTACTGCTTTATTAATTTTGTTTGTATATCTTACCAATATCAAAGAAATATCAAAGTCATCCCCTTAAAATTATTCACCACGTATTTCCATGTATGTATGAGTTTCTTATTGCTGCTGTAAAAAATAACCCCCACTTGAGGCTTAAAATAATGGAATTTTTTAAATTTTATGTTTCTGGAGGGGTCAGAAATCATAAATGGGCCTCACTGGACTAAAATCAAGGTGTTGGCAGGGTTGCATTATTTTCTGGAATCCACTCTCTTGCCTTTTCCAGTTGGTAGCATTCTTTAGTTCCTAGCCATCCTCCTTCTCCAAAACCAACAATGGCAAGTAGAGTCTTTCCAAAGGCTGGTGGAGTCTTTCTGATAACATAGGCATCACTCTGACATCATGCTTCTGCTCCATCTTCCACATGTAAGGACCCCTGTGGTTAGATTGGAATGACCAGATAATCCAGGGTAATCTCCCTGTTTTAAAGTCACCTAATTAGCAATGTAATTCCATCTGTTACCTTAATTCCTCTTGCCATAGAATTTAACTATTTCACAAGTTTCAGATATCAGGACATGAACACATTTGGTAGACCATTGTTTTGCCTTCAATAATATATTTTAATCAAAGTAGTAGATTAAAGAGTATATTTGTAGTAATTAGTTGTTTGTTATTAAATGAAACTTTCAAACGTTCCAATTTAAAAAATTAGAATAGGCCAGGCACATTGGCTCATGCCTTTAATCCCAGCACTTTGAGAGGCCAAGGGGGCAGATCACAGGAATTTGAGATCAGCCTGGCCAACATGGTGGAACCCTGTCTCTACTAAAAATAAAAAAGAATTAGCTGGGCGTGGTGTGGCACACACCTGTAATTTCAACTACTCCGGTGGCTGAGGCAAGCAACTGAATCGCTTGAACCTGGGAGGCGGAGGTTGCAGTGAGCTGAGATCGCACCACTGCACTCCAGCCTGGGTGACAGAGAGACCCTCTCTAAAATTAAAAATAAATCAATTAATTAAATTTATACAAAGCCTCCTAAGGTGTCAGATTCTTTTCTGAGAATATTTTATTTTCTGAAATATATACAGTATAGTGGCTACTACATACTACCTATAAAATACTGTATATACTACCTATAAAATAGTGAGATAACTTGTGGAATTTAACTTACATGTATGTTTAATTTACTCGGTAAAACACAGAGAATAATTCAAAAGCTTTTCATTTACAACATATACAAATGACTTTAGATAATTTGAAAGCAGTATAAGAATGGAGCAAAATTGCTATTATTAAGCAATAAATTCTACATGTTTGTATACACAGTTTTAGTTTTAGTGAACACTCAGCAAAATTTGATGCTACATTACTGCCCACATACTTTTCTCTGTACAATATTTCTCCCAAGTCAGCAATCAATCTATTCTTTCAAATTAATGTTACTTCTAACAAGAGACCAAATCAAACTATGGCCAAGTTCCAGGGATCTTATTTCCTGTTCCTATATACTCTATTGAAATTTATTTGCAGCACTAGCATGCTGATGGCAGTAAATCTGCTTATTTGGAGAGAATATAATGGATGTCATGTAAATAAAAAACACTTATGGGAAAGTGTTATGTGAATACAATTTCTGTTTTGATCTTCAAGATGAAATATTAATGGAAATACTTTTCTAATAATGTTGCTCATTGAAAAAGTAATTAGAATAAAATTCTAACACTCTGTCAAGTGTTTATAGTTGAGGGTTATGTTAGTGATGTCTAAGTTTCCAGTGTGCTAATTTTATATTGCTATTTATACAGCAGGAAAGATTAAAGACAACTCTTCTTTTTTTGATTGTACTCCATATATATCAAAAGAATCATCTGATTACTTACTTCAAAGAGACCCTATTGCCTGAATGTCCTCCTTATGAATATGTTCATGGCAATATTTAATTCATATCTTTAGATTTATTTGCCTATGACATAACAGATGAGCTAAGCCAGATATTGTATTTAAATGTATCAAAAAGAAGGTCAAGTGATTATAATATGTTTTAAATTTACAATTTATTCTCTGAAAATGATTTTGTTTACTGTTCTGCCTATAGAAAACTTTATTCTATTGAAGATATACTTAGTTTTGTTTCAATTTTTCTGAAACCAAACATTCAAATAAATGTGCAAAAATACAATACAAAAATAGAAAGGATTTTTATGCAAATATTAATAATAACAAAAGGAGAAGTGATCGATATTTTAACTTCAAAAAACAGAGGCCCTGTGACCTAAGACTTATATAAATCTATCCTGAAGAAACATCACATTATTTGCACAAATACATATGTACATGGCTGTTCAGTGCACCATCATTTACAGAGTTAAATAATAAAAAAGCTACTTGGAAGTTTCTAAATGCCCAGGACTATAGCTACCCTTCTTCCCTCTATTCTGGCCCTCCTACCATTCACACTGCACACAGAAACAGAATGATTTTAAAAATATGTAAATCAAATAATCTCTACGTCACTGATTTTGAGTTTTCCACTGAATTTAGCATAAAATCAAGTTCTGTAACATTGTTTGCAAAGCTCTGCAAGAGTGGACCCTTAACCAACTCTCTAGTACCTTCTGTTATAATTCATGCCTCCAATAACTTCTTTTTTAACTCTCAAAATAACATATCTCTTAAAGTCCTTTCACCTTTTGTTCGCTTTAATTTTTTCTCTTTCCCTAATTCTTTTGCTGACTGGCTTCTCTCATTTTACATGTCTGAACTCAAATATCAACTTCCTGGGGAGGCTTTCCTTAATCAAATATCCTAAAGTAATTGTTTTACCCCTTATTACTCATTATCATGTAAATATGCTTATTTCTTTTGTAGCACTTTTTCATTCGGAGTTTTTCTATTTGTTTACTTCTTTACTATTTTACCTGCCAGAATATGAGTGTTATGATGAAACAGATTGTGTCTGTGTTGCACCTGAGTTTCTAATGCCCATAGGATTAGAATCAGGATAATGGTATGGCACTTAATAAATAATTGTTGAAAGACTAATATAAATTATGGCTTGTAATCATGGAATCCCAAAGCAGTCTATAAAATATTATGTACATTTGTAGATGCTGGAATTTGAAGATCTCTGAAATATCTTATCAAGTATATAAAAATCTAATTCAATAGTATAAATTTATGCAGCAAATTTTATTGAATACTTCATGCAAGACTTGTAGTAAAACTTCCATTCTAAGATTATTAAAAAGAACAAAAATAAGCACAATATACACAAACTAGAAAAAGCAAACTTATCTTCTATTATGGGGTAAATTGATTTGTATGACAACTATAAACAATAGTTACATATAGATGAACACATTTATATTGCTCATATATGTGTGTTGCTGTAATGAGTAGAATGGCATATTCCAAATGACTAAGGTTATATTTTGGGAAATAAGCAGGTCTTTAGTGAGAGGTGAATTTAATACAGACTCCAGGTATTATTCTGTGCTTTGAAACACTGCTTACGTCATTTTTCTGTGAAATTATAACTATGAGTTAGTTGTGTCACAAAGAGAATAAAGAGAGGAAAAACATGGCAACTGTCCCACTATTAATGATAGAGGCAGGAGGCAGAGAAATTCTAGGCAGACAAGAGCAGGTTCCTCGTGGAATCCCCACCTTCAAGCCAAAAGCAGCCTGAAATCTGCAGCCCAATGTAAGAACTTTTGTTACTGTTTGCTTTCTCTCGATTAGTTCTTTCTGCATAATGTCTTTATATCAATCAAATGTTGCCTTTCCCAAAACTACCTACAGC
Source organism: Homo sapiens (assembly GCF_000001405.40). Taxonomy (NCBI): domain Eukaryota; kingdom Metazoa; phylum Chordata; class Mammalia; order Primates; family Hominidae; genus Homo; species Homo sapiens. The sequence goes on from NC_000001.11 coordinate 190,562,807, forward strand.
AAGCCCCATCCCCCCATCTTGTGCCTGTAAAGACCCCAAACTTATCTGGTAGAGAGAAGTGGCTGGACATCAAGGAGAGATGACTTGACTTCAGAGATGATGGCTGGACATTAGAGAGAGGCAACGTGACTTTGGAGGAGAGCCACCTGCCCTTCCTATCCCCTTTCTAGCTCCCCTCTCCACTGACAGCCAATTTCATGGCTCAATATAATTCTCCACATACATCATCCTTCAATTTGTCTGCGTGACCTCATTCTTCTTGGGCACCAGACAAGAATTCAGGAACCACAAAGTGTGGGTACCCAAGAAAGTTGTCACATTGGCCCTTTGCCCTCGCTGGTGGAGGGCTGCCACCCCATGAGATGAGGCAAAGGGCCCACTGACCTGATTAACACACTGCCGTCCTCTGATGGTGGAACTAAGACAGCATTGTAATATGTCGTCTGGGGCCTTGGGGGCACAGGCACCCCCGGATGGATGCTGCCGCGGGTCCTGAATGGAGTTTCCGGTTTCTGCACTCTATCATTGCTTTATCCTGGGAGGGGTGGAGCTCAGTGGACCTGAGTAAAGTGAGTTTGCTCCTGCCAGTGCTGAGGCAGCCAGCCTGCACTGGTTTGCTCACGTGCTCCCTCCCGCAAAGGGTTTAGTGCAGCAGGCTGAGTAAACAGGGCATCCCTGTTGTAAATCTTGCCAGGGGGTCAAGAAAATATCCTGCATCATCGATGCCATAGTGAAAGTAGCTAAGATATGGAAACCTGTTGGTCCTGTTGTGAAAAAGTGCTCTATGCTCAGTCTCCTTGGCGTTTCAATATCTTATTTGTGTAACTTGTCTTCATTTGAATTAATAATAATCTCTTCCTTCACTTGTCAATGACTTTCTTAATATAGTATTTAAAATATGAAGTGATTACATTAATTTTTAATTTTGAAAAGTATTAATAAAGTGTGAATGGAAAAACTTTGTCCAAAGAAGTCTATTTCAAGCAATATTTATGAAGGTCTAATTATTATAAGCAAACTCAGTTTAAGTATCTATAAACAATTTTCTATGAAAGAGAAATATAAGATTTTTCCTAAAAGAAAATAAAGTGAGTCTCCGAAAATTTTACTGCTAAGATAACTTTGTAGATAACATTGTAAAACTGACCCTTGAACAATGTGATGGTTAGGGCCACCAATCCCCCGTGCAGTTAAAAGTCCAGAAATAAATTTTGAGTCCCTGAAAACTTAACTACCAATAGACTACTGTTGACTGAAGCCTTCCAATAACATAAACAAGTAGATTAACACACGTTTGGTATGTTATATGTATAATATATTGTGTTCTTATAATGAAATAAGGCACTAAGTTTTGGAGTGATTTGTTATTTAGAAATAAACAGAACATTCCTCTAAAACTGGTGAGTTATTAAGAAAATCATAAGAGAAAATACATTTACAGTACTATACTATATTTGATAATGATATTGTAAGTTTACATCCTGTGTTTACAAGATGAATCATCTGTTTGAAACAGTGGGCAATCACAGCAGCAGACTTCAAGTTATGGTACAGATCAAGCAATTCAACTTTTTCTTATAATGTCATTACTTTTCTCTACTTCTTTGGAGCACTTCTAGCATCACTGGTGGCATTTCATATGGGTTCCCAGGGTTTATTAGAGATTTACAATGTTGCACTAAACAGGCGGAAGAAGACTCGAGAATTGGGAGAGACCCTTTTTTACTGCAATACACAATTTACTGGAACTGCTCATGCCTAGAGGATTAGTATGACATGGCATTTTAAGTAGCTACTCCAAACACTTGAACTTACCTCAATAGCAACAGGAGGGGCTATGAAATTATTACAGTAGCATAATATATGCTACAGTTAATTTTATGCAGTTATGATTTATGATTTAATACTGCATTTTTACATGTGTTTACATTTCTCTCCACTGTGAATGGCACCATGTACGGTCTGTGTTTCTGTGCCTATGTTTTGATAAATTTTAACTTTTAATAATAGATTTGTGTATATATTATAGTAGCAAAGGATAAAATAGACTAGCATCTACATATATTTTATGCATTCATGACATACCAATTTTTTTTTCTGGTTTTTATCTTTTTAAATATTTCCAGGCTATGTGGTTTGTCTGCGAGTTTTCATTTTAATCTCCAAAAAATTTTCTAATGTATTTATTGAGAAAATCTATAAATAAGTGGACCCATGCAGTTGAAACCCGTGTTGTTCAAGTATCAACTGTAGTACAGTTTCTAGGTCTGTGGATAATACTGAAGTGCAATAATCTCCCTGGGTTTTCAATTCCTAAATTCAAATGAACTTAACAATCTTGCAATAATTATCAGAAGGATAATGATTCCTAAGTATCAATTCATGGTGAGTTTTAAAAGATACACAGCCCATGTATCACTTGGCAAATTAATTGCTCATTATCACTCAGTGGGAAAGAATTCAACTGTTTTGGGAGAATCACCTTTAAATTATGTCCACTTGTAAATTATCTTCAGTAGAATGTTATTTAATGATGATCAGTTTGTTTTTAATGACTGTTATCTCTCTGAATATGTATAGATATAATCTGGATTTTTTATTAAAATGCCATAATGAAGGAACCACAACTTCAAAAGTAATTATTGGGTACTGGGCTCAATTCCTAAGAGATGAAATAATCTATACAACAAACCCTCATGACGAGTTTACCTAGGTAATAAACCTTCACATATACCCCGAACCTAAAATAAAAGTAAAAAAAAAGTAGAGACTATACCCTAATTCTATGCAAAATACCTACTCAGAAAGTATTTACTGAGTATTTATTTTACTGTTAAGATGTCAAAACAAATCAAAGTAACATTGGCACTTTTAACCTTTGGGAACACCATGAATTGTGAGTATTAAAATGCTGTAGTTCTGTTACGCATTTGGTTTTATAAAAGTATAAATCATTTAAATCTCTCAATCTGAACGACCTGGGGAGAGATGGTAAAGCATTTAGAAGCAGAGACTAAGCGAGAATTATCAAAAGAGTTAGTATAACAAAGTTTTATGGTAAACTTGAAACACAATTTATAAAAAGGAAATTCTTGATTGGGGGCAAAACATGCAGAGAAAGCATGTGTTTTTTTTGTTTTTTTTTTAAATTACTTTGAATCTCTAGTATTACCCTCTTTTATATTTCCGGTGCAGCAAGCAACCTTCCAATACATGTTTATGTCCAATGAATACAGGTTAAAGAACTCCAACACAGTGAAACAATAGATAGATACAGTAAAATATATAGCTCTAGTATGAGGCAGAAGAAAAGACATTAGGCCTCTAGTGTGGATACTACCTCTGCGGTTTTTAAAAGATATGTCTACCAAGAAGTGCAGGGTGGCACCATTGATGGGACATCAGCTTGACAAAACATGAATTGTAATAATTAAATGGAAGCTGGGCATGGCGATGCAAGCGTGCCTGTAGGCTGTAGGCCCATCTACTCTGGAGGGTGAGTCTGGAGGATCACTTTGAGCCCAGGAGTTGAAGTCTGCAGTGAGCTCTGACATGCCACTGCAGTTCAGCATGGGCAACAGAGTAAGACTTCATCTCTCAAAAAAAAAAGAAAATGCAATGGAGACTATCTCTGAGATTTCAAATTCTTGAATTCAATTTGTTAGTACTTTTCAAACTGAGAAAGTATTCAGGGAAAACTCACTTTAAAAAAAATTATTATTTAAAATGATGGACTGGATAATTTAAAGATACCTGTGAAATAAAATAATTAGCCAGCAGTTTGTTTCATAAATTGGTATTTAGAGCAAATAAATATAGATCTACAGATAGTATTAGACATTTCATCAATACTATGGAAATACTTTTGAATTACCCTGTCATACAACAGAGTCTGTATTTTAGTGATCAGATTATACAGATGGACTCATTCAGTATCTTTTATTCTTACTTCAATTATGAAAAAAAAATCAAATTTTTAGGATGTGGCATGTTTTCATTTTTCTAGCCTACCAGTAGCTTCTGTTAAAATTGTCTTTCTGCAGACATAAATTCATACAATCAACTACATAAAAATGTTTCCCCTCATATTCAATATGAATGGGAGAAATTTTGCCAACTTGGATACTTTCCAAGTTTTCTGGCGACTTTAACCATCTTCCACGTGGATTTCTTCTACAGATAGCTCAACCTTTGAAAGTACATGCGAGAAATTTGCTATAACCCTCTTTTTGCTGCCACATCATAGTTTTTCCCCCCGACTACCTTGGAATATTTCCATGGGCACAAAATAAGGTAATGCTTGTGAAAAAGTTTTAAAACTAAGCCAAACCTATAAATATAAGGCATATTCCAAACATGGCAAAAGTGGGAATTTTCTAGAAAAAATATATCCCCCCAAACCCAATTGTCTAGCATCTCTATTATGGAAGCACCTAAATATTGGGATAGCTATATCCTTACATCCTACATATGCTGATGCCAAGGAAGAATATTAATACAATCAGCCTCTGCTAAGGCATAATAATTAATAATCACGGATCATTTTGATTCTACAAATCAATCTATGTTGAATCCTGCACCTCATACTTCTAAGTTGGTTTTCAGTTTAGAAAATGCTTTCTTGTGACTTATTTTATTAGATTACACGAAATATCATGTGGAATATTTAAGATCATATTAACAAAACTACTACTAATAATAATGGTGCTCCTATAATTTTAATTTATCTTAATTTTACAGATATTTTAAAAATGACAGCCAGTATTGCCAAATTGTTAAACAAAAAACAATTTTATTATTTCCTCAATCTGTATATTTTCACCACATAATGAATCTTTAACTTTGTATTAAAAAATCTCAAAATATATTATTTAAATAATGCAAATAATGTAGTAGTAATTTTAATTGGGGCTTATTAGTTGAAAAAGCACATAAGATAATTGTGTCTTCTATTTTGATTTTATTAATATCTATGTATCATCAATTGGTCATTCAATAAGTGTCACAAATCAAGACGACAGATTCAAAAAATACGTTCTGAAATAAATTGTGGGAAAAAACTAACTTGTAATTCCCGCTAGCCATTAAACTTTCAATGATAGTGCTGCAAGCATTTTTTCTTTCATTCTTGAGGAAATATTAAATGAAAAAATATTATACAAAGTGCTCCTTTTTCCTAGATAAAGGGGTGTGTGTGTGTGTGTGTGTGTGTGTGTGTGTGTGTGTGTGTACTTGGAGAGTTTTCTTCTGTCTATAATAAATAAATAAGACAAAATAGAAAATCAAAATGTAAGCATTTACTAAAAAGAGTATTGTCTCTAAGAAAACTTACTACTGTTTGAATATATTAAATATATACATATAAGGAAATAATCTGTGTGTGAATTTGCTTTAGTGTTTCATTGGGTTTTTAAATTTGACTTTAATACCATTTTGTATTATATTAAATTCTGAGGAATAGTCAATACATTTGACTATGCTTGTGTGTAGTGGAAACAATATACAATAGAATCATTGCTAAATTAAATTTTGAAAAAGTCATCAATAATCATTTAATTCAAACGAATAAACTTTTTAAAAAACTGAGGAAAAGTAATATTACAGAGAGTTGGAAGATTCTAAATTACGACCTCTTTATTAACTACTGATATATAGTTATTGTTAAGTCAAAATTTATAAACCCACATATTTCAAACAAGGGAGTTCTCATAATTGTTTTGTATTCCAGAATGTGCTATGTTCCTAAGTTAATAATTTTGTTCTATCTGAATTCTGTTAACTTTTTTCCATTTATATTGCAATGATACAAACTGAAATGGTTGTTTACAATGCTGTAGTTCTGTTTTTAAAAAGGTGATTTTCACCTTTTTGCTTAATGCTATGGAAAAAGCATTTAATCACACCCACAGTGGGAAAATATCTGTTTTAAGTCAAAATAGTGACTTAAAATATTAACCTTCGGGATTAGATATTTACTATTTTTTTTGTCTTTCAATGTGTTTTTTATATAAATCGTATTGTGTATATTAAAGGGATCAATATGATGTTATGTAATACATATATAGTAAAAGGACCACTATAGTGAAGCAAATTAACTTATCCATCATCTCACATAGTTACCAATTTTTTGTGTTTGGGTTGAGCAGCTAAAATCTACTCATTCAGCAGGAATCCCAAATAAAGAATGATTTTTTTTAACTATAGGTTTCATTTACATTAGATCCTTAGACTTACTCATATTATGTATCTGCTGCTTTATAAACTGACTTACATCTCCCCATTCCAGCTCACCCCCAGTTCCTGGTTACCATTATTTTCTTCTCCATGTCTGTGTATTTGATTTTTTTTGTTTTGTTTTATTTTATTTTATTTTATTATTTTCTGTTCAAGATTCTACATACGTGAGATCATGCAATATGTTTCTGCGTCTGGCTTATTTCACTCAGTATCATGTCCTCCAGTTTTATCTCTGTTGTGTAAATGGCAGAACCTTCTTTTTTAAGGCTGAATAATATTCCCATATATATATATATGGACTACTATGGTTTCTTTATTCATTTATTCGTTGAAGGAAATTTAGGGTTTTTTTAAATTTCCATATCTTGACTAATGTGAATAAGGCTGCAGTGAACATAGAAATGCAGTCATCTTTATGAGGAGGTGATTTCATTTCCTTTGGTACATATTCAGAAGAGGGATTGCTGGATCAAATGAGAGCTTTATTTTTGGATTCTTTAGAAAATTACATACTGTTTTCTATGTTTACATCAATCTACATTCCAACCAATTGTGTACAACAATTTCCTTTTCGCCACATTTTTACTAACATTTATTTCTTGACTCTTTGATAATAGCCATGTTAACAAGTGTGAGGCAATATGTCATTATTATTATACTTTATTGAGATGAGGTTCTCGTTTTGTTACCCGTGCCACTCAGTGTCATGATCACAGCTCACTGCAACCTTGACCTCCAAAGCATAAGTGATCCTCCCATGTCAGCCTCACAAGTAGCTCGGATCACAGGTGCATGCCACCACACCTAGCTAATTTTAAAATATTTTTGTAGAGATGGGGTCTCTCTTTGTTGCCCAGTCTAGTCTTGAACTCCTGGGATCAAGCAATCTGCCCACCTCGGCCTCCCAAAGTTTTGGGATTCCAGGGATGAGCCACCAAAACCATTCTGTTACCATGGTTTTAATGTACATTTCCTTGATACTTAATGATGTTGAGTTTCTGTCTTTTCATATACATGTTGGCCATGTTTCTGTCTTCTTTTTAAAAATGTCTATTCAGGATTTTTGGCCATTTTTTAATTATGTTACTTCCTTGTATACTATTGAATTGTATGTGTTCTTTATAAATTTGGCTTATTAACCCCTTATCAGATACAGGGTTTACAAATATCATTCCCAATTTATAGGTTGCCTTTTCATTTTATTGATGGTTTCCTGTGCTGTGCAGAGATACTTTAGTTTGATATAGTCCCTTTCTTTGATATAGTTTGCTTTTGTAGCCTAAGCTTTCAACGTGATATATAAACAAACATTAAGGCCAATGTCAAGGAGTTTTCTCCTATATCTCTTCTAGAACTTTTATGGTTGAAGGTCTTAAGTTTAGTTTTTTGTCTATTTTTAGTTAATTTTTGTGAAAGTGCTGGGATTACAGGTGTGAGCCACTGCTCCCGGCCTGTAACGTAATTTTCAATTAGGAAGTATGATGCCTTCAACTTTTTATTTCCCAGAATTACATTGGCTATTTGGAGTCTTTTGTGGTTTTGTGCAAATTTTAGGATAATTTTTTCTATTCCTGTGAAGAATGCCACTCAGATTTTAATAGGTATTGCATTGAACTTGTATATAGCTATGAGTAGTATGGAAATTTTTAACACTTTTGATTCTTCTAATTCGTGAGCAAAAAATATTTTTTTTTCATTATTGGTGTGTCTTCTTCAGTTTATTTCCATCAACATGTTGTAGTGTTAGTACAAATATTTTACCTCTTTTACTACATTTATTTTAAAGTATTTTATTGCTTTTGTTGGCATCATAAATGGGATTTAGTCCTTGATCTCATTTTTAGCTATGTTGTTGTTTGCGAATAAAGATACTGCTGACTGTTATATGTTGATTTTGTAACCTGCACTTTATTAAATTCATTTATTGGTTCTAACAGGGTTTTTTTGGTGGAAATTTTGAATCTTTCTCTAGGATCATGTCATCTGAAAATAGAGACAATTTTAATTATGTCAATCTGGTTCAGACATATTTTATTCTTCACTCTTTATTTGCTGATCTGTTCAGGCTTTCCATTTCCTCCTGATTTAATCAGGACAGGTTGTATTTTTATAGAAATCTATTCATTTCCTCTAGGTTATACAATTTGTTGACATGTAATTATTCATAGTATTCCTGTATAAACTTTTTTTATTTCTGAGGTGAATGTTGTAGTGTCTCTGCTTTCTTATTTTTCTTATCTTTTTTTTTCAGTTAATCTAGATAAGAGTTTATCGATTTTATTTATTCTTGAAATGTGCTTTTTTCCCTAATAATTACACAATTTCAATAGGTTAGATGGAAAATAATAGTTGACAATATCCCAGTTATTCTTAATGCATTGATATTAAAACAAACTTTATCCACATTCCAGAAAAGTTGAAGAATTTGTACTGTAAACTCACAGGTATATGTTTAAAAACTTATGGACATTTACCAGATGGATATAAAACAATTAACTATTATGTTTACCCCTTTATTATCCATGATTATCTATGAGTAGTGAGATTACGTTTATTATTATACTTTACAGTATTTTGTATTCTATACTATACTTTCCATGGTGGTGATGTTTCTTTTATGCTTCAAAATAAAATTTTATTTTTAAATGTATACAAAACAAGTCAAAATGAGAGAATTTTTATTTTAAAAGTATTTATTTTTGTGGTAAGAACATCTAACATGAGATCCACCCTCTTAAATTCTTTTAAAATGCACAATACAGTATTTTAACTGTAGGGACAATGTTGCAGTGTATCTCCAGAATTTATCATCTTGCATAATTAAGATTTTATGTCCAATCTGCCTCATTCCACTTATCATAATGTCCTCAAAGTTCAACCATATTGTCACATATCGCATGGTTTCTTTTTGTATTTAAGGCTGAATAATATTCCATAGTATGTTTATATCACAGTTTCTTTATCCATTTATCTGTTGGTGGATATTTACATTGTTTTCACAACTTGACTATTGTGAATAGTGCTGCAATGAACATGGGAATTCTAATACCTCTTCAAGACTCTGAATTCAATTATTTGGATAAGTACGCCAAAGTGGGATGACTGGATCATGTATGGCTCTTATATTAATTTGTTGAGGAACTCCCATATTGTTTCCAGTTACAGCTGCACCATTGGAATGTCCCACCAATAGTGCACAAATGTTCCAATATCTCCACACCTTAACCAACAATTGTCTTTTAAAAATAATAGACATTCTAATAGGTGTAAGGTGATAGCTCATTGCAGTTTTGATTTGCACTTCCTGCTGTTTAGTAATATGAGCACCTTTTCCTATACCTGTTGGCCATTTATATATCTTCTTTGGAGAAATGTCCATTCAAGTTTTAACACAATTTAAATTAATTTATTAGTTTTTTGCCACTGGTTTTCTTGAGTTGTTTTATATGCACTCATTTAAGCACTTGTCTCTTCCAGAAGTCACATAGATTCAATACTTGATTTGGCGATATTGAGAGATGAAAACTTTAAGATATATTTGAGTCGTAAGGTCTCTGTCTTCATGAATAATCTATTCATGGATTAAGCTTAATTGGTTAATGGGTTAACACATTAATAAGTTATCATGAGTGGGACTGGTGGCTCCATAAGAAGAGGAAGGGAGACCTGAGCATGTTAGCATGGTCACCCCATTGCTATGTGATGTTCTGCACCTGCTCGATGTTCTGCACCTGCTCAGTGTTCTGCAGAGAGTTCTCACCAGTGATAATACTCTTAACCAGCTGCAACCACTTGACCATGGACTTTGCAGGCTCCATAACTGTAACAAACAGATTTCTTTTTAAATTATCTAGTTTCAAAAATTCTATTTTAAACAACAGAAAATGGACTAATACATTATATATATGGGAAATTAACCCATTATCTGATTTATGGTTTGCAAATATTTTCTCTCATTCTGAAGGCTCATTTTTCAATTAAAGGCTGATTGTTTTCATTGCTGTGCAGAAGCTTTTCAGTTTTATGTCATCTTACTTGCTTGTTTTTTTTTTTTTTACTTTGGTTGTCTATGGTTTTGGTGTCCTATCCATGTAGTCCAACGATACAGAATAGAAAGTCCAAAAATGAATTCATGCATATGTAGTTAACTTATCTTCAAAAAGGGGTTTGAGAATACACAATGAACAAAGAATAGTCTTTCAAAAAAATTGTGTTGAGAAAACTGGATATCCTTATCTTACTTATACCATGCACAAAAGAAACCTCAAAATGAATTAAAAAGTTACACTTAAAACATGAAACTGTAAAACTCAGAAAAGAAAACATAGGGATAAAGCTTCGTGACATTGGTCTTTGCAAAGAATAATTGTCTTAATGTTTCTCATGACCTTTGAACAATATAGCAAATATGCCTGTAGGGAATTCAAAATATAACATATATTTATTTTACAGCATTCTATAGCTCTGAAAAAACACCAATTTCAAATCTTTTTTCTTTTCTGAAAGGAAACCACTTTCTGTCCTGCCCTTCAAAAATGTACTTCTTCAATATGGAGGTAGAGGACTGCTCCTACTGTGTAATGCCTTTGAGGGCAAAACATACATTTCTTTAAAGGACAGAGGGAAAATGATCTATGAGTTTCCTCTTGAAAATTTCTAAAGTAAGCTTATTAAGAATTGAAATGTTTTATATTTTATTAGGTATGTTTATTCTTTTCTTCAACTTTTTATTTTGCTCCCTTTATAATATGCCCAAGGAGTGCCACTGGAAAAAGAGTCATGATGGAATTAAAGTAAATACGGAGATCATTATTGTGTATCAATTTTAGTAGCAGTTTGCTAGGGCTGCTATAACAAAGTACCTTGAACAGAGTGGCTTAAGTAGAGTAAATGTATTGCCTCCAGTTGTCTTGGCTAAAAGTCCAAGAAGATAATCTTCAGCCTTGGTTCCTTCTGAAGGCTGTAAAGATGAATTCGTTCCACAATTCGTTCCACATTTATCTTCTGGCTTTGGCCAGCTTATTGGCCATATTTAGCATTTCTTGACTTTCAGAAGCATCGTCCCAATCTCTGCTTTCATCTTCACATTTTCCTTGTGTGTTTCTTTGTATGTGTTCTAATTTCTCCTTTTCATAAGAACACTAGTTATATTGGACTAGGAACCCAGCCCACCCTACTCTAATATAACCTCATCTTAACTAATTACATCTACAAGACACTATTTCGAAATAAGGTCATCTTCTGAGATACTGGGTGTTAGGACTTCAACATGTGAATTTTTGGTGAACACGAATCAGCCATAACACATGCTTAACCATCAAATCTCAGTACACAATGGGAAGCATGACCATTTTTGGCGTGAGATGAACTTGAAGAACAGCCTGATGGGTGGCAGGTGAGGAGAGGTAGATGCAGGGAAATCAGAAAGGAACCTATTTTTTGCAGTCCAGGAAAAACCTGATAATAGGCCAGAATTAGCAGAGGGTTGGCAGTGGATATGATGAGAAATAGAATTGAGACAGATAATTACAATTATATACTGTTGGATTAGATGCTGAGTATATGAGAGAGTTATGAGTCAATGATGTTTCCTGGTTTGAGGCCTAAGCAACTAGGTGGAGAATTGTACCAATGTCAGAGATAGAAAATCCTGAGGAAGAAGCAGACTTGTAGAGTAAACCTAGAGTTTTCTGTGCTCCTGTAATGAGAAAAGCATAAAATGTCTATTAGGCATGTAAGTAATAACGCCAAATGGTATTGGTATATATACTTCCAAATTTAATGACAGAGCCTTTGCTGGTTAAATGAACCGATACTGAGCTCTGGGAGTGAACTGGGAAGTGGAGATTGGCTTTAGAAACATTTCAATTTGCAACTTTTAAAAAACTTTAAATAGTATAATTTTGAAAATGTTTCTCATTAAATGGCTAAAGTCAATTGATATGTGAACGTAATTGCAAACTCTCATGGGAAATTGAGCGTCAGCATTGAGTGATTCTGTCTAGTCTTTTTATCTTAAATTCTATCAGTGAGGTTATAGTCTTCTATAATTCAACTCTCATCGCCCATTCCACTGCTACCACTATAGACTGACAGCTCTCGCTGGTCCATGTTCTCTGTCCTCCTTGTGGTTCTCTGAACATGTCAAGCATGTTCTTTTGGCAGAGGCTGTGCACTTGATGGTACCTCTACCTGGAATTTCCTCCCCTGCCTTCAGTAGGTCTTTGTTTAAGTGTTGCCTCTTCTGAGATCCCTTCTTTGACTATCCTACATAGAAGAGCATGGTTTCCCTCTCACTTTCTCTCTCTTCCTCTGCTTTATTTTTCTTTATAGCATTTTTCCCATTGATATGTTACACATTTATTTAACTATTCCTTGCCTCCCTAGAATATCAACTCCATCCTTACATATTTTTAAACCACAGTATCAGCAGAGCTTAAAAGAGCATTTGGCAGATACTAGATATCCTATCTTATGAGTATTGTTGAATATGTGTCAGTTATTCATAGTGAGGTCATTGATAAACTTAACCATGCTTTGCAAATATAATTAAATTACAGCATGTTCATACTACACCCATCTTGATGAAACATTGCTATTAAAATAACATTTATTATCTCAAAATTGTGAGATAATCAACTTTGGAATTATCAAAATCAATCTTTCAATATTATGGGGATAGATTTAGCAAACAGAAAAACAGAAATCCTCCTTTATGATAATAAGAGACAGAGACGGTTTATATTCACATATAACTATGAATGCTATATAAATATTTGCTAATATTCTTTATAATCTAAACGAGTTTGATTTTAATTTAGGGTCTTGTATTCTCAAATACATAGTTATAATTTCTCACTACTGAAGCTTATAGCCAGCTCTTTTATAGATTAAATTTTAATTAAAGTTGAGTTGAAATAGTTAATAGTTTGTTTACATACCACTGTTATAAAATCACATCATATATACTCTGATACATGCAAAAATAAATGTTATTAAAGAAACTTCTCAAAAATAACATAAAATGAGATTCTGTATCTATTTTATGATATATTATTATTGTCAAATTGTCTTTCTCTTTTCACCTGTTTGAAATTAGATCTTTGCCTGCTAAGCAAATTAATCATTATTAAACTGTTCTTTCTATAGAAATAAAGCTTTTTATTTCCTTGTCAACCATCTCTCATTACAACATGTGTTAGAAGTAGCAATTTTATATTTATATTAAATTAAATTGATTTTTACTCCCTAATATTAGTTTCAGAAAAGGGAATTATAATATTGTCATGAAATGGCAAAATACACATTATATAAATAATCACTCTCTTGTTAAAGTTTCTAGTGAGTTCACTGTTTTTCTCACATCCATGTAAAAACTTGCTTTTGTCTCAGTTACATGTTTACAAAATTATAAATGCTATGAGAATGCACTTTACCTTTATTAAGCTGAATGGGGGATGATATAAGCTAAATTAAATTATTGAAGTTATCATTGTTGCTCTTCATTGTGGAACCAGCTTAATTAAATTATTTCCAGCATTCGTATAAATGTCTTGAACTTTTCAACTTTGTAAAAGTGTTGGCAACCCTTTTTTTGGATTCAGAATCTAACATGGTGATTTCTGTGTTAAAGAATGACAAATGCATCTCAATTGTTACATTTCCTCCACATTGCCTACAATACATAAAAGGACGAAGAAACAAAATTGCTTATTGCCTTAGTAGGGCACACTCACTCCTGCACAGTGAATTTCAGAAGAAATTTAAATATGTGGGTTCATTTTAAAGCTTGCATTATTGAAGTAGTAAAGAGATTCAAAATATGAAGCACACAAAGTAGAATATAATTTTTTTTGTTTTTTATTTCTTTTAAAGAAAGTGACCTATTTTGGAAATAAAGATATAAAAGAGTCCCACAAAGTTACATATGGAGTGCACTCCTGACTTTTAAAGAAAGTGGGACTATTGCATTGAAAGTGTCAAGTTCTTTAAGAAGCCACTATCATAACTTGATAAGCATCTTGAAAAGACATTTCATTTTTGCCGCCAATGCATGTCAAATCTCTCATCCACTAGTGACTCATTTGACACAATTTTTTTTCCTTAAAATACATGGGATAGGTAAATTTTAGATAACTTTTCTGCTGCTGTATTAAATACCATATATCTTAGAATCAGCTAAAACACTTTAGATTTTTGTGTGGTTTTTTTTTCTGGTGTTTTAAGTTTCTATCAGCTACAATCTTTGAGTTTAAGTTTGTATATTTATAAAGTTATTTCCCTAAAATTGCATGTAAGACACTGTCAATAAACATAAATATTCTCCTTGTTAATATTTTCATATAAAAATTGAAATGCAATTTCTTTCTAATTCTTATCTAAATTTCTTGATAAACCTCAGTGAGATCATTTGTAGCCTAGCAGTTGCAAATCCCTTCATCTTTAGGGCATTTATAGACCTGCCGACTGGATTTGTGTGCTATTAAAATGCTTAAAACAGACCCCATTCCTTTAAAACATAAATTTTACCTGCTATCTGTATCTACATTTATATTTTCTATCACTTATCTAAGAATCATCTATCTATCTATCTATCCATCTATCCGACTATCTGTCTATCATCTACTGGCTGAGAGAGACAGAGAGAACACACAATGTTTGATCTTTAGTTTCTCATAATAAAGACAAAGTTTTCTAGTAATCTTCTGCAGAAAGACTCTCTGAGAAGTTTTAATTGTCTTTATCTCTTACCCCTACAATGCTTTTTGATTGCCTTAGAATCACAATTTTTGTAGATCAATGTTTTAGTTTTTCTGGTAGTTAAATCATTATAACTAAATAAGTTTTTAGTAATGTCTCTATAGAATGATAAATTGATACATATTTTCAGTCTTATTATGTTTCCTTTAAATTTACTTACATATATTTACTAAATACATAATTATCCATAAATATCCATAATTACATCTCTTGGATAAAAGTGATAAACCCTCTTTTTCAGTATTTTACAAAATATTATTAGAAATAGGGTTTATAATCACATAATTAAGTGATATAGAAAGAAAATTTTCTGTCTATTCTGACAAATCTTCCCTCATGGCACTCATTTCCTGTGAGTGCTCATGGCATTGCGTGACTGCCTGTCACCTGAATACCCTCATTACAGAACCCTCGCTGCTCAGTCCATCTGTTATTCATTAGAGTCCATAAAGTAATCACCACAACACACTGTACTTTGACTATCCCTCTGTTGTTTGTGTGAAAAATCGGGCAGTTTTCGGGCTGAGCGATGGAGAGAGAAGTTACCACTTTTACCTTCTTTCCCTTAGTGCTTTGATTAACCCTTACCAAAATATAACTACTATAGAAATGCCTTTGTATGTTACACAATGTTCAAAATAGGAACAACTTGCTCTTTATGTCAGCAATTAATCTGGGGTCAGTTTCAAGATTTAAGATTTACTTAAGGAATCTGACATTAAGATACACTGAGGAAAGATTTTTAAAAAATATTTCCTCAATGCGTTCAAGAAACATTTCCTGATCTCCTGAAATGTGCCATGTACTATTTAAAATCACTGTGATCATCGGAGAATTCATATGACTTGATAAAGAGGGAAAAGAAAGAGACAAACAGGACTCGGATGCTTGAAATGTACTGGCAGACACAATGTTGGCACCCTTGAGGAAAACAGCTTGCTGCGGGGAGGGAGCCGAAGAAAACATGTTCAGCTTTGAGGTTTATTTTGAAATGGCAGAAAGACACAAATATAAAACTAGACCTCAAGTAAATCATCAGTGGTAGTTATATGTATTTGTCATTCATCACAGTAGCTTAGTGGAATTACTAATATTTACGGAATAATTTTCATATCCCAACTGCTATTCACAGATTCTTATCTGTTAACCATTTATATGTTCACCGCAATCATAAAGAATAGATGTAATTATAATCTCAATTTTTCATCTGCAATAACTGAGACAAATTGTGTCAGTTTCTCAAATCCGCATAGCTAATAAGTATTTGATGGATTTTAACTTGGAAATCTCAGCTTCATATCCTATTATTTTACCTAAACCTACACATCTACTGTTTTTATCAAGAGCAAGTTGGCTTTACAATTCTATTCTTAACAGTTTAATCTTCCTAAAATAAACTATTGGAGTAGATGTTTTAAAAAATATATTTTATTAATGGAATTATTTTTTATTAAATATTTTTAAAGCCACCAAAAATTATACCTATGTCAGGAAAAAATACCTGGATTGCAAAATAATTTGGATATATTGTTTGATTTTTAAAGGAAAGAACGCCTAGGTTACTTGCTCAGATGTGGCTGTTTTCTTTTAATTTCTGAATTCTGGTGAAATAGCCACCTAACTGCTGGACTTTTTACTGTACCAAGAATTCATGCTGATTACAGCAACCAAGCTATAGATGTGTGGAGTGAGAGAGAAAAGATCTGCTAAACTCAATCAGAATTGATTTGTGAAAAATACTCAACAGTAAGTGATAAAATTATTGAAACTACTTAGTTATAAGGTGTAGTGCCTAACTAGTGGATGGTTTACCCAGATACGTTTTTCCTTGCACATTTCTTAGGGTGACCATCCCCTATTTCTAGATGTAATGCTACAGCAGTAGTTCTGGGAAGCCTAGATAGCAAAATACAGATCCAAGGGAGGCATAACAGGTCCAGAGACCAGGTTCTCATGTAAACTGTGCCAATCTGTGTCCTCTGCTTGGAATTTGTATGTTGGAATGTGAACATTTAGCCTCAGAATAGCTAGTTTCTTGAGTGGAAGAAATGTAAATTTGCAAGATGTTGGAGGCTACTTTTCAACATGTATTCTTGGAAACAGAGTTACCAGTTTGCAGCAAAACAAGGAATTATTGTTTTCAGTTTCATTTTCTATTGTTATCACAGTATCCACTGTGGTCTCTCTATGTCCTTGCCCTTGTATTATGCTTAAACACTTGTATAATTATAAAGCATTCCTTTTTTTGATCAAGCTGGAGTTGGTTTCTGTTAATTTAAACTATGATGCCAAACTCTTATATTAATACTGTAGCTTTCAGGGAAAAACAAGCTGTTCATGATCAACTATATCAGAAATAAAGTTGGAATGTGAATTTTAAAACTTTCAGAAAGATCAAACCCCTGTATTCTTTGGGATGTAAGGAATTAAGAAGAATTGTAAAGATTAATGCTTATGCAAGGCATTTATAGGAACTGAAATTGTAAAAAAAATTAAAGCCTGTTCTGATAATAGGAAACACTGGTTTATCAAAATTACATTGTTCTTCCATGTGTGGCAAAGCCTCTGAAATTACATTCATACTCTGTATTAGGCAAATGAATAAGTAATGGATCCCATGAGAGAAGTCATGTTCTATCAAATATTAGGAAGAGTCATACAAAGTGTGATGTACAGGTTTTGAGAGATGTATCTTTATGTTATTTTGGATTCACCACTGAGATAAGCCTAAAAAGTCTTTGAAACTGAAAAGTAAAGAGGTTGATGGAAAACATCTGAAATTATGACCTTTATCTGATCACATCTGACACAATGGCATAATGTGAGATTGTCCTCAAATTGTCAAATGGACTAGTATCTGTGATTGATTTCACAGTAACATTGATTTTTAATTTTTGTGGGTACATAGTAGGTGGATATATTAATGGGTTACATGAGACATTTTGATACAGACATGCAATGCATGATAATCACATCAGAATAAATGGGGTATCCATCACTTCAAGCATTTATCTTTTGTGTTATGAAAAAATCCAATTATACTCATAGTTATTTAAAAATGTACAATTAAATCATTTTTGACTACAGTCATCCTGTTTTGCTGGCAAATACTAGGCCTTACTCATTCTTTCTATTTTTTGTACACATTAACCAGTTCGATGAGTGAAACAATTTTGTAAAATTCTTGACCTTGTATTGAAAGGGAAAATATTGTTGCAAATATAACATCAAAAGTTATAATTAACTATAGAAAAGTAAAGGAAGTTTGAATGGATATATATATATATTGTCTATGTTAAGTGTGCATGCACATGTGTGTGTATGTCTGTGTGTCCATGTGTGTGCTTAAGTATATATATACACATATATATACATATATATATGTATGTGTTTGTGTGTGTGTGTGTGTGTGTTGCTTTGAACAATGGCTTGCAACAGTGTTCCAAAAGTAGTTGAAAGATCTACCAATTGAAAAGGGAACACTGTTGATTTGCAGGTGGAAGGTAATTGTGAGCAGAGTCCTAACATTTAGTAAAACAAAACTGATGATAAAATGCCAGTTTTCTGGGCATGATGAGAAGCTGGATTTAATTAGTTCCAGATATGCCTGGGAGGATTGAGAAAAGGATTGGTGGTTGAATAATGAAATTCTTGTTCCTGTGACTAGGGTAATTTGGGGTGAGCACTCTCTCATCTTAAAATGAGCAGGTAGAACTGGAAAATCTGTGGAATATTAGCTTGGCCAAGCTCTAAAACTCCATCTGAATCAGGTTAAGAATTGGTGAAAGTCTAATACTCATACCCTGTAAGTCACAGAATAACTATGATAGGCAAAAAAGATTCACCAGAGAGTAAAAGAACCATATACATTTGCAGCCCGTCTGAGATTTGAATTTGGATTAAGACATTTGAATTAAAAGCCTATGTAAAAGATGTAAACATGATCACTTAATCTTACCTGAAACTAATTTTTGAAGTTGTTACTGTGAATTAAAAAAGGAATCTCATTTCTTAGTAACCAAAGAGTTTGTGAAGATTTTTCTTAACTCAATTGGACCTCATATTTCTCACACTGAACACTTTAGAGGTGAAATAAGACACTATGAGAGGGACTATTACCCAGAATGCAAGGGTGAGGACATTACCCTCATAAACAGACCTATACACATTACTCTTGGCTTTCCAGAGAGAGCATAATTCATGTGTATTAATGTTGATTCCATTGTAGAAACCACTGTCTATAAGGGATCATCAGTGTGACAGACATAGCCAGATATTACAACTAGATACTGTTTTGGAAACCATTTTTCTAACACTCATTTCAGAAAATAATTTGTACATCATAATCTTTGCTAAGCCTGTAAAAATTTCACTAGGAGAAGAGAAAAGCAATATAGGAGAAAACAAATGCTTTTCCTAAACAGGAAAAGAAAACCTGCTATTGCATCTGTATCTGTACTGTCGTTGATTGGCAGATTTTTATCATAGGAGTATAACTACACTTTTGCTAGAATAATGTACATTAGGCAGTTAGATAAGAAAGTAAAAGTCCAGGAATAATTTCTGTATTAGTCAGGGCTTTCTAGAGGGCAGGACTAATAGGATAGAGGTATATACGAAAGAGAGTTTATTAAGGAGTATTGATTCACATGATCATGCTGTGAAGTCCCACAATAGGCCGTATGCAAGCTGAGGAGCAAGGAAACCAGCTCCAGCCCCAAAACCTCAAAAGTAGAGAAGTCGGTGGTACAGCCTTCAGTCTATGGCTGAAGGCCTGAGAGCCCTGGCAAACCACTGGTAGAAGTCCAAGAGTCCAAAAGTTGAAGAACTTGGAGTCCGTTGTTCCAGGGTAGGAAGCATCCAGCACAGGAGAAAGATGAAGGCTGGAAAACTCAGCCAATCTAGTTTTTCCATGTTCTTCTTCCTGCTTTTATTCTAGCTGTGCTGGCAGCTAACTAGATGCCCACCTAGATTGAGGGTGGGTCTGCCTTTCCCAGTCTGGCAGCATCCTCACAGACACACCCAGAAACAATACTTTGCATCCTGCAATCCAATCAAATTGACATTCAATATTAACCATCACAGTTGGTATGTAAGAAATAGAAGGATAAAGAATTGTTCTATTAGAAATATAAAATGATAGTAATTGTAATTTGTTCAACCTTGGGATCCTACTGAAAAGAGAGTGGAGGTTGAAAGCCAAGATCTTGGGGAAGAAAAGAGTTGCCTGGATGACACTCAAGAAGACAGCGTTGCAAAGGGCCTATGGTGAGACAGCCAAAAGTATGAGTCTCAGGGCCTGGTATTGTATTAATATTCAGTACTATGCTTAATCATATTGACCAATCTTACCTTTGAGATAAGGGTGGAGCTTAATTACGCGTAGTTAATGAAACATATTCTGCTTTATATGCCACAGTGACCATTGTGAAGTTCTTTCAGTGATGCTGAAATAACTTGATCATCTATTAGTGTACACCAAAATGTCATGCTTGGATATTCTTTGATAATATAGAAAAAACTCTGAATGATAACATAAATGATGAATTAACAAAGAATTTTATAATTTCTAATACTTAACTCATTTATGCATTTTGTCAACCAGTAAATAAATCAGTGATAAAAATAAACTTTATTTTCAATGTTAATCAACCTGATTTTAAATTCATAAGGACATAGATTATTCCATTAGTGTATATTATTTAATCAAAGATTTACAGTTTCACAAAAGTATCTAAGAATATTTAAAGATTATATAATAAGTGTCTGAGTAATCAAAGTTCAGAAACTAATATGAGTCATATGGAAACTAATGTAAATGAAAAATGTAATATAAACTTGAGTCTACAAATGAATAAAATATGAAGAAAACAATGAACTATAACTTTTTAAAATGTGAGAGTCAAAAATCAAAATTAAAATATACTCAATAGAAATGTTGAGAAAGGGAAGTAATTTACACTGGGGAAGGAAGTTGAAAGCAGAATCATACACGATAGCATACTATTCAGCCATAAAAATGAAGAAAATTCTATCACTTTTCACAATGTGGATGAACCTGGAGGACATTATGGCAAGTGAGATAAGTCAGGCACGAAAGATAAATGTCACATAATCTCACCTGTATGTGGAATCTTAAAAAGTTAAATATAAAGAAGTAGCAAATAGAATAGTGGTTACCATCGTCTAGGGGAATGCGGGATGGGAAGTTTTTGGTCAAATGGTACAGAATTTCAGTTAGACAGAAGTAATAAGTTTTGAGATCTATTGCACAACATGGTGACTATATTTAAAAAGAAAGTATTATATATTTAAAAATAACTAAAAGTTATGCCTTACCACAAAAAATGATGAGGTAGTGAATATATTAATTTGCTTTAATCATTCCACATTGTATACATATATCAAATCATACATTGTACCCAATAAATATAATTATAATTTTTCAATTAAAATATATTAATAAATTTTTAAAAAGAAAAAGGAGAGATGGTAAAATGTATAAAACTAAAGATTATCATCTTATGTCTTCAAAACACTTTATTATTTAAAAAAAAATTTTGAGTTTCTTTAATAAATTTTTTTTTTTTTTTTTCAGACGGAGTCTCGCTTTGTCGCCCAGGCTTGAGTGCAGTGGCGCGATCTCTGCTCACTGGAAGCTCCGCCTCCCGGGTTCACTCCATTCTCCTGCCTCAGCCTCCCGAGTAGCTGGGACTACAGGCGCCCGCTACCACGCCCGGCTAATTTTTTGTATTTTTAGTAGAGACGGGGTTTCACCTTGTTAGCCAGGATGGTCTCGATCTCCTGACCTCGTGATCCGCCCGCCTCGGCCTCCCAAAGTGCTGGGAGTACAATTCACATATTCAAGGGGTATGTGTGATATTTTGTTACATGTCTAGAGTGTGTAATGATCAAGTCAGGGTATTTGGGAAAATAATCACCTCGAATATTATTTTCCATGTGTTAGAAACAATTCAAGTCCTCTCTTCTAGCAATTTTAAAACGTATAGTACATTGTTGTTAACTATAGTCACCCTACTCTGCTTTCAGACAGTACAGCGTATATCTTCTATCTAACTGTACATTTGTAACAATTAACAGTCTCTCTTTATCCCTCACTCCTACTCACACAGACTTCCCAGCCTTAAGTATCTATCCTTCTTTAACTTCACGAGATCAACTTTTTTAGCTCCTTCATATGAGTGAGAACATGCGGTATTTGTCATTCTGTGCCTGGTTTATTTCACTTAACATTATGACATTCAGTTCTATCCATGTTGCTGCAAATAACATAATTTCATTCATTTTATGGCTGAATATTATTCTATTGTGTATATGTAACACATTTTCTTCATTCATCTGTTGACGTATACTTAGGCTGATTCTATGTCTTTGCTATTGTGAACAGTGCTGCAATAAACATGTGAGTGCAGGTATCCCTTTGATATACTTATTGTTTTTTCCTTTGGGTAAATATCTAGTAGTGGGATTGCTGGGTCATAAGGTAGTTGTATTTTTAGTTTTTTGAGAAATACCATAGTGTTTTCTAGAATGGCTATACTAATTAGCATTCTCATCAACAGTATATAATAGTATTCTTTTCTCCTCATCCTTGCCAGCATCTGTTATGTATTTTTGTCTTTTTAACACAATCGGAAAAGAAACCAGAGTATTGTCTTTTTAATGTCATTATTATTATTATGGCTATTAGGTTGTGAATTGTTTAATTCATCCATACATATTTACCATATACTTTAATTGCAAGTTTTGAATAATAATTACAAAATGCAAAAAACCTGGGAATATAATCATCCTTCCTATTGTATTAAAGAAAAAAATATGAATACAGCACTAGAATGTCTTATCTTAGATTGATTTCTGCTTCTAAATAAAAATCTTATTCATAAGTTTTCCTTAATAAAATATGATTAAACTTCACATAATATTTGTTTGTATTAATCCTATTTGTGATTTCTTTCGAATTTGATTCTGAAATGCTCAACTTTTAATTCTAACACTGAGATTTGTCTTCTAGCCATCTAACATTTTCATATTTATGTGTGTTTTATTAAGGTAATTATAGTTGAAAAACAAAAGAGAGTAAAAAGGAGAAGACTTTCCATTCAGAAATTACTTTACATGTGGTTTGTGATAGCTCTTTGTATAAAAAGATGAATAATAATAATAATAATAAACACATCAAATTCAGCTATGTGGGAGCAATTAAAAGACATAACCACTATAAAAATTTGTGCCTCTCTCTTCGGTATTATCTTCAGAAATGTTCTTATGAAAACTTACATATAATATCTGAAGATAGACAATAACAGCATTATTTAAGTTAATTTAACTTTGAACGGAAATCTATAATTTCAGCAAACTTTAGTATATTCCAGGTGCTTTTCTGTACGCATATAGGATACAAATATGTAAATGAAAGTTTTGCCTTCTAAAAGCTCACTTTAAAAACTAGTAAACTGACATAGAAATACTCATTAATACATTTAATTAAAAATAATATTAATACTAATACATATATTTGTGATACATTTGAACTAAAGCATTTAAAACAATATAGTTGAAAATTTTCTTCTTGTTCCCATGCCCTATGTACATACAAGTGTCAGCTGTTATTGTAGAGATCACTCATTTTTTAAAGAGTATATTATTTTTGTGTAATAATTTATTTTAGAAAATTATCAGTTTGATTAACTTAATACAATTCATTTTCAGACATGAATAATTTATAATTATTTCACTGACTGGAGAGAGTTCATTAAATTATATTGATCCTGTGGCATAATTGTATATGGAATGATTAATGCATGAAGTTAAATTATCAGTTATTAAAAAAGACTACTGACATCATGTCTTTCATAATTAAGAGAGTGCTCCAATACATAATGTGGGGGTAAATGATGACAATAACTAGATAATTGAAAGCTAACTATTATTAGGAACTGTACAGTAATTGGGAGATAATAATTCAATATACAATGGTTTCCAATTATGTTCTTATTTCTATTTTATTCATTCTCTTGGCCAGCTGATCTAAGTTAGTGTTAATTAATTGGAAAGAATCCTTTATTTTAAAATCGGTTTCATAAGGCATTGAAAGAAAAGAAACAAACCCTTAGTGATTATTTATATGAATGAAAACAATATGATCACATATAACATCTAACATATGATGGCATTTAATGAGAAATACTTTTTTTCTTTGTTTCTGTTTCATTGTTATGGATTTGTGCTGCATGACAAGAAAGAATAAGGAATTTGAAAATAAAGTATTTCCTATTACAAAAAAATATATTGTTTATTACCATGAGGAAAATTTGATCAAGTAAAGCATTGCTAATATCTTTATGTTGCTCTTTCTGTAGTTGCACATTCTAACTATAAATTATTTGATATAAAACTACAAAGTCATATTTATCTTTGTAACTTCATAGCCTAAGAAAAAGTGCTTTTAACAAAAGTAAGCAATAAATAAAAATTTGAATAAAATAATAAAATAGCAAGAGGAAGAATGTATAAATAAACGAATGACCTATGAAATATGTATTTTGGCTTAAGTGAATAAATTGTAATCATTTTAAATACACAAAATGATTTATTTCAAAAAGTAGTTTACTTTCAAATATAGATTGAATGTGAGAAAATTTAAGGATAAATTTATTTCAAACCTGGAGTAAAAATGACATCAATAATAGCTCACGTTTTTTGAATGCTTGCCATGAACCAGTTACTCTTTTAAGAGCCTAATGCATAATCAGGTTTAATTCTGGATATGAATCTATAAGGAAAATGCAAATTTGATTTAGCTTTATGATAATATTAAAATTTACAGATTCTTCATACACACATCTAAGCTTTGCTTACCTCCTTCATTCCTAGGATTATTTAGTTACTATGCCAATAAATTTCACTTTAGCTATCTAATACTCTACTTTTAGTTATTTTAGTAGGTATTACAAAGATTTTAAAACAGATGGAACGGCAACAATCTACCAAATAAGTACACCAAATAAACATCTAATTTAAGTTGAGTGATTTGGGCATAGAAAACGTTTTGCTTTGTATATAAAATACCAGTAAGCTCTTTTATTATATTTATTATATTCATTCTTTTTTTTCTGTAAAGTCAGTACTTAAATGAAACCAAGATATAAATTTCAAGGTTTTGTACTCGAAAGACTTCCTAAATATTCTTGCATCTATTGGAACATTTGTATATTTGACCTGAAATCATTCACAGCAATTTATTTTATTTTATGGACATTTCATTAAGTTTGAGTAGAACATTCTGGTCTTTGCTTAGCAGATTGCTCTCCCAAGCCCTTCTTTGCCAAAGTATTCACATTGATTAATTCTGTTTTGTAAATGACATGCTAAAGTTCTTTTGTGATTATATAACCTGGGTTCAGCTTAAGAAAGGTAAAAACTAGTTTATTAGTCTGTGTTTTAGAAATTTCCTTTACAGAAAATTGCTTCATCTCTTCTCGACCTGCATTGAAAAGAAACTATATACCATGCCAGCTTTTACTGTTTAGAAAGTAAATATGTAATCGTGTAAAATTACAATGAAAAAGTTACGAGTTTGTACCGGACAGAATGATCTTTTATAGAAATACTGTATTTTCTGGTATTGCCAATCTTCCTTCCTAGGTAAGAAAATAGTTTAGCTAATGAAAAATAAGCAATTCCATCTGCTTCAGATGAAATGGCTTAGGGGAATAATGCTGGAGAGAATGAAGCTTGCATGTGTTTGTGTATATAAGGAACAGGAGCTGAGGGAGACACTCTTAAGAATACTGATGACAATGCAATATATGGGGGTCACCATGTAATTTTGCTTGTTTAGTTGATGTTTTGAGACCCAACATAAAGTCCCACTGCACATCTCCAGTAATAATAGGCGGAAAAATGGACACCTGGAAAGAATAAATTATAAGTACAAAAGGAGTCATGATTAATTTCTCCTTAGCTACACTCATGCTGATGAAGTTTTCATAGATTTTGAGACTCTTTTGCCTTGAAATAAGGGAATGGGTTTTGTTTCCATTTGTAAGTATCTTAAAAAAATGCTTTCTTCAATTGAACTATATTAATGGAAGAGTTAAAATTGAAATTGGCTGACATTATTTAAGTTAATCCAGAAACTACTCACAACTTCTATGTATGTATGCATCCATATGTATGTCCGCACGTGCATCTACAACACTCCTATGCCTATATGTATACTGTTGTATGTATGTATTTATGTACACATGTATCTGTATTAGGCTATTCTCACATCGCTATAAAGGAATACCTGAGACTGGGTACTTTATTAAAAAAAAGATGTTTAATTGGTTCACAGTTCAGAAAGCTTTACAGAAAACACCGTATCAATGTCTACTTGGCTTCTGGGTAGGCTTCAGGAAACTTACCGTCATGGCAAAAAGCAAAGCGGAGGTGGGCAGGCACATCACATGGCAAAAGCAGGAGCAAGGAAGGGACATGGGGAGGTGTTACACACATTGAAATGACCAGATCTCAGGAGAACTCATTTTCATAATAATACCAAGAGGAACAGTGCTAAACATTCATGAGAAATCCATGATCCAGTCACCTCCCATCAGGCCCCACCTCCAACACTGGGGATTACATTTCAACATGAGACTTGGGTGAGAGATCCAAATCATATCATTATCTATCTCTCTGCTTATATATCTATCTAGCATCGTATTTTTTTTTTGTATTGGGAAACGCAGTGTAAAATTTTTCAACTTTTCTTTACTGTAATTAAACTAAGACTTTAGTTGCTCCGAAAGAGACTGAAAAACATGCATATACAAACAAATAAAATTTAAGCAGAGTGGAACTCATAATGCTTGGTTAGTCTGCTGAAATCATCAAATATCTCTTATATGACAATAGTGTGTTTTAATACTTTAGTGTTTTGATTATTTAATGTATTGCATGGGTCAACTAATCTACCAAAATGGCAGCTTACTGAGCTTGAGGAAGAAATATATCATCCTTCTGTTGATCCTTTGTCCCCTAGACAAATTGTCTTCTATTATGGTTTTGAGTACATCAAAGAGTGTTTTAAATATTATTCTTGGGATAAAATAAAGAAACAAAGCACTGGGTACAACATTGATCTTTCAGTATTCTCCAGCCTTTTTGGTCCTGGAATAAGACCATGTGGAAATGCAAGCCCAGTTTAATGCCTATGTGACATAGTTGAATTTCTACTGGGCTCTAACTTTGCTTATCTTTAAAAAACAGGAAGGCATGCAGACAGAACTTCCTCCTCAGGAGAACCAGGTAAAAACTGGTTAGAACCAAGATGGTTGACCGAATGGCGTCAAATTGACCTCAGATTTCATTATGTCCTAAATTTCATGCTAAATGACACTTCCTTTAATATCATCACAATTGATAATCACCATGATAAGGACTGGAGGAAACCATAAATGGGCAAAAGGAAGGCAGTACTCTGGTTCTGAGAAGTTTGCTGCCCATTCCCAGAAAGGACATGAATATTTCCCTTGTTTTTAATGCACAACCCTTTCATTAGAAAAAAAAAAAAAACTATGTTTTTTTTAACAGGCAATGACTAATGTGGAAATTCTGTTCTTACAATAAATAAAATGGAAGGGTAAAGAGAAGTGGAACAGTACCCTTTGGAGGAGGACAAAAACCAACTCCTGGATGCTATATGCTTTGGATTCTCAGCAGCCATTCCTATTTCCCCAGGGTGAGGGAACCTAAGGCAGGCAGTAAGTGGTGCACACAGCCCCCTCACCCTCAGGATGTCTATAGCCCTGAGGAGGGAATAAGAGTTTGAGTTCTCAGGAATGACCACCTGAGGCCAAGGAATCCTTTGTGAGGGCAAAACCAGCTGGTGACAGGCTCCAGTGGGCTTCAAGACAGATCAAGTGTTTGCAGATGTAATTTCTGAGCTGTACTTTTACCTCTGGTCCCACACACCGGCCAAATACAAGTCTCTGCACCTGGGACATTTTCCAGAAGCCTCTTTATTTGAGGACTTCTACTCTCAGTCCCCTTCATCTTTGGCTTCCCCAGATAATCTCTTCCTGAAGACTCTACTGCTGACTCCTAATTCTTCTGAAGCTACCACATCTAGGTTGGTGATGGGCTCTAAACTTCCTTCCTCTTTTATGGAATCATAAATGGGCTTGGAGCCAGACCCCACCCCACCCCAGCCCCAGAAATCTCCCTCTCCAAGCTTGCATCTTCATGGAGATGGATAAGGGCATGACCAGGTTGCCAGGACTGCCCAGCTTGGGCAGGCCCTGGGTTCTGCATGCTTCCAGTGGGTTTTGCAAATTTCCTCGAACCAGAAGCCAGAGTCACTTGGGCCATTGGGCTCAGGGCCAGGTAGAGCCTAAGTGCCCTTACCAAGTGCCTGAGTTGGCACTAAATGGCACACGGTGGCCTAGAGGGGTCTCATAGGGAGACAGAGCTGCCTCACATCCACCAACACAGTTTCTTGGAATGTTGAAATTTGGGTTTTCCCATGCACATTCAAAAAGGCTCTACAAGTTCCTCCTGTTGCTCAAAAGACACTGCTCCCTCCTCCCAGGTCCTGCTGAAGCTGCATCTTTGTCTGGGGTAAATACCCAAGGTTCGTCGTCTCATGTCAAGGAAACCGAGTACATGGACACACAAGAAGTGGGTTTAGGAACAGATGTTTGATAGGCAAAAGAAAGAGAAAGGAGAATAGCTCTCTCTCTTTTGAGGGAGAGGGGTGCCCAAGTGGGACTTCTGGGTTCCGGGGGAATGCATCAGGTTTCATAGACTGGCTTGAGGAAGCAGCATCTAATTTACATAGCACCCAAACATTGGTTGGACCAGGTGTGATGTTTATATAGCATGCAAAGAAGTTGGTCATCCCACCCTAATCTTATTATTATGCAAATGGGTTTTCTACTTGGACGGTAACCATGTCCTGTGCTCCTTACTGTACACGTGGTTGGCAAGGAAAAGAGAAAATGGAGCCGCCATGTTGAACATGCCTTGCCCCAGGTAGCCTTTTCCTATTGACTCAGCTGCGATCATTCACCCGTGCAAGCTTCTAGCTTGCCTTTATATGTCTGCAGTTCGATATAGGCTGCTCTTTGTTAGAAAAGAAAATGATTTGGGGGCTGTTTTTCATTGAAAGGAAAACCTTACTGAGGACTTCCTTACCCTGACTATCTGCCTAAATAATTTCTTTTAAACTCCCATATCACTACAAGTAAAAATCTTATATTTGAACCGCCTCACCTCTCACAGAACAAAAAGTTGGTTTGCGAACCACACTTCTACTGCTCCATCCTCTGGTCATTGAATAAAGCCGCAGTTCTTGCCCCTCATTTTCAGTTTTCTGTGTTGGCTTCATGATACTGGACTGAAAAGAATCCCATCTTTGGGGAGAAAAACGACTCAGTCAGTAACATAACTGGCACCCTAGATGGGACTCTGCACTACATAGTCCACCTCCTTGTGTGGAAAGCCTCCTTACCTCTGTGGAGACTTGGCAGCTGGCATTTGACAGCATTAGCAAGCAAAGGACGCACATTCCTTTTTATTCTCAGTGTCAGCGATCAACTTTGTGAAAGGTAATCTCTTGTTCTTGTCAGAGCATAAGTACGCAGGCAAAGGATTGTGCTGGAAAGGACCCCTTGTGCTACGGATGGTGGGGACGCTTGCCAAAAATGACGATTGTGATGAGGATGCTTGGAAGGATCACAGTCTCTTCCTCAGTAAAGGACACCTACCTACAAGAGTGCTTGAAAGTGTGAGAGAGGGGACCAGCAGTTCTGTCCTGAGTAGAGCATCCATTGGAAGTCTTTGAAAGAGGGAGAAAGGAACCAAATGACTTACAGTCTGGACTGCAGGATCAGGAGACTCCCTACTGATAAATGTGTGCATGTGTCCTTCCCTGTTTACTCCTCATAGTGTTTGCCTTCTTATGCCAGTAAAAAACTCCTCTGTGCCAATTTTCTTGCACCAGAGGAGCTTGAGTTTCTCTCTTCTCAAAAATAACCCCTCCTGCTTCTACCTCTGCTCCCTGCCAAAGATCAAAATGGCCTTGGCTGCTCTTCCAAGAAGATGATAATCCAGAGGCTGTGGGGATTAAGGAACCGCTTTTGTTTTGGGGGATTGGATGAAATCTCCATCATGAAGTTAAGGCATGTAGAGGAGACTGTCAGAGACAGGGTTCCAGGGACTCCTGGCTGGCTTTCAGGAAGGCATTGGGACATCTGGGTGTGACAATCAGTATTGGTTTTATGCACAGTAAGGACAATGCACAGTTCAAATGGTTAATTTGCTACTATAGAATTAAGTAGAGTTGTCTAAAGCTCTCTATTTTCCTCTCTTTTCTTCTCTGCCTGGTTTGAATCTGTTGTTACTAAGCTGCTGGTGCTGAGGTAAGACTGATTAGAATTATTATTTATGGTTTACCTGAAATGTAAACATTGGAAACCTGTTTGAAACTGAAGAAAAAGTAAAGAAACACTTTTAAAAATTGAACTACCATACTGACTGCTGTACCCAAACTTTGGTGAAAAGCCTTCCTTGGATTACCTGTTGGGGCAAACAAAGTTTAACCATGCGAATAGGTTCCAGTTTTGTCAGAAAAATAATTTAGATCTACATATATTTTATAAAATGGTGAGTTTTATTGCTATATCATGTCTAAAATCAAAGATCAAAGTTACTGGATTATAGTTTGTGTGTGTATACATGTTTAGATGTATTTATGTGCATGTATATGCATCATGCTATGTTGTGTCTAGCATGCTACCAAATTGGAGTATAAGTAAATGAACACTCATAAGTTAAGCTCAAATGCTTTTCAAATTCATGTGAATTTAGTAACCTTTGGTAAATAAAATAGCTTTACAGTTTTTGGTAAAATAAAACTAAAAATGTCTTCATAATTGTTAGCATACTTTTTTCTGGGCTTACTGATTATTTTATATTTGCCTTTGCTGGATATTTTAAGGTGTGAGGATTTGGCATGAAGATTATAAGATTCTAAACCAAGCCAAAAACAAAATAATCTTTAGGCTTTTTTTTTTTTTTTGACAAATAAGACTAGTAATATTGCTGGTTCAATAAAAAACAACTTAGTCTTCTGGGTTAGTGGTAAAGATACCTAACTATTTAACTTTAAGGTCTTACTTAGGTTAACACTTGAGGTTCACAGGCTATAAGGAATAGTAAATAGAAAAATAACTTGAAATGATGACTAGCTTTGTGTAATATTTCAGTTTTCAGAAGTCATGTAGATAAACTGTTAAAAATAGAAGAATTGTATAAAGATAAATGGGAAAAATTCTTGTAGGTAATTTTCTGTGTAATTTAAAATCTTAAAATTATTTTGAATTAATTAATAGATCCTAGTTAGATTTCCAACTAAAAAGCAAATGTGGTATGGAAAACCATGTTTCTAAAAACTATAGAAGGATTTCATCTATAAAATGCTAATATGCAATAAATGGTTCAAGAATTTTTACTTCTGAGGTTTTCACTAAAATTTAAGGTTACTAAGAATAATAGTTCTAGTGAATATATAATTCAGTAAGTTATGTTTTAATTAAAAAATTATATGTAGTTTGCAGGTTATTTTAAAGTTATTTATAAAACAATGTAGAATAAACACTAAGTAGGAGAGAGAGAGAGAGAGACAAAGTTATGGATATAAAGATATACTTTGGGCAAGAAAAGTTATGAAGAAAAGAGACTAATTTTGCATGAGAAAGGATCTCATATGATAAACTGTTGTTCTGAACCCAAATGACTAGTATTAAGAAAATAGGTAGTATAAGACCAGTTAAAAAGTTCAAATATGTTGTAAATAGTCTGTGTAAATTGTGATAAGTTTCAAGATAAATTTTGAGCCAGGCATGGTGGCTTATGCCTATAATCCCAGCACTTTGGGGGTCTGAGGTGGGTGGATCTCTTGAGGCCAGGAGTGTGAGACCAGCCTTGCCAGCACTGTGAAACCCCATCGCTACCAAAAAATACAAAAATTAGTTGGGTGTGGTGGCATGCTCCTGTAGACCCAGCTGCTCAGGAGGCTGCGGCAGAAGAATTGCTTGAACCTGGGAGGTGGAAGTTGCAGTGAATCGAGATCATGCCACTACATTGCAGCCTGGGTGACAGAGTGAGATCCTATTTCAAAAAAAAAAAAAAAAGAAAAAAAGAAATTTTGTACGTAATCAGGTTGGCCATACTTGAAAGAAAATTATTTATAATAGTCTTTCTAAATTTTGTTCCTCTATGTTAGAACAAGGTTTACATCAGATATTGATTTGCTCTTAACAAAATTATAAGAGGATTTCACCAATTTTTAAATTCTATAACCTTTTACATACAACTCCCTTATCTCCAATAGCCTCTGCCATCAACACACTCTCTCCTTGCCAATCACTCTCAGACTCCTCAGAGGAAATCAGTATGGACAATACCTAGGGCACAATATCTTACCAGCCTTCCTCTATGATGCTCCACCAGTAGGTTCCCAATGGGGAAAGAGGAATGGTTACTGTACATGTTCCCTCTGCAACTTCAGATCTTTATAACTGGAAACCTCATTCTAAAGAACAGAAAGAGAACCTGAGGAGTTTCAAAACCTCATTCAGACCCAAGACCCCCATGGGGAAGACATTCATTTCCATTTGAATATTTGAACATTCTCCTCCCTAGAACAGAAAGAAATCTCTGTTATGAGAAGGAATAGGGAAGAAGCAAACCAAGCCCATAGGTACAAGGGAAACAATCCTGCTAAGAGTGCAGGGAATGAGGCTGTGACAGACCTTGACTTCCTTTGGGACTCTAACATAGGGATGGGGAAGGCAAGACTCAGGCACTATCAACCGCTATTGTTAAAGAGAATAGAGGCCACAGGGAAAAGACCCGCTAACTGGCATAAACTAAAAGAGACTAATTGAGGACCCCAGGAAAGACCATCTATTTTCCTAGAAAGATTGAGGAAAAATATGAGGATATATACTCCTCTTAATCCTGATTCAGAAGACGAAGAGGCAATTCTAAAATCTGACTTTGTCTTTCAGAGCATATCAGATAACCCTGGATTTCTTCAGAATCATTCACTCTCCACCTCTTATTATTCTGGCTTATTCTAGACTCAATTTTCCATCTGCAGAATTAACACAAAACAATGCCTCTTCCCTCCTCTAGAAAACTCACCTGAAGTAAATCTCAAACAATACTGAAATCCTTTCTGGAAACTGTTTAAGAGGCAAGATTTTATAAACAAAGGTTGATTTAAAGAAAATATAATTTTACAAATGTAAGCTAAAGCCTATCAAGATGAAAACCAAGCTCAGAGAAAGAGTCATTTTATAAGTTTACAATTGATAAAATTATCAGAAAAAAATTGAGGGGAGAAACTCAGACCTGAAATTATAATATGGTAGTAATCTGCAACTGCTTTGTCCTGGAGAAGATACAATGAAAACAAGAAGATTATTGACTTCTTAATGAGAAGGTTTAAATTCAAGTTTATGATTCCATATGAAGGAAATACACATGTTCTTTAAAACAGAGAGCTTTATATCTTCCCTGTTCCCTACCCACCAGCCAACAAGGAACCATCCATATGGATCTGTTATTGTTCTTTCTACTCCAAGAAGCAAATCTCCAGGAACTTCATCATACAGGATGTCCTGGCTTCTGGCTTTCAGTTTTCTTTGACTGATGTGAGGCACTGGCAATAGATGTGGATGTAGGAGATAGAAGTATGGCTTTGCATTTACCCTTCTTCCTTGATTGGTTGTGGGTCTGGCACGGCCTGTGTTCTACAGTCAAAACTCCTCTTGGGTAGTTCCTTGTCTACATTTTCAGCCTTCACTGGGTGCAGGTAGCAGCTAACTTGGGGCCCTCTACTTTCTCCTTTGGAACTGCGGTGATAACTGCTTTGCACTGTTGCTCATCCTCAGGTGCCTTTCCATCTTTCTTCATCAACCTTGCCTACATCTCTGAAAATAAGCATTTCTTTATAATGTTTTCAGTTAAACCCTTCGGAGCATACTTTCTGATTTTTTTCTGGGAGCTGAGCTGAAACAGCCATCAAGTGTCAGAGCCTGAATTCAAACCCAAGTTGTGTGGCTAGAGAGCTTGTTCTCTTAAGGATAGCTATGTAAGCACAGGAGATGCCATTTTACTTTAACTTGAGGCCCAATAGACTCAGTCTCTAATGTGTGTGTTTGAATTTTTTTCTTCTCTTTAGTGTGTTTATCACTTGATTTCTCAGAGAACACTTTCTGCTTACAATATTTCTTAATGTAAGTGCCACTTGATGCTGCAATTCTCTATCTTTTGATCTCACCCATCTTACCCAAGAACTCTGGATATATGTTATCACCAGAGCCAGCTTACTCGGTGATGGGAGTGTCATTTAAAATCTTTTGATTGTAAGAATACATTTTCTTCCTGGAGTGTAAATAAGAATGGATTTCCCATTGTACACTGGATAATGTGCTTTCATATCCCCTGGAAGCAGCAATTCCCAGTTTTTAACCAACAGGCTACAGGATCAGGAGAAGCCTTTACAGTCAGCTTTAAACAACGTTTGTTCTTGATCTAACAGGTATATTTTTAGCTCTCTGCTCATAACTCAGGAAGAGGAGTTAAATTTCTGCTTTAAAATTGCTGGTAGTAAATTTAAACACACTAAACTTTCCATGACACCTCTTATTTTTATGTCACCATTATCTTTATAGCCTGGCCTTTGAAGGGACTGATAACTCTAAGAGACTTTGCCCTCTTTTGCCAGAGCATGTGCTTAAAGAGATATGAGGTGAGGTGTTTTAAAATAAAAATATAAACTCTATTACAATGTGTATAGATATTTATAGTATAAACTATACTATAACTTAAAATTGTTAAATTCATATTTTATAAACATACACATATGTATAAACAGGACTCTCTTCAAAATTGGGAAAATAATCAGCCAATATAATAAGGTTAAAAGATACACTTAGTATTTTGAAACTACTGTAAATGGGTTAAGTTTGAAGTTTGGGTGCTAGAGAATGTTGTTACTTCTATGAGACTGTGAATGCATGGATCATGTCTTAATGCTGACACCTACTACTGCCACACAATTTAGATAATAATAGCAAAAAGAAGATAACTTGCAAATTCATTATGCCTGCTCAAATATTCTTGTCAGCTTTAGGTTTCAAGACTAATGATGG
This sequence comes from Homo sapiens, assembly GCF_000001405.40. Classification (NCBI taxonomy): domain Eukaryota; kingdom Metazoa; phylum Chordata; class Mammalia; order Primates; family Hominidae; genus Homo; species Homo sapiens. The sequence goes on from NC_000001.11 coordinate 190,598,035, forward strand.
CTAGGCACGGTGGCTCACGCCTGTATTCCTAGCACTTTGGGAGGCCTAGGCGGGTGGATCGCCTGAGGTCAAGAGTTCAAGAACAGCCTGGCCAGCATGGTGAAACCCCCTCTGTTCTAAAAATAGAAAAATTAGCCAGGTTGTGGCAGGCACCTGTAATCCCAGCTACTTGGGAAGCTGAGGCAGGAGAATTGCTTGAACCCAGGAGGCGGAGGTTGCAGTGAGCAGAGAACGGGCCATTGCACTCCAGCCTGGGCAACAGAGCGAGACTCCTACTCCATCTCAAAAAAAAAAAAATTAAAAAAGACTAAGGATGGCCTTTTACTCTGTCCTCAGTGCTGCCCCAGACTATTCATGTTTCCCTGCATTTTATAGATTGCCAACGTTGAGAGGGACGGTATGGCCTTGAGGAGGCCATACAACATAGCATTATAATTTTTCTTTTAGAACAAGTAATATCACTCAATTATAAATGCCACCTAATCAAAACATAAGCTCTGACAATTCAGATTCTAACCTCTCCACCACTGGTGTAGATTTACTGAGTGGAAGGGAATATGCTAACAAAGAGTTAGCTCCAGGTCTCCAAACAGAGAGAAACTGTTCTCCTCTTAATACATTCATTTCGACTAGTTAACAACATAAAGAGCTGAATGTTCCACCACAAAACTTGGGTTGTGTTATGGAACTTCAATAGAAATGTTTCAGGAAGCATTTCTCTAGGGGGGGAAAAAAAGCAGTCTGGTTATTGTAGGGATAGATTAAGAAACATGTAGTTTGTTATTTTATGTTTTTTGTAGTTTCTATGTAAAATTTGTTTTCTTGATAATAAATTTGGAAAGCATCATGAATTATATAAATATATTACATAATATTACTGTCTGAAATTTGAAAATCAAAATCACTTCTAATTTTTATTTTAAAGCTAGACTTATATTAATCATAGCAACTATTTGTGTTTGCACAATAATCCTTAACTATTATTGAATTGTGAGATGTATTTATAAGTTATGCCATTAAGCTGAATCTAAGCTGAAAGTTTTTTTCTGACACAGAGCAAGTAGTATGATAATATGTTTAAAATTGTGACTTGAGAAGGGGTGTGTGTGTGTGTGTGTGTGTGTGTGTGTGTGTAGTGGGGGGAGAGAGAGAAGAGAGATAATTTTTACTAAAAAAATGATAAAAAATAATGTCAGATAGTAGAACAAACATGATTTGACAATGATATCAGAAGCTACAAGGGATATCAATAAAGAAAAAGAGAATGTCCATGATGAAGACACTATGAGTTGCCACTCTCCCCACTATTTCAATTTAGCACTTTTGAATAAAACTCATCTCCTTACCTGAGATTCATAAGAAATATTTTACCCAAACAAAAATGATATTTAATGGAAAATGTTTATGAGCAGCATTAAAATGCAAACTATTTATAATATCAGAGATTATATTAAAATAATTACAGTTATCAACCTTTATTATTTTAAGTAATTATGGATATGTTTTTTATTTTATATATATAATATTCAGTGTATTATTGTAATTTTAAAGACAGTCTGTTTACGTAATTACAAACTAGCATGCTATGCCAAATACTGTGAAATTAATTACTGAATGAAATATTTATAAACATCCCCAAATTATTAGTATATTTCAATAATTTATACTTCATGAAATTTTCCATATATTCCTTTGTACTTACCATAACAACTTTGTTAGCTATTCAAAACAGAAAGACAGTCTTTAGAAGGTTCATTGAGTTGTCCAATGTCTCACAGCTTGAGGAAGATTTGGCTAATATCCCAACCTCTGTCACCTACTTTAATGGCACATGATATTGCATCACACCATATGACAAAACATATATATTTGGTGATAGTATCACTAAGCACACATCATTTAGGACACAAGAAAAGTGATGGTGCTTAATGATGCAATGCAAATTCAACAAATCCACATGAAACAATAGCATAATTTCAGCCATCATTTTATTATCAGTATTTATTCATTCAGAAAATACTTATGAAGGAACTTACTACATGTTGGCCCCATTGCAGGTGTTAGAAATGCCATAAAACAAATCAAATACACAAGTATCTGCCTTATAGAATGCATATTTTATTGGAAGAAAAAGGCACCAGAGGAAAGATAAGTCAATGTATTATTCTGGATAGTTGTACGTGATAAGAATAAATCATAACAAAGCAGGGAACAGGAAGCTTAAATATAACAGAGTGACCAGGACCTTACTAAAAGGTTTGAGTGAACACTCGAAGGGATAACACCTGATGAACTAATCAGTATTCAACTGGAGAAAAATAACCAGTAGGTGAAAAATATTGAGATACTTATTGCAAGATATTGGGTTATGAACTGTGAGGGCTGGCTAAGAAAACCTGGAATAAATAGAGCAGGCCATCAGGAAGGGCATTGCAGAACTCTTGGATATGAGAGCTAAACTTGTTATCCAAAGACCAAATTTATTTTTCTGGGAAGCCTCCATTCTGTTCTTAAAGTGTTTCAACTTGTTAAATCAGACCACTTAGATTATTGAGGATAATCTCTCTTATTTGAAGTCAGCATGTTATGGGCTTTAATCACATTTAGAAAATATATTCACAGCAACCTTAGATTACTGTTTGATTGGGTAACTGGGAACTGAGTCTCACCACGTTGATGGACAATATTGACCATCGCACTGGGGGAAAATATTCTAGGCAGAGGAATGGGTTAGTGACAAAATTCTGAAGGAAGACGTCTAGCTTATTCCTGGAACAAGAGGGCCATGTGTTTTGGATGATGTTTTAGTAAGCCCATGCTGCTACAACAAAATATTATAGGTTAGGTTCTTTATAAACATTGTAAAAAATGAAATTTACTCCTCACAGTTCTGGAGGCTGGTTGGAGTCTGGTGAAAACCTATTTCCAAGTTGCAGACTGATGATTTCTTGTTGTACCCTCATGTGGCACAAAGAGAATGAGAGAGCTCTCTGGGGCCCCTTTTATAGGGGCACTAATCCCATTCTTGAGAGATCCACTCTCATGACCTAATCACCTCCCAAAGTTTCTACCTCCTAATACCATCACACTGTGGCTTGGATTTCAACATATGAATTTTGTGGAGACACAAACCTTCAGTACATTGCAGATCAAATGAGTGACATGGAGAATGGTGGGAAATTAAATAAGAGGGAAAACTAAATGGCTCGATGAATGTAGGGTCTTGTGGGTTATAGTAAGAAGTTGGGTTTACACTCTCAGGTTAGACATTGCGGGGTGCTGAGAGGAACTGATATGATCTGAATTATACTTTATGTTATCACGCTGGCTTCAATGTTCAGACTAGACAAGGACAAATGCATTGGGAGGCTAGACAATAACTCATGATAGCAGTGAGAGTGATGTGGAGTTTAAATATTCAAATTGTATTTTGAAAGCAGAGCCATAAATATTTGCTGATGGACTGCATAAGAAATATGAGTAAAGTGTAAAAATAAAAGTCATTCCAATATTTTGGCTACAGCAACCATTAGCAAAGAAGGGCAAGACTTTATGAACTTTATTTAGCAAAAGTCAGAAGCTCAGTTTTGCATTTGTAGCATGTCAGATGCCTATTAACTATCTAAATTAAGATGCTAGATTGGTGGTTGTATATATAGGTCTGGAGTTCAAAGACTGTATCCCAGTTGAGATTCATCAGCTTATAAATAGGGTTTAAAGTTGTCAGTGTGAATCAGAAAACGGTAAGAAAAGCAAGACATTAATGTATATATTTTAGATTTTTAACTTGTCCTATTTTTTAAACCTTTTATGGCTTCTGATTGATTTTCAAGGTATCATACATACATAGTAATTTGAAATGTTCTATATTGTATAAAATGACATAAAAGTCACTCATCTCACCACTCAGGTCATGAATAATATTAAATTTTGACATGGTTTCTTACAAATTCTCTCTATACATTTTATTTCTTCAATGCCTTGAAATCATAGAACATATGAATTTTTCTAATAATTATTTTGCTTAAAATTACATTTAAATATTACTTTAATAGCTGTATAATATTCTATTGTATGTAATAGTTAACTCTTCAATGTTTTTATTTACTTTTTTATTTCTTCTGTGAAATGAATATAGTTGCAATGATTCATTCATAGCTATAAAAGTTTAATTATAGTTATATAGTATAATGCATTGTTATACAAATTTAGTCACAATTTTCACCTACTCAGTAATTGACAGAAGAGTTTGATAGTATGTTTTACGGTCTTGTTAATCTGAAATTCTAGTTCATAAATGAAGATCAATATTTTAAAGGTGTGTTAAGTAACAAAAGCACACACAAACCAGAAATGTGTGTGTTGTAAATGAAAAGAAATAATCTCTTTTCAGCAAAACTAAGCAATCGAAAGTGATTAGAATAGCCTGTTCACTGCAGCAGAATGATAGAGACTCCGTGTAATTTAGATGGCCTACTTCCTAGAAATAAATGAGAAAAGCTGCTTAAATATGTGTGGCACCTAAGATAGGGGAAATGATGTCTAGACGCTTTTTTATCTTCCTATTTCATGAGTAGAAAAGTTCTCAAACATCCTCAAACTTATTCTCACTAGACATGCATCTAAGGCCTAATTCTCAAAACACCAATTTCTGAGCTTTAACCTACCAAGGAATCTTCCATCCCTAGTGAGCAATTTCTACTTTTGCAAAATGGCAGAAAATGTCACATTTGACAACTACTTACAAAACTTAGTTTCACTCAAAAGAGGGCTATTTGTGAAAGAAATTCAAACACATACTGAGACCTGTTAAAGTCTAAAATGAGATTGAAACAAGTCTTTTTGAGCTGCTTGAGATCTTTTTACTCTATTGCCCTTTGGTTTCCTACATCATTATTGTTTTGGTTTTGCTGAATACTATTTCTTTCCTCATCTAACTGCTGGTTCCTGCCACTTTGATCCTTGCATAAAAGCATCCAGTCTATGATGAGTCAGTTTAATTTGGTACTTTATCCAGGAAATCCTTTTTTTCAAATTTCAAATTGTATTTTAGATTCTTACTTATATGATGGCATTGGTATTTTCTCATCAACTTGTGGGATTGTTTTAATGGGGCTGTTGCTGAATAAGTGGCAGGTGTGCAAATAATTGCTTCCAAAATAATTAATTTCCTATAATCTACCTAAATGTAAGGGGTATGATATTTCCTTGATGATACCAACAGTTCTGAAAAAAAAACAAATGCAAAAAAAGTGAATATTATTAATATCTAATTGCAAATAATACACATCAAAACTAAAGCCTGGGAAGTCATTTTAATGTAAATATCAGTAAAGCCAAAAAATCAAGACTCATGGATTTAAATAAGAAATCAGTTTAAAGAGATATATATTCTCTAGCAAAATTTTCTTCAGGAGAAAATGAAATACTTATGTTAGATACCATACATGTTAGCTCTCTTATTAGTTTATCTACACTGTTAGCAATACAATCTGGTTTAAAATGAGAAAACTTCCAAATCTGTCATTTGGTAAAACCACCTCAATTTCAACTGAAATACTCTCAAAAACCAAAAGTGAAAACCAGAAAACACCAAAATAAGGCCAATTATCCCAGCAAACAAGGTAGGCACACAGACTAATTTAAATTTTCATGGGCTTGGATGATAGTTGATTCATAATATTAGTATAATTTAATTCATCTAGTATAGTACAGTGCTACATAAGACTCATATTTTATGGGGAAAAATGCTATGTTTTTTAAGAAAAATCTTTTTGTTTCAAAAATGAAAACTTTTTTTTATTAAAATAGGCTTGTCTCCTTTGAAGAGGCAAATCTTAACAGGAGAACCTAGAGTTTATTGATAATATTATTAAAAGCAGAACAAGGAATGGTTCATGAAAGAGAAGGAGAGAAGCTAGCTATAAGAAAGGAAATAGCACATTCAAGGGTCTGAATTTAGTTTATAAATTTGAATGAATTTCCTACATCAGCCGGTCAAATTTGTATTACTTTTAAATGAGGGAATTAGATTTGATACCTTCTAAGTCTTTACAGTTCTCAGGTTTAGTAATTCCATGAAAACTGGTAAACGTTTGATATGATTTGGATCTGTGTGCCTGCCCAAATCTCACTTCAAATTGCAATTCCCAGTGTTGGAGCTGGGGCACGGTAGGAGGTGATTGGATCATGGAGCCAGTTTCTCATGAATAGTTTAACACCACTCCCCTTTGTGCTATTCTCCTGGTGGTGAATTAGTTCTCATAAAATCTGGTTGCTGAAAAGTATGTAGCCCACCCCCCACTCTATTCCTCTTGATCTGGCCCTGTGAAGTCCCTGCTTCCCCTTTGGCTTCTGCCATCATTGTAAGTTCCTGAGGCCTCCCAGAAGCAGAAGCCCATATGCTTCCTATACAGCCTGCAGAACCATGAGCCAATTACACCTTTTTTCTCTTTAAATTACCCAGTCTCAGGTATGTCTTTATAGCAATATGAGAACAGACCAATACAATCCTGTGTTATTCAAATATCCAATGAAGAGGGGGTGAGATAGAGATGATGATGGTGGGTATTAAAGAGCTGGGATGTAGGTCAAGGAGCAGTGTTCCTTTCATGGGATCTGCCTTACATATTCACAAGCCGATCTATTGCTAGTGTTCTGAATATTGTAACCCACTATGTAAATGGCAGTTATTAGCAGAGCATTTAGTCATCTTTGGAGTCTAAAATTATATATATGTATATATATATGTGTATATATATGTGTATATATATATGTGTATATATATATGTGTATATATATGTATATATATGTGTATATATATGTATATATATGTATATATATATGTATATATATATGTATATATATATGTGCATATATATGTGTATGTGTATATATAAATTTTTTTTTTTGAGACTGAGTTTTGCTCTTGTTCCCCAACCTGGAGTGCAATGGTGCGATCTCAGCTCACTGCAACTGCTGCCTCCTGGGTTCAAGTGATTCTCCTGCCTCAGCCTCCCAAGTAGCTGGGATTACAGGTGCCCGCCACCTCACTTAGCTATTTTTTTTGTCTTTTTAGTAGAGATGGGGTTTCACCATGTTGGCTAGGCTGGTTGCGAACTCCTGACCTCAGGTGATCCACCTGCCTCGGCCTCCCTAAGTGCTGGCATTACACATGTGAGCCACTGCGCCATGCTTAAAATTATATTTTTATTGCTTAAAAGTGCTTTGAAATTATTATTTCTGTGGTATTTAAACATCAAGGATTATAGCCATTGAGAAAGAAAGTTCAAACTAGAACCAAGCTAAGTACAGATAAACAAAAGAATTGAAGTTCAAATACTGGTTCTGACGATTAGTAAACATAAAATCTTCAGCAAATTACTTTCTCTTTGTAGACCTCATTATCCTCACCTATAAAACAGGAATAATAAGATTTGTATTAGAGAAGTACTGTGAAACTCACATGAGATATTTATGAAAACATTTTCACAAGTGCATATAGATGCATGCTTCTTAAATTCTCTTAAATTCTCAACTTTCCTCTGACCTTCACCATCTTATCCATTTGTCATAGATATCTGTTAAATCTACTTCACAAATATCTCTCACATCTCATCTTTTTCTTCGCCATAGTTTAGTTTGAGCCTTCATTACTTATTTTAAACTGAGAATGTAAACTAACAACATTATATACCCACTTCTGGGTATATATCCAAGAGAAATAAAATTACTATCTTGAGGAGATATTTGTACTTCCATATTCACTGCAGCATTATTTACAATAGCCAAGATATGGAAACAGCCAATGTTTCCATTGATGGATATATTTGTGTGTGTGGGGGGGGGTGGGTGTGTGTATTTATGCACATATGCATACATACATACATATAGATGCACATGCATACAACATAATTTCTTTATCCATTTTACATATTGTGGTACATATGTAATGGAATACTATTCAGTTGTTTGCAACAACATAGAAGAACTGGTAGTACACTGTGCTAAGTGAAATAAGCCAGAATCAGAAAGGCAAATACTGTATGATTTTACTTATATGTAGAATTTTTTCAAAAAAGACTGGGTGTAGTGGCTCATGCCTAGAATCTCAACACTTTTGGTGAGTGAAACAAGAGGATCACTTGAGTACAGGAGTTTGAGACCAGCCTAAACAACATCAGGAGACCTCCCCCCGACATTGAGACATACTTGTAGAATCTCTATGAAGTGAGTATCATTCTCACAGAAATTTGTGAAAAATTAAAGACATAAAAGTTATGTAAGTTGTCCATAGTACTTTAGGTTAGAGAAAACAATGAAATTTAGAGCATGCATTTTGTTTTGCCTTTGAAAATATCTATCATCTTGTTTATCAATTTCAGTAGAACTTCAGTAAATTTCACCATTAGTATGTGAGATCAAAATCTTACATGAAAAACAGCTTACTATTAAAATACTTTGGTTGTATTTAACATTAGAGATGGGGAAAAATCTAAGAAGCTACTGTATGCTTTTTTGCTTCCACTGGTTGCTCTTGAGTATTTGCCAGATTTTCAAAACGATCATCAAAAGTTAGCATTACTTTTTTTTTAGAGCAAAACTTTTATTTAACTACTGACTACTGATTTTCAAGTTTCTGTTAGTTTCCATATAACTACATGCACAGTTGTCAGATGTTTAAAGCAATCGAACCTAAATTGATGAGACTTTAAAAGGATTTGAATATGCTGACTAGTGTGGTTATTTCATGTCAAAAAAAAAAAGAAATAAATCTGCCCAATCTAGTTAAAGGAGAGAGAAAAGCAAATAGCAAGAAGATATTTTGATATTTCTCCAAAATAATGAGGGTGAAAATGAACACTTACTTCAAAACAAGAAGTATATTTTTAAATTAAACCTTATTGCTTCAACACAACCATATTGGCTACTGACTTTAGAGCAAACAGTTTATTTATATATTAGAGCTGTAATGTAAAAAAGATAAGAATAAAAATCTGAAGATATAATAATCCTAGCTTCTGCATGCTCTAAAGAATTAGCCAGCCGGGCGCGGTGGCTCACACCTGTAATACCAGCACTTTGGGAGGCCGAGGCAGGTGGATCACAAGGTCAGGAGATCGAGACCATCCTGGCTAACACGGTGAAACCCCATCTCTACAAAAAAATACAAAAAATTAGCCAGGCGTGGTGGCGGGCGCCTGTAGTCCCAGCTACTCGGGAGGCTGAGGGAGGAGAATGGTGTGATCCCGGGAGGCAGAGCTTGCAGTGAGTCAGGATGGCGCCACTGCACTCCAGCCTGGGTGACAGAGGGAGAGGAGACTCAGTCTCAAAAAAAAAAAAAAAAAAAAAAAAAAAAAAAAAGAATTAGCCAGTACCTAATAGGACATGGAGATACTCACAAATATATTCTTTATTGTTAAATCATGAGAAAACTAAAACAAAATATTACCAAAAAGATTGAATTAAAATAAGCTTCTAGAAAATTCCTTAGATTATACATCTAATACAGTTTTAGTTTACATAAACAAAGCTGAACTTATTTTTACATGTAAATATTATATTACTGTAACTAAGAAGATAAGTCATTAAACAAGGTTGTAATTTCTGATGAAATTCCAGTTGCAAACTCATCACTCAGGAAACTCTGAAGCATAAATTAGACCCCAGAGTGTCCTACCTAGAGGAAAAGGACCTGGGTTTTATAACCCCAAATCTGTCATTAATTGTCTATAATCACTCTTGGAGAGATAAATATGGGTACAATATTTTCTAAGCATTTTTGGGTTTTCATACGTAGGCAGCTCCAGTGCTCAAAGGCATTCATGTAAAGAAATGTATAAGTGCAAGCCCTTAGCTTAAAGCACACAGAAGCTTGCAGAGGGGTCCTGAGCTGAGAAAGTGATCCAAGGGGAATGGGGGTGGAGGAAGAGGGCACAAAAAATGGTCACTGTAGAAAAGCTCCATTAAAACACTTTTTTCTATAACAACCCTATTACTAATCATAGGTGAATGAAAGAGCATTTTTAAATATTGCATTGGAAGAAAACAGATACTTAACCTACGTAAGATATTTAACCTACGGTTAAAATATCCTCCATAATCAAGGATTGAAATATACATTATTTATATACTTTAAGTGCAAATTCTGTCAATGAAGTTCCTGGATACCTCATATAGATTGGCCTGAACAACTACTGGAAAATCATTGAAGACACAGTTAATGTGGACGGGGATCTATGTGGCACTTCGAACAAAGGCATTTAGAGTATTCTTGAAGGCACTCTATGGAAAGTTGACCATGATAAATTTGTGTTGTTACGTTTTTCAGAAATTAATCTAGTCAGCCAGGCACTGTGACTCACGCCTTTAATTCTAGCACTTTGGGAGGCCGAGGTGGGTGGATTACTTGAGGTCAGAAGTTTAAGACAAGCCTGGCCAACATGGTGAAACCTTATCTCTACTAAAAATATAAAACAATTAGGCAGATCTGGTGGTGCATGCCTCTAATCCCAGCTACTTGGGAGGCTGCGGTGAAAGGATTACTTGAACCTGGGAGGAGGATGTTGGAGAGCCAAGATCGTGCCAGTGCACTCCAGCCTGGGTGACAGAGTGAGACTCTGTTTCAAAAAAAACCAAATTTTTTTCTGGTCATCAGAAATATGGGCCTTGCTTGATTTGAAGGAAAAAAAATACATGATTTTAGTAACTTCATACAAACTATTCTAATTATGGCTTTTCTGATAATGTAACATGAAAGCAATTTGAAGTACCAGTCCATGATTTTCATTACTTGCAGATGAACCATGATTATATTTTTCTTAGAGAAAGTATGAAATCATTTATTTATTCATCAAATAATTCATAAATGCAAAACATGTATTAAGCAATTTGCTAGGTCTGCAATTTCATGCTACTTTTTAGTTTTGCTAATTTTTTTGCTATGTGTAAGATTTTTAGTTTGATGTAGTTTTACATTTATTTTAGATTCTGTTGCTTGTGCTTTTGCTAGCAGATCCCAAGAAGTTATTGTCTGGACTTAGGGACTAATGTCAAAGAGATTTTCCCTATATTTTCTTTTATTTGAAGACTGGGCAGCAAACAGACACATGAAAAAATGCACATCATCACTGGCCATCACAAAAATGCAAATCAAAACCACAATGAGATGCCATCTTACACCAGTTAGAATGGCGATCATTAAAAAGTCAGGAAACAACAGGTGCTGGAGAGGATGTGGAGAAACAGGAACACTATTACACTGTTGGTGGGACTGTAAACTAGTTCAACCATTGTGGAAGACAGCGTGTCGATTCCTCAAGGATCTAGAACCAGAAATACCATTTGACCCAGCCATCCCATTACTGAGTATATACCCAAAGGTTTATAAATCATGCTGGTATAAAGACACATGCACATGTATGTTTATTATGGCACTATTCACAATAGCAAAGACCTGGAACCAACCCAAATGTCCATCAATGATAGACTGGATTCAGAAAATGTGGCACATATATACCATGGAATACTATGCAGCCATAAGAAAGGATGATTTCATGTCCTTTACAGGGACATGGATGAAGCTGGAAACCATCATTCTGAGCAAACTATCGTGAAGACAGAAAACCAAACACCGCGTGTTCTCACTCATAGGTGGGAATTGAACAACGAGAACACTTGGACACAGGGTGGGGAACATCACACACTGGGACCTGCCTTGGAGTGGGGGGAGCGGGGAGGGATAGCATTAGGAGATATACCTAACATAAATGACGAGTTAATGGGTGCAGCACACCAACATGGCACATGTATACATATGTAACAAACCTGCATGTTGTGCACAGGTACCCTAGAACTTAAAGTAGAATAATAATAATAATAATAATCGTAATAAAACCAAAGTGTTTTTGTTTTTTTAAAGATGAAATTGAAAAGTCTTTGGTGAGGCTAACCATGAGACAAAAAAGAGAACTTCAATAAATAAAATGATAAATAAATAAAACAGGAGCCACTGTAAGAGATGCCACAGAAATATAAGGGATCATAAGAAACTATTATAAACAACTAAATGTCAACATATTGGAAAACTTAGAAGAAATGAATAGATTCTTTGAAATGTACAACCTACCAAGACTGACTGATGAAGAATCAGCACATTTTAACCAATGATGAGTAAAGTGATTGAATCTTAAATCAAGTACCTCCCAACAATAAAAAGCCCAGGACCAGATGCCTTCATTGGTGAATTCTACCAATTGTTTAAAGAAGAATTAATGCCAATCCTTCTCAAAAACTTTCACAATCCTGAAGAGGAAAAAATGCTTCCAAACTCACCTCATGAAAGGTATTTACATCATGAAGCCTCCTCTCTCATGAATGGATTAATGACGACTATAAAAAGGCTGGAGGCTTGCTCTCTCTCATGAGCTCTCTCATCAAGGAATGGCTTCTGCCACATTATGATGCAGCAAGAGGGTCCTCACCAGATGTGGCCCCTCAATCTTGGATGTCCCAGCCTCTGAAACTGTGAATCAAGTGAACTTCTACTGTTTTTATATTACACAATCTCTAGTTTTCTGGTACAGCTGCAAAAAAATGAATTAAGACACACATGTCTGTCAAAAGCCCATGTCTCTACTGCTGTCACTGCCACAGAAATAAACTCATTTTACTTCTGCTTTCTAAAATCATCTAAGTACCTTTCATTGGCAGAATTTGAATAACACATAGAAACACAAAAGGTAACATAGAATGGAGTAAAATCAGATCACAAATAAACACTATGCAGCAAAGGGGAAAGAAACTTTAGAGAAGTCAAGAAGTCGGAGGATTTGTCTAGGGATTTAGGATCTAAGCCACTGGTGACACTAGCCACAACAATTTCAGTGGATGGATGAGTGAAGAAATCACATTTCAATGGTGAATTGAAGGTAATAACAGACTCACAGAGAATAGATGCTTACGTCAGGAGACTTTACCTTAATGAGAAATAGAAGAGATATTTAATAATTAGTATTACAAATGGGACATGAAATTGAGTGATGTGTGTTCCCCCACTTTATTCATTATTTCTCTCTCCCTGCCTTTCCCTCTTCTCTCTTTCTCTCTGTCACCCTCTCATAAGTTAGCAAAAACGTGCAAAAATATTTATTAAGTAAAATAAATCATATCTAGTGGGAAAAGGGGGAAGTTCAAGAGATTCTGGAAGAAAGGGATAAATGATAGAGCAATATCCCTGAACAATTTAGAAGATAAAAATTAACGGTGAAATTGGCCAGTAGAGAAAACTACCCTTGGCTTTTTTTTTTTTTTCTTCCTTAGCAATGCTACTAATCTCTCCTACCTCACTCTGCCTGTAAGCATTGTTTACTTTGTTGAATTCTGTTAGTGGAAAGAGTTCTTGCTCATTTTACATTTTAATACAGAAGTATTTTCAGATTGATTTTCTTCTGAAAAAAAACCTCACTATTCCGTAGAATTTAGTGTATTATATGGGAGTCCTGTGTTTAATTATTGATCATCCCACTTTTCCCCCATTTTAAAAATCACATGACTCTCTCTGATACTGAAAATGGTCTCTTTTTTGGTTTGTTAATTGTTTTTCTATTTTGTTTCTACTATTTTGTAGACTAAAGTAGTATACTAGTTCTATGCAACTGCTATTATGAAGACTATATTTCAGAAATATAACTATTTATTTCAATCAATACCTAAATCCTAATCCCTTTAAAAAGGAGTTTTCTGGTAGATTCTTGTCACCTACCAAAAATTTAGAAGTTTGGTTTTACAATTACATGAAAAAGAGTATTAATCCAGACTTTCTCTTCACCTTATAGAAATACACTAGATAAATAGTAATGGTTATTGGCATGTATCTTCTTTTGTAGTATGTATTCTTATGAACTTTATATTTTATTTCTACATAGGCTTTTTCAGTGTCACGATTCCAGAAATATTTATGTAGCTTTAATTTCTTAATGAAAATATAGTTTGGAGTATGGAAAGCCATCTGACTTAGCATGAGGAATCATAGTCCTTGATGCACCTATGACTACATCTATGACTTCAAACATATCGCTTTATTTCTATGGAATTCAGTTTTTCACTATTTAAATGATAATAATACTTATTTGATTTTTTCTTAAAAGTTGGTTATTTCTATGGACAGTAAGTGAAATTTGTGATTGAGGACCCTAGCAAAACTATCTGTTAATTCCACCCATGTAGATGAAAATTAAACCAGCATCAGGTCATGGGCTGAATGAAATGTCTTTCTGGGTTACTGAAGAGATAGAGAAAGACATATTGTCTCGTGACACCCAGGGACAGGCTTTACTTTCTCTCTGAATGAGAATGTAGCCTTGCTGATATTACATTGGTTTCAGAGAAAGGAAAGCCGGATATTTGAAAATGCTTAAATGAAAATAACATATTTTCCCAACATTTCTTCTGATAAAGTGTTGTAAGCCCATATTTACATGAAATGACAGTGTGTAAAAAATATTATGTTGTTTTATCAACTCTGATAATTTCTCTCCATGGAGAAATCATCACATAGTTAGGGAAAATGGCTACCAGGAAGAAGGAACTTCAGTTATATCTTCTCCTCTATGTCATCACCGTACTAGCTTTATTTATTTTTTAATCTGTGGCTTAATAAGTTGGCTGTAACTGTATTTGTTTTCTTTCTGCCAAAGCTTAAATTGCTTGAAATGCTGCAGCCAGAAGTGATATAATAGAAATAGACTTTGAAAAATTAAAAGTGTCTGGTACACATTCAAAGCAAAGCATATACTCTTAGGACTGGAAGATATTCAAGAAGATTCAAGAGTGAGGTGGGGGCATTGGGGAGATGTTGGTCAATGAACACACAATTTCAGTTGGGCAGGAGTAATAAGTTCAAGGTATCTACTGTGCATCATGATGACCACAGCTAATAACAATACATTGTACACTTTAAAAATTGCTAAGTGGGTAGATTTGAAGTGTTCTCACCATGAAAAAATGATAAGTATGTAAGGTAATTTATATGTCAAGCAACTTAATTTAGCCATTTCACAATATCCATGTACCAAAACATCATGTTGTTCACCATGAATACATATAATATTTGTCAATTAAAAAATAAATAAAAATAAAAAATTTGAGATATCAGTTTTTTAGTATTTTTGCATGGCATTGATATTTGGAAATTCACCTAGATACGTCATATTTTGAAAAACAGTACTTACTGTATCAGTAATGAAGACATAATATTGTAAAGAAAAATGTTTTTAGCTGAGATTTACATTCCTATTAAAAAATTCCCTTTATATAGAAAGGCAAATCAAGATATGCATTTTAAACTGTTTTCTGGTAAGCCTCTGTTTCTCTTCTACAGATTAAACTCAATAAACACAATTGAGAATGTCACTTGTGGGTGTACATCTTGAGAATTAATGGTGTAATGATGGGGCAGTGGATTGGATTTGCTCATATGCATTAAGAAAATCTAAGATTCAATCCTCAGAGGCCATTGGGATGGATCCATAGGGATGCAATGAATTACCGCCTGGTCTGAATATTTTTATTTTCTAATTCTCACTGGTGCTCTGGATTCCCAAAGATTTCGCGGTCCTAGAAAAATCAGCATGTTCTACTAGCACCTCAAACTAGAGTCTCTGTAGAAAATCTAGGCATTGACATGCCATTCTGTAAATAGAAGGTACAGGTCCATTTGAAGAAGTTGCCAAAGCACTCATGTCAGGGATAAGAATAGGATTTGTTAGCAGAGATAAATTTGAAGCAGAACTTTTCTTGCAGCTTTGGAGTATACTCTAGGAGAGTTAAGAATTTTGTGACAGATTTGAGAATATGGGAACTTCTAAATTCAAAATAGAATGTCGAACTGAAATTAGCTCCATATACTATTGAGTGTTAAAAATGCTTGTCACAGGAAATTGTTCAAGTTAATGTGATGATAGTTTAGACATGTCCATTAGCCTACCCACACCACTGGTTCAGCTATGATTTGAATTAAAATGCTCCTGTGTGAATACATACACAGAACATTTGAAAGCAATATTTCCCTACTTTTTCTTTACTTCTGCAAAAATTCTGAATATGATTTTAGAATGGCTGTGTTCCCTAAGGGTGTCAAAATGCAACAGAGTACTTTATGGCTTATGTTTATTTTTTTCTTTCCTTATGATAAATTATAGAATTACATTGTTGAATTCATTAGCAAATTTGTCTAGATATAGAATATAAAGTGTGCTTTTGTCAACATTAAACCAATATATTATTGGCAGTAATATGCATTAATATTGCTGTGAACTTATGCAATTAGAATGAGTCAAGTTACCCTACACATATTAACTATGTACTATAAAGTTTCTATGCTATATCTGTTTTATTTTAATAGAGGCTGAACTCAATAAAAAATATATTACATGAATTTCTAAGGGAAGACCAAATTAATTCTTCTTCTTATTTTTTTTTTCACAGAGTCTCACTCTCATGTAGGCTGGAGTGCAGTGTCCCCATTATAGTTCACCACAGCCTCAAACTCCTGGGCTCAAGTGGTCCTCCCGCCTTAGCTTCTAAAGTAGATAGGACTACAAGCCCATGCCACCACACTTGGCTAAGTTTAGGAATTATTTGTAGAGATGAAGTATCACTATGTTGCTCAGGCTGATCTTGAACTCTTGGCCTCAAGTGGTCCTCCTGTCTCAGCCTCCCAAAGCACTAGGAATACAGGTGTGAGTCACTGCTCCTGGCCTGATTTTTGATTTGGAAATTAAACTGTTCTAGAACTTTTAGGAGTAGTCGTTCTTGCTTTTTGAAAATACATATTTTTGAATTTTCTAAACACATTGTTATGTTAAATCAATGTTTATATTTGGCATTATTTTAGAAGTACTTAAAAAATCAGACCATATTTACACACAAATTAATATTTACAAGAATGTATGCTCCATGAATGTGGAGTGTATAAGTTTAAATCAAATCTTTGACCCTGGACTTAAACTGTCTGTCACAGTTTTCTCCTCCTTAAAATGGGATTAATCAAACATACACATAATATTTTTGTGAAGATTAATTTATATATTGGTCTGTTTTCATGCTGCTGATAAAGACATACCCAAGACGTGCCAATTTACAAAGAAAGAGGCTTAATTAGACTTAAAGTTCCATGTGGCTGGGGAGGCCTCACAATCATGGTAGAAGGCAAGGAGGAGCAAGTCACATCTTATGTGGAAGGTGCCAGGGCCAAAAAAGAGAGCTTTTTCAGGGAAACTTCTTATAAAACCATCAGATCTCATGAGACTTATTCACTATTATGATAACAGCATGGGAAAAACCTGCCCGCATGATTCAATTACTTCCCACTGGGTCCCTCCTACAACATGTGGGAATTCAAGATGATATTAGGGTGGGGACACAGAGAAACCATATCATTCCATCCCTGGCCCCTCCCAAATCCCATGTCCTTAACATTTTAAAACCAATCATGCCTTCCCAGAAGTCCCCCAAAAGTCTTAACTCATTTCAGCATTAACTCAAAAGTCCACAGTCCAAAGTCTTATCTGAGACAAAGGCAAGTCTCTTTTGCCTATGAGCCTGTAAAACCAAAACCAAGCTAGTTACTTCCGAAATACAATGAGGGTACAGACATTGGGTAAATAGAGCCATTCCAAACTGGAGAAATTGACCAAAACAAAGGGAATGTAGGCCCCATGCAAGTCCGAAATCCAGCAGGGCAGTCGAATCTTACAGTTCCGAAATGATCCCCATCGACTCCACATCGCACATCCATGTCATTCTGATACAAGAGGTAGGTTCCCATGGTCTTAGGCAGCTCTGCTTCTGTGGCTTTGCGGGGTACAGCCTCCCTCCTGACTGCCTTCACACGCTGCCCTTTAGTGTCTGCAGCGTTTCCAGGTGCATGGTGCAAGCTGTCAGTGCATCTACAATTCTGGGGTCTAGAGGGCAATGGCGCTCTTCTCACAGTGCCACTAGGTGGTGTCCCAGTTGCGACTCTGTGTGGGGGCTCCAGCTCCACATTTCCCTTCTGCACTGCCCTAGCAGAGATTCTCCATGAGGGCCCCACCCCTGCAACAAACTTTTGCCTTGGCATCTAGGCATTTCCATACGTCTTCTGAAATCTAGGCAGATGGTCCCAAACCTCAATTCTTGACTTCTGTGCACCTGCAGGCTCAACAACACGTGGAAGCTGCCAAGGCTTTGGACTTCCACCATCTGAAGCAACAGCCTGAACTGTACCATTGTCACTTTTAGTCACAGCTGGAGTGGCTGGGACACAGAGCACCAAGTTCTTAGAATGCACACAGCACAGGGACCCTGGGCTTGGTTAATAAAACCATTTTCTCCTAGGCTTCTGGACCTGTGATGGGAGGGGCTGCCATGAAGACTTCTGACATGCCCATTTTCCCCATTGTCATGTGAAGTAACATTTGGCTCCTTCTTACTTATGCAAATTTCTGCAGCTGGCTTCAATTTCTTCTCAGAAAATGTTTTTTTTTTTTTTTTTCCTCTACCACATTGTCAGGCTGCAAATATTCTGAACTTTCATGCTCTTCTTCCCTTATAAAACTGAATGCCTTTAACAGCTCTCAAGTCACCTCTTGAATGCCTTGTTGCTTAGAAATTTCTTCCTCCAGATACCCTAAATCATCTGTCCCAAGTTCAAAGTTCCACAATTCTCTAGGGCAGGGGCAAAATGCTGCCAGTCTCTTTGCTAAAACATAGTAAGAGCCATCTTTGCTCCAGTTCCCAACAAGTTCCTCATTTCCATCCGAGACTACCTCAGCCTGGACCTTTGTTTTCAGGATGCTTATAAAGGCATACCCAAGACTTGGTAATTTATAAAATAAAGAGGTTTAATTGGACTTACACTTCCACATGGCTGGGGAAGCCTCATAATCATGTCAGAAGGCAAGCAGGATTAAGTCACATCTTACATGGAAGGTGGCAGGCAAAAAAAAAAAAAAAAAGAGAGAGCTTGTGCAAGGAAACTCCTCTTTACAGAACCATCAGATCTCATGAGACTTATTCACTATCACAATAACAGCACAGGAAAGACTTGCGTCCATGATTCAATTACCTCTCACCAGGTCCCTCTCACCACATGTGGGATTCAAGATGAGATTTGGGTGGGGACACAGAAAAAGTATATCAATTTAGTTTCGGAAAAAAATGTTTACCCAGTACTTAGTATATAGTTTGTGTTTTAAAAAGCTGTTAATCTTAAAAACAGGAAGAGTGTATGGCATGTAATTTTTATTTAGTATTTATTTGTCGAGAAATATTTAGGTTGGTGCAAAAGTAATTGCAGATTTGGTTCCTGAATTTTACATCATTATCACTAGGCTGAGGCAAATCTTTATTAATCAAAATAGGAAACATTATAATCAACATATTTTTTGCCAGTGAGAAATAAATTTGTTTAATCCTGTAGCGTAAAATTCATGCTTTGGGTTTCAACGAACCTTTGGAAAGCATTTTCTGCATCTTGCTGGTTGTGGAAGTGTTTTCCATGCAAAAAGTTGAGATGTTTGAAAAAGTGGTAGTTGGTTGGCGAACAGTCAGGTGAATATGGCAGATAAGGCGAAACTTCTTAGCTCAATTCATTCAACTTTTGAAGCACTGGTTGTGCAACGTGCAGTCAGGCGTTGTTGTGGAGAAGACTTAGGCCCTTTCCGTTGACCCGGCCTTGCAGTTTGTGGTGCAAATCATCAATTTGCTGAGTGTACTTCTCAGATGGTTTCACCAGGATTCAGAAAGCTGTAGTGGACCAGATCGGCAACAGACCACCAAACAGTGACCATGACCTTTTTTTTTAGTGCAAGTTTGTCTTTGGGAGGTGCTTTGCAGCTTCTTCTCAGTCCAACTATTAACCTGGTCATTGCTGGTTGTCATATAAAGTCCACTTTTTGTCATGCGTCACAATTCGATCGAGCAATAGTTCATTTTTGCATAGAATAAGAGAAGATAACACTACAAAATGACAATTTTTCTTTTCTTTTTTTTTTTTTTTTTTTTTTTTTTTTTACTCAGCTCACGAGGCATCCATTTATCAAGCTTTTTTACCTTTCCAATTTGCTTCAAATGCCAAATGACCGTAGAATGGCCTACATTTATTTCTTAGGCAACTTCGTGTAGTTGTAAGAGGATCAGCGTCAGTTGGTCCTTGTCAACTTCCAATTGCCAGCCACTACGTTCCTCATCTTCAAGGCTCTTGTCTCCTTTGCAAAACTTCCTGATGCACCTCTTCACTGTAGGTTCCTTAGCAGTTCTTGGGCCAAATGTGATGTTGATGTTGTGAGGTGTCTCTGCTGCTTTACAACCCATTTTAAACTCGAATAAGAAAATCACTCAAATTTGCTTTTTGTCTAACATTATTTCCTTAGTCTAAAATAAACATGAAGTAAACAGCAAGTAACAGTAATAAGTCATTAGCAAAAAAACCATGAAGCAAGAAATGCACATTAAAATGATGTATAACATAATCACATTTATTTAAGAACGTATTCCAATATCAAATGGCAAATTCCAACAGAAAAACCGCAATTACTTTTGTACCAACCTAATAATAAACAAAATACCATTATATTAGATTTTTATCTATTTCAGAAATATCAAATCATAAATATTCTGTAGCACAAATGGTTAATAGAGTCTAATTATATCTGTTGAACTTACATTTCCTGATGAATTAAACTTTATTATTCTGTTTTAATGTTTTTGTTAGGAATATATATATGCGTAATCAAACATTTTTCTTGTAGATTGAATGACTGGCCCTGACTGCTCACCTGTCCTTACATCTGTGTCTTTGCTATGGCCTCATAATGGATGTGTTTTCACCGCCGCTCTGACGTAAGGCTTGGTCATATGGCTTGCTTCGGCGATGGCATAAGGGCAAAGTGAGAGGAGGCATCAACTCTTAGGTGTTTCAGCTTTCCATGAAAAAAACACAGCCTGTGCAGCCTGATGATCTAAGGATTAAGACAGGCATGTGAAGCAGAGCTGCCCCAGCTGCCCATTAATCTAGAAGATACAGTAGAAGACACAAGTCTGCATAGCCCATATGTCCCCCGGGTCAGGCCTGTCCTAACTGAGCCCTGCTAACCCGTACATTCATTAGAAGAAACTTTTTTTTTTAATATATCAAGCCTTGGGGAGGTTTTTTACTTGGTGAAGTGTCTTACTTGGTATTGATAAAAATGTTTTCTAAATCTTATGTTCATAGGATAAGCATGATTAAATTGTAGTCAATAAAACACACTTTCTTTTCATACCTTCAAATGTCTGGCAAAATTTTTAAAGATGAAATAAACTGATTACAAAAAAGGATGTGTCATAAAAATCAATGCACACTTAGAAAATTAAGTACTTTGTAGTTTAAAATAGATTTATTTATCACAAATGCGTTATATTTTTTTCTAACCAACATTTAACAGATAAGAACCTTTAGGCCAACTTTATACATTAAATATCTAGATAGAATTAATATATTCATTGGAACATGAGCTCCTTTAAAATATACTGAAAGCTTAGAAACTCACAGAGACGCCTCTCAGAGTATCAAGTAGAAAATGCAGAACTTGAATAAGTTAAATAGAGATAAGCTTCACCAGGGAAAATACTGCATGTATTTGATGCTCAGATGCTGCTTCTTTATAAAGAGGATGAAAACAAATTATCTACCTTATCTTCTTTTTTAAATCTGAGAAGTTGGAAAGGATCTACCCTGTAGTCCACTTCTCTTCTGAACCTTAAAGAAGAAAGAAGTTTTCTTTATAACTGAAATAGATAAGGGTTTATACAAAAGCTAAATCTGGAATGTTACAAGTGTGTAGGATTCTTACAGTCATTCTTCTGCAACTGCATTTACATTCTTACATTCTTGGGTGGTTAAAAGGAAGCATGAAAGGCCACTGTCAGTTCATAAACTTGGCTTGAATGTTTACCCTGTCGATCTCAAAGGATTTTTGTGAGAATCAAAGATCATGTATGTAATTTTTTTTAAATGTATTTAACTGAAGGAAGAAGAATTCTTCAATTGGACATTTATCATATTTTCATCAAAACACAAAAGTCATGTTATTTTGAAAATAATTTCAGGTCTAAAATACCAATGTAATGTTTAGAGCCACCTTCATCAAAACCATTTATTGAACTATTTTAACTTAATGCATAACATGTAACGCATATGCCTGATAAGATTGTGATTGTTAGGAAGACCTTTATATTTTCTCAATGCTCTAGAATATCTTAAATTATGTCAAAGCACTTACTAAAATTCAAAGAATGAAATGAACACGTTTATTTACCTAAAATGTAAAAGTTGTCTATAAAATTTCTCAGTAGGTAATGTGTGGAGGGCAGTGTGCAACAGAGAGAGGAGGCCGTGAGGTGAGCCTTGGGGCAGGGCACAGCTGGGATCCTGTTGCTGGTCTAGTGCTTGCTATCTCTGTGATACTGGCACAGTAGCTAAAGACTCATCTTTAATGAGAATAAAAATGTCATTACCTCACACAGATGTGAGGTCTAGGTGAGGTAATTGAATTTAAGCCTAGCATTGCTTAAGAAGTGTTATTTGCATTTCTCAATAAAACAGTAAACGCCAATACAGTATTAAAATACTTGAAAATCTCTGGAAATATAGGTAGTAGAAACTCTTCAGGGCTTTTGCACTTGGTGTTCTCCCGTGTACTGTAAAACCTTTTCCCCAGGTGGTCATATGGCTTCCTACTTTTCATCAGTGAAGTTTGTGTTTAAATATGACTGTTGATTAATAGAGTCCTTTCCTGAGCAACCTTCAAGATAACTGTTGGCTGGGCTCAGTGGCTCATGCCTGTAATCCCAACATTTTGGGAGGCTGAGGGAGGAGGATTCCTTGATACCAGCAAATGGAGATCAGCACTGCAACATGGTGAAACCATGGTGCAATTTAATGATGAAATCCAGTGTCTATCAAAAATTTAAAAAAAAACAAATTTAGCCAGGCATGGTGATCCGTGCCTGTGGCTCCAGTTATTCAGGAGGCTGAGGTTGGAGAATCTCTTGAACTTGAGGTCGAGGCTGCAGTAAGCCTTGTTCACTCCAGCCTAGGTGACACAGTGAGAACTTGTCACAAAAAACAAACAAAACAAAACAAAACAATACAAAACAAAAAATCGTCCTCTTCTTAGAACCATTCTCTAGTTAACTATCACCTCTCATATTCCTCTTAGAATTAATCACCATGTGAATCAATTTCCTTGGTTAGCATTTATTGCAGTATATATACTTAGCTGTATATATGTAATATATGTATTACATATATAGCTACATTCTCACTAAAATATCTTTTTAAGAAATTGTTTATGGATCACATTTAATAAAGAGGATCAAAATATTACATTAAATTGCTATTTTAACTTAAGGCAAAATATTTTCACGACTTTTTTTGTAAGATTGTCTTAGCTAGGGCTGCCATCACAAAATACCATAGACTGGGTGACTTAAACAGCAGAGATTTATTTCTCACAATTTTGGAGGCTGGAAGTCTAGTCAATGTGCCACCGGATTCAGCGCCTGGTAAAGGCTCTTCCTGGCTTGCAGATGTCCAACTTCTTGCTATGTCCTCACATTTCCTTTTCTCACTAGGTGCCCTGAGCAAGGGAAGGTCTTGGGGTAGAGGGGGCAGGGGAGAGAGAGAGAAAGAGAAAGAGAGATCTCTTCCACTTAGTAAACCACCAGTCCCATTATGCGGGTCCCACCCCCATGACCTCATCTAACTCTAACCACCTCCTAAAGCCCCCATCTCCAAACACCATCACACTGGGGGTTAGGGGTTCAACATATGAATTTGAAGAAAACACAATCATTCAGTCCATAACAAAGATGAAAATATTTTCACAAGTTTATTTTGTGTGTGTGTGTGTGTGTGTGTATAAAAGCAATATACCTTCACAAGGCTTTTGTGTAAAACCTCAGTCACTAGTGCATTAAATACTACTTTAATTGCTACTGTTATATACTGCAATTTTCAATGCCTATGATTTTGCCAACTATTAATTCTAGAGTTTTAATTGAAAGGACATTTAAAACGTTAAAATAATTTAAATTTTATTTTTATTGCATTGGCATTTCCTGGATGGTAATAATTTTATGTTTTAAAAATTGGGAGAAACTATTTATTATAGAGCTGACGGTCCCCAGGTGGACAATTCATAGGAATTATAAAAGACTCAACTATCCACTTGATTTATTTTATTCTTAAACACTTAATCAGACTTTCATAACTAGAATAAAGTGCTAAGGAAAATTAAACTCCATTAATTATTTCAAGGCCAATTTAGTGATCACTTCTACTAAAGAATTATCTCAAGAGCATACAAAAAATTCAGATCAGTGTAATTCAAATTTTTATAAAACTGATCTAGAGATCATCTTTCAAAATAAAAATAAACATAATTTATAATTTTGAATGCATAAAGTAAAATTCAATATATTAGCAATACTAATGTCATTTATTTGATGAAAAATTAAGACACTGGTTTTCACAATATTCTGTTTAATTGAAATTCTGTTTGTTCTTATAATCCCATATTTTCGCAAATTCTCATAAAACTTAAATTTCAATTTTATAAAATCAGACAATTGTAATGACAAAATTGTACAATAGAAAATATACAAAAATAATAGAGTCTATGGGCCGGGCGCGGTGGCTAACACTTGCAATCCCAGCACTTTGGGAGGCCAAGGTGGACAGATCACATGAGGCCATGAGTTCGAGACCAGCCTGGACAACATGGTGAAAACTCGTCTCTACTAAAAATACATGAAAATAGCCCGGTGTGGTGGCAGGCGCCTGTAATCCCAGCTACTTGGGAGGCTGAGGCAGGAGAATCACTTGAGCCCATTAGGCGGAGGTGTCAGTGAGCTGAGATCGTGCCACTGCACTCCAGCCTGGGTTACAAGAGTGAAACTCTGTCTCAACAGGCCCCAGTGTGTGATGTTCCCCTTCCTGTGTCCATGTGTTCTCCTTGTTGTGGGGGGTGAGGGAGGTGGGAGGGATAGCATTTGGAGATATACCTAATGTTAAATGACAAGTTGCTGGGTGCAGCCCACCAACATGGCACATGTATACATATGTAACTAACCTGCACGTTGTGCACATGTACCCTAAAACTTAAGGCATAATAAAAAATAAAAAAAAAACTCTGTCTCAAAATAAAATAAAATAAAATAAAATAATAGAGTCTATGACACATCCTATGTTAGACAAGTGACATCCTTTACCATTTGTAAAAAATCTAAAAAAGGAATTTCAGCTTTTTAAAGATATAATTGAACAGAAAGTAAATTCTTAATATAACATCATTAGAGGCACACAATCGTCACATATACAGAATTATTGAATGAATGAGAGAAAAAGAGAATCCTGGTTTTATTTTCTCTTAGAAAGACTTGAGGTGTAATTAAAACACAGCAAAATTCAGATAAGGTATCTGAATTAATTAACAACATAGAGAATCAAGTAGGAAATTGATTGAATATAAGGTCAGGAGGGATCCAAAATCCTTATTTTTAAAATTCTTGAATAGTATAAATGAATTAAAATGTGGCTCTGGATCTATTTTCTCTTTTAGGATCACAGAGAAGAGCGTATTTCCTCATAATCCTATGTGTCTAAGAAAGCTTTTTTGCTCTTTTTTTTTTTATTTTTTTTTTTAGACCGAATCTCACTCTGTCTCCCAGGCTGAAGTTCAACGGTGCAATCTCAGCTCACTGCAACCTCTGCCTCCCAGGTGCAAGTGATTCTCTTGCCTCAGCCTCCTTAATAGCTGGGATTTCAGGCACCTGCCACCATGCTTGGTTAATTTTGTACTTTTAGTAGAGATGGGTTTTCACCATGTTGGCCAGGCTGGTCTCAAACTTCTGGCCTCAAGTGATCCGCCTGCCTCGGCCTCCCAAAGTGCCGGGATTACAGACGTGAGCCACCACGCCTGACCTAAAGCATATTTTAAAAGGTTATTTGAAAATAATGTTTAATATACAAAAAAATAGCAAAAATAAATAATGCAAAGAGCCCCTGTGTCCTCTTAACTCAGATTTACCCAATGTTAACATTTGGACCAGTTGCTAAGTTAACATTTATGCTCTCTCACTCTTCTTTTCTATCCTAGTATGTGTCTCTTATTTCTCTTTATCCAAAATGAACCTTTGAGAATGAGTCACAGGTAACATGTTTCTCTAAATATTTTCATATGTATTTCCTAAGAATAAACACATTCAGCTGCATAATTACAGAATAGTTATCAACTTCAGTATGTTTACTCTCAGTATAGTACTGTAATCTGCCATTACATTCTAATTTTGTTAGCTTGTCCATTAATAGCTTTTTCTCTCCTCCAGTGCAATGTCCAGTCTAGATTACATATGACATTAAGTTGTCATGTATCTCTAGTGTATTTTAACCTGAAGTATTTCCAAGGCCATTTTATCGACAATGACATTTTCAATTATAGTTCTCCCAATCCACCCCCCCCTTATTTAATAATAAAAACAAATCTTCAATTTGATTTTGTTTGATACAATCTCATGATTTAAACAAGTTTATATATTTTCAGCCAGAATACTATAAAAGATATGTTGTGTGATTTTCAGAACATCACTTCATGAGGCATGTGATGTCTGTCTGTTGCTCATCAGTGATATTAATTTCAGTTGCTTGTTTTTCTTTTGTAGTTACTGTTCTTTTCCTTGTAGTCTGTGGAAACACACTTTAAGTTCATGCAAATATCTCCCTCTCTCTCTTTTTTTTTTTGCTCAGAACTTCCCTCCTCAAGTTTTCAACCGTTGGTGACTATACTTCTCTCTTTCACCAGTCTTTAATTTGCAAAAAGGATTATTAATATCAAAACCTGCAATTACGTTTGTACCAACCTAATATTTAAACGACATCACTTAATCTGCATTTATCAAGAAGTACTCAGCATTTCAAGGTAAGAAATAGTATTCCTGTCTCATTTATGCATGTATGTATTTAGGATTGCTGAAGATTTAAGAATTCTTTTTTACTCAAATGTTTACAATTGATTGCTGTCTTTATTTTCATGCTCAAATTGTCCCATATCTGTACTTTAGGACTAGCTATTATCCTTATGACAGGTAATATCATTTCTTTTAGTATTTTCTTACTTTTGGACATATTTCAAGTTTATTTTGTCTCTACTCTACTCTGACTGGAATCTACCATTCTTTGTGGAGCCCTGGTTTCTTTTTAAAAAATGATACTAAGGCTGGGCACAGTGGCTCATACCTGTAATCCCAGCACTTTGGGAGGCCGAGGCGGGCGATCGCCTGAGGTCAGGACTTCAAGGCCATCCTGGCCAACATGGTGAAACCCCGTCGCTACTAAAAATATAGAAATTAGGCTGGTGTGGTGCCACATGCCTGTAGTCCCAGCCACTCAAGACGCTTAAGCAGGAGAATTGCTTGAACACGGGAGCAGAGGTTTCAGTGAGCCGAGATTGCACCATTGCACACTAGTCTGGGTAACAAGAGTAAGACTTCCTCTCAAAAAAAGAAAAAATAAAAAGAGATTAGAAAATAAGACCTGAGCATATGTTCCCATTGTTACTGGAGTGTCTTAGCATCTAGGCTTTTTACCAGATAGTGGAAGAAAATGTGTGCATATACTTTTATATATATGTACATAAACATACATACATATGTGCATAGAGACTCATAAATAACTATAAATGCATGTACACATATATATGAATATTTTAGAATCATGAGTTCACGCCTATCCCACCAATTTCAGTCTATCCCCATGGAGTTCTTGTTGCCTTTCTCTATTTCATGTGTATATATCTCTTCTTTCTCAGTGAAAACCCAACTTTAGACAAAATCAACACATTTACTTGTTAGATCAATTTGATAAGACATCTGAAATGTTTTCAGAGCTGTTTCATTCATATGAATACAAATATATACACACACACACACACACACACACACACACACACACACACACACACAAATTAGAGATTTGTCATCTCCTGATTACCTAAGACTGAAGGCATATAGTTAAATATTTTATTCATAAAGTACTTTTTCTTCTTTCCTTTTTCTTTTTTTTCGTTCTGTCTCTTACTTTTTTCAATGTAGCTATTTTTTTGAAATATAATTACAGTGCTTTGTTCCAGCTTATTTTTTCCCTTCTCATTCTAGTTGATTTAATTTTCCTTTAAAAATACATATGACATAATTTAAAAGTCAAAACACTGGAAAAGTTTAACCCCAAAAAATTGTTACTCTTTCTCATATATCGTTCACCCTTATTTTCAACCTTTGTAGGTATTCGACTTCATTGTTTTCTGGTTTTTCCTTCCTCTGTTTCCTTTTGTAATGGTCATAAAGGTATGTATGGATGGGTGTATGCACGTGTGTGTATATTTATGTAAGTGTGTGTGTATATGTGTGGATGTTTATCTTCATACATAACTGTATATTTCCCCCATTTTCTGACATAATATTTAGTACACTGTGCATGTCCTTTGCGTTTTGGACTTAACAATATCTCCTAAAACTCACTCCAAATCATTCACGGAGATCTTCTTTCTTCTTTTTCATAGCCAGGCTGAACTCCACACTTAATACACTACAATAGATTCTAGTGATCTTCTATACCTGGACATTTAGATAGTTTCACATATTTTGTGATTACTTGTAAATGATGCTTCAGTGACTATCTTGTCCATATCTAATTTTCATTATTAAAGATGTTTTTCAGGGTAAATTATTGGAAGTGGCATAGTTGGGATGAAAAGTAGCTGTCTACCTCTTATGGGCTAAATTGTGACTCCCCAAAGTTTATATGCTGGAGCACAACCCCAAGTACCTCAGAATATGACTATATTAGGGCTTTTGAAGAGGTGATAAAGTTAACATGGGGCCCTTAGAGTAGAGCACAGAGTGACACAAAAAGTATACACACAGAGAGAAATGACCACTTGGGACACAGTGAGAAGATGCCCACCTTCTAGCCAAAAAAGAGAGGACTCAGAAAAACTAAATCGCTGACACCTGCATCTTGGACTTGTACAGAACAGTAATAGAAGAATTTTTTGTTGATTAAGCTATCCACTCTGCGATATTTTGTTATGGTGTCCCAGCAGACTAATACATTACCTATGCAGATATGTTAAGTAATATTAAATTGCCTTCCACAGGAGTTATACTATTTTGCATTTCCACAAACTTTAAATGAGATTATTTCTTTTCCTTCGACTTCACTAAACAGTGGATTGTCGAGATTTTCACTTTTGCCAATCTAATGAGTAGGAAATAGTACTCTAGGCAGTGTTAATTTGCATTTATCTTATTAATAAAGTTGAAAGTCTTTTTATATGTTTGAGTCAGTCTTATATTATTTGTTAGAATTGTTTGTAACTTTTGTTGATATTGCCACATATTTATTCTTTTTACCCTTTGATGTTTAAAAATTCTTTTAATATTATGGATATTAGCCCTTACCTGTGCAAAAAGTCACAAATATTTTCTCGTAGTTTGTCATTTGCTTTGAAATCACTTGTGCTGTTTTTGTTTTGCAAAAGTTTTCTTTTATATTTATATAATCAAATATATCAATAGTTTATTTTATTACATCTGAATTTACCATCATAGTTAGAAGGTCTTTTCCCAGATTGTAGAAGAATTAGCCAATAATTATTTTTAGTATTTCTATAAACTTATTTTTCTTTTAAGATCTCTGATAAACACATTTGGAGTTTACTCCTTCATTTTTTTGTGACATGTGGGATGAATCATATTGCATCTTTTTCCAGACATTTATGCACTTATCCCAATATCATTTATTAAGAAGACTATCTCTACTTTAGTAATTTGATATATCAGCTTTATAATGCACATAGATTTTTATATGTTGTTCTAGAATTTCTATTATATATATTTTTAATTTTACTTTTAATTTTTGTTGGTACATAGTAGGTATATATTTTTATAGGGTACATGGGATATTTTGATACAGGCATACAATGTGTAATAATCATATTAGGGTAAACAGGGTACCCAATACCTCAAGCAATTATTCTTTATATTACTAACAATCTTATTGTACTCTTAGTTACTTAAAAGTATATGATAGTATTATTGACTATGTTCACTTTATTGTGCTATCAAATAGTAGATCTTATTCATTCTTTCGTTTTTTTTAGTACCCCTTACCCATGTCCACATCCCCTGACCCCATACTACACTTCCCAGCCATTGTAAACCACCATATTCCTCTCGTTGTCTGAGTTCAATTGTTTTCTTTTTAGGTCCCTCAAATAAATGAGAACATGCATAGTTTGTGTTTCTGTGTCTGCTTTATTTTACCTAACATAATGACTTCCATTCCATCCATGTTGTTGCAAATGACAGGATTTCATTCTTTTTTATGGTGAGTAGTACTCCATTTCGTATATTTATCACATTTTCTTTATCCATTCATCTGTTGATGGAAACTTAGGTCACTTCTAAATTTTAGCTATTGTGAAGAGTGTTACCAGCATTTGTTACTGTCTGTTTTCTTGGATAAAAGCCATTTTAACTGGAGTGAGATGCTATCTCATGGTAGTTTTGATTGGCGTTTCTCTGATGATAAACGATGATAAGCACCTTTTCATATACCTGTTTGTCATTTGTATGTCATTTGAGAAGTGTCTATTCAGATATTTTGCCCAGTTTAAAAATCAGATTATTAGATTTTTTTCTAATAGAGTTGTTTGAGTTCTTCATATATTCTGGTTATTAATCTCTTGTCATATGGGTAGTTTGGAAATACTCCCATTCTGTGGGTTGTCTCTTCTGGTTATTAATCTCTTGTCATATGGGTAGTTTGGAAATACTCCCATTCTGTGGGTTGTCTCTTCACTTCGTTGACTGTATCCTTTGCTGTGTAGAAGCTTTTTTAACTTGATGTGATTCAATTTGTCCATTTTTGCTTTGGCTGCCTGCGCATGTGGGATATTACTCAAGAAGTCCTTGCCCACTCCAATGTAATGAAGAATTTACTCAATGTTTTATTTCACATTCATAGTTTGAGATCTTAGATTAAGTCTTTAAACTATTTTAATTAGACTTTTGGATATGGTGAGAAACAGGAATTTAGTTTCATTCTTCTGCATATATATATCAATTTTTTTCCAGGGGCATTTATTGAAGACATCGTCGTTTTCCCATTGTATATTCCTGACACCATTGTCTAAAATGAGTTCACTGTAGATGTATGGATTTGTTTCTGGGTATTGTTTCCTGTTGCATTGCTCTATGTGTCTGTTTTTATGCCAGTACCATGCTGTATTGGTTACTATAGCTCCGTAGTGTAATTTGAAGTAAGATAATGTGATTTCTCCAGTTCTGTTGCTTTTGCCCAGTATAACTTTGGTTATTCTGGGTCTTTTATGCTTCCACATAAATTTTACAATGTTATTTCTACTTTATTGAAGAATGTCATTGGTATTCTGATAGGGATTAAAGTGAATCTGTAGATTGCTTGGGTGGTATGGACATTTTTAACAATATTGATTCTTTCAATCCATGAACATAGAATACCTCTCCATTTTTTTGTGTGTGTGTTCACTTTAACTTCTCTCACCAATGTTTCAGTTTTCACTGTAGGAATCTTTAAGTTGTTTGATTAAGTTAATCTCTAGGTATTTAATTGTATTTTCAGATATTATAAATGCTATTACTTTCTTGATTTCCTTCTCAGATTATTTTCTGTTGGCATGTAGAAATGCTACTGACTTTATATGTTAATTTTGTATCCTTCAACCTTACTGAATTTGCTTATCAGTTCTAATAGTTTTTTCGTGGATTATTTAGGTTTTTCCAAGTATAAAATCATGTAATCTGAAAACAAGGATACTTTGATTTTTCCTTTTCAATTGGGATGCCCTTTATCTCTTTCTTTTATGTGATTGCTCTGTCTAGAACTTTCAATGCTATGTTGAATAACAGTGATAAAAGTGGACATCGTTGTCATGTTTCAAATCTTAGAAGAAAGCCTTTCAGTTTTTCCTCATTCAGTATGATACTAGCTTTGGGTCTGTCAGGTATGGCTTTTATTATGCTGATGTATGTTCATTCTTTACCCAGGTTTTTTTACAGTTTTTTTAAATATATATTCTTATTATACTTTAAGTTCTAGAGTTTTTATCATGACAGGGTGTTGAATTTTATCAAATAATTTTTCAACATCAATTAAAATGATCATATTGTTTTCTGTCCTTTATTCTGTTGATATAGTATATCACACTGATTGATACGCCTATGTTGAACCATCCTTGCATCCTTGGGATAATTCCAACTTGGTCATGATGAAGAATCTTTTAATATATTTTTGAATTTTCTTTGCTAGTATTTTGTTAAGGATTTTTGCATAAATGTTCAACAGAGATATTGGCCTGTAGTTTTTTGTTTTATGTGTCTTTGTCTAGTTTTGATATCAGGGTAATACTGGCCTCATAGAATGGGTTTGAAAGTATTCCTTCTGCCTCTGTTTTTTGGAATAGTTTGTGTAGGATTGGCATATGTTATTTAAATATTTGATAAAATTCAGCAGTGAAACCACTGGGTCCTTGACTTTTATTTGCTAGAGTCATTTTATTATGGATTTGATCTCATTACTTGTCATTGGTTTGTTCAGGTTTGAATTTCTTCACAGTTCACTTGTATGTGTCGAGGAATTTATCCATTTCCTCTTTAGAGACTAATATGAGCAACGGTATGCCAATTTATTGGCATATAGTGTAGCCTCTAATGATCACTTGAAATTTTGCACTAACAGCACTAATGTCTCTGTTTTCATCTCTTATGTTATTTATTTGGGTCTTCTCTCTCTCTCTCTCTCTCATTTATTTTCTTCTTAAAAAAAGAGTTTTCAATTAGTCGACCTTTTGTATTTTTCTTTGTTTCAATGTTATTTATGTCCACTTTGTTCTTTATTATTTCTTTTCTTCAACTAGCTTGGCATTTCGTTTGCTCTTGCTTTTCTGGTTCTTTCAGATGAACGTTAGGTTGGCTATTAGGTTTTTTCTTTTTTCTTTTTTTTTTTTTTTTTTTGATGTGGGCACTTATAAACTTCCCTCTTTCTACTGCTTTTGTGGTATCCCATGTATTTTGGTACATGGTGTTTTCATTATAATATTTTTTCAACATTTAAAAAAATGTTATTCTTAATCTGTTCATTGACCCACTGGTCATTTAGGTTTATATCATTTAATTTTCTTGTGTTTTATAGTTTCCAAAATTTTTCTTGTTGTTAATTTCTAGTTTTATTCCATTGTGGTCAAAGAAAATACTTGATGTTATTTCAATATTTTTGAATATTTTAAGACTTGCTTTATGGTTGAACATATCACCTATCATTGAAAATTAGCCATGTGATGAGGAGAAGAATGTTTATTCTGTAGCCATTTGATGAAATATTCTGTAAATATCTACTAAGTCCATTTGGCCTACAGTGCACGTTAAGTCTGATGATTTTCTGTCCAGATGATCTGTCCGATACTGAAAGCGGGATGTTGAAGTCTCCAGATATTATTGTATTTGGGTCTTTCTCTCTCTTTAGCTCTAATGATATTTGCTTTGTATGCCTAGGTGTTCCAAGTGTTGGTTGCACATACATTTACAATTGTTATATCATCTTGTTGTATTGATCCCTTTATCATTATATAATAGCCTTGATAGTTTTTATCTTGAAATCTATATTGTTCATTATAAGCATAGCTATTCCTGCTCCTTTTTGGTTTCTAATTGCATAGAATATCTTTTTTTCCATCCCATTATTTTCAGTCTGTGTGTCCTTACAGGTGAAGTGTGTTTCTTGAGGCAACAGATAAATGGTTCTTTTTTCGTTGTTGTGGTTCATTTTGCCACCCACTCTATGTCTTTTGATTGGAGGATTCAATCCATTTAAATTCAATGTTACTTTGGATAAGTAAGGACTTACTCCTTTTATTTTCTTCTTTGCTTTCTGGTTGTTTTCTGGTCTTCTTTCTCTCCCTTATTTTCTTCCTTCCTGTCTTTCTTTTAGTAAAGGTAATTTTTTTTCAGGTGTTATGTTTTAATTTATTTATATTATTTTTTGTATCCGTTGTATGTTTTTTTCTTTATTTGAGGTCACCATGAGGCTTGCAAATACTATTTTATAACCCATTATTCAAACTGATGACAAGTCAACACTGATTGCATAAATAAACAAACAAGCAAAATGAAAGCAAATAAAAACTCCATATTTTAAACTCATCTCCCCGCATTTTAGCATTTTGTTGTTTCTTTTTATGTCTTACTGTGCTGTCTTAAAAAGTTGTTGTATTAATAGTTAATGTTTTTGATTGGTTTATCTTTCATCTTCCTACTCAAGATATGAGTGATTTAAACACCACAATTACTGTATTATAATTTTCTGTATTTTTATCTGCACTTACTATTACCCATGACTTTTATACCTTTAAATAATTTCTTATTGCTCCATCTTGTCTTTCAGACTGAAGAACTCCCTTTAGCATTGTTTTGTAGGACAGGCCTGGTGTTTATGAAATCCCTCAGCTTTTGTTTGTCTGTGAAAGTCTTCATTTCTCCTTCATGTTTGAAGAATTTTTTTTGCCAGATATTCTATTGTAAGGTAAATGGATTATTTTTTCCTTCAGCACTTTAAATGTGTCATGTCACTCTCTTCTGGTCTGTAAAGTTTCCACTGAAAAGTTTCCTGCCAGAAGTACTGGAGCTCCATTCTATATTATTTGTTTTGTTTTGTTTTGTTTCCTTTTGTTGCTTTTAGGATCCTTTCTTTATCTTTGATTTTTGGGAGTTTGATTATTAAATGCCTTGACATAGTCTTCTTTGGGTTAAATCTGCTTGGTGTTCTATAATCTTCTCTTACTTCAATATTGATATTTTTCTCTAGTTTTGGGAAGTTTTATGTTATTATTCCTTTGACTAATCTTTCTACCACCGTTTCTTTCTCTACCTCCACTTTAAGGTCAATAACTACTACATTTGCCCTTTTAAGGCTACGTTTTTAAATCCTGTAGGTGTACTTCATTGTTTCTTGTTCTTTTTTTTTTTTTTTTGTCTCCTTTGATTGTGTATGTTCATAGAGATTGTCTTTAAATTGACTAATTCTTCCTCCTGCTTGATCAATTCTCCTATTAAGAGACCCTGTATGTTCATCACATTTCTCGACTCCAGAATTTCCACTTGACTCTTTCTAATTATTTAAATCCCTTTGTTAAATTTATCAGATAAAATTCTCAATTCCTCCTCTGTGTTTTCTTGAATTTCTTTGCATTTCCTCAAAACAGCTATTTGAATTATCTATCTGAAAGGTAACATATCTCTGCTTTCCGGGATTGGTCCGTTGTGCCTTATTTAATTCATTTGGTAAGATTATCTTTTTCTGGATGGTGTTCATGGTTGTGGATTTTTGCTGGTGGCTGGGTATTGAAGAGTTAGGCATTTACTGTAGTCTTCACAGTCTTGGCTTGTTTGTACCCTTCCTTCTTAGGAAGGCTTTGCAGGTATTTGAAGGGACTTGGGTGTTGTGATCTAAGTTTTTGGTCACTGCAGCTGTATCTACAGTAGAGGGCACCTCAAGCCCATTAATGTAGTTCTTGCAGACTTGTAGAGGTACTACCTTGGTGGTCTTGGATACAATCTGGCAGAATTCTCTGGATAA
The DNA here is from genome assembly GCF_000001405.40 of Homo sapiens. Classification (NCBI taxonomy): domain Eukaryota; kingdom Metazoa; phylum Chordata; class Mammalia; order Primates; family Hominidae; genus Homo; species Homo sapiens. The sequence goes on from NC_000001.11 coordinate 190,633,784, forward strand.
CCAGGCAGAGGCTCTTGTTCTATTTCCTTACTTTCTCCCCCTAAATGGAAACTCTCTCTGTGTGTGCCAACCTGCCTGGAGCTGGGTGTGGGGTGACAAAATTACCCCTGTGACCACCACCACTAGGACTGTGCTGGGTCAGACCTGAGGTCAGTAAAGCACTGAGTCTCGCCCAAAGCCCGTTGTAACCACCGTTTGGCTACTAGCTGTGTTTGCTGAAGACCCTAGGGCTGTATGATCAGCTGGTAGCAAAAGCTATTCAGAAGTCTTTATGTCCTTCCCTCATGGCAGAAAGTGCCATGGACTTGGGGTCCTGGGCAAATCCAGAGATGCTCTCTGAGAGCCAGTACCTGAAGTCAGATACCCAAAAAAAACACATGATGTGTTATTTCACTGCAGCTAAGCTGACATCAAAATCACAAGACAAAGTTCTTCCAACTCTTCTCTCCCATTTCCTCAGGCAGTGAAGTCTCCGCTTGTGTCTATCACCACTTCAGGCCCATGTGGACTACTGCCAAGGTACTGCTGATGTTTGCTTAGGGCCCAAGGTCTCTTCAGTCAGGTTGTGGTGAATGTTGCTAGGCCTGCTATCACTGGGCAGAACTCAACCTGTGTTCACAGAGGAAGCATTTATGCCAGCCCTAACCAGCGAGGACTCACCTATCCCAGTGGTTGGAACTTAAGTTTTAGCAAACCTCATTTCCATGAGCTACAGTGCTCTGGGGTTCTAAATAAACTTGAAAGGCTCTCTAGGCCACAAGGACTGCAACTCCTAGGCAAGTTCTAGTGCCGTATTGGGCTTGGAGCCAGTAAACTTGTGGGGCATGTGACCCAGTGACACATTCACTCTTTGGGGCAGTAGGCTAGTCTCTGGCCCAGAGTAGGTTCAGAAATGCTGTCCAAGAGCCAAGGCCTGGAATTGGAGGCCCCAAGAGCCCACTTAGTATTATTTCTCACTGTGGCCAAGCTGGCACCTAAACTGTAAGACAAAGTTCCCTTTATTCTTCCCTCTTATTTTCTCAAGAAGGAGGGGTCTTTCCTAACAGCCACCACAGCTGTGAATATGCTGGGTCACACTTGAAGCCTACACACCTCCGAGTCTCACCCAAGACCCATGGTTTGTACTAACTAATTACAACTGCTGATTATTCAAGACCCAAGAACTCTTCAGTCAGGTGATAAATCCCACCAAGACTGAGTCCTTCCTTTCAAGGCAGTTATGTCCCTTCTGGCTCAGAATGTATCTAGAAACATCATTTGGGAGCTAGAACATGAAATGGGGTCCTAACAACTCTTCCCAGTGCCCTATACTACTGTGGCTGAAGTAATATCCAAGTTGCAAAACAAAGTCCTCTTTACTCTACCTTCTCCTCTCCTCAAGCAGAAGGAAGGGCTGTATTTCAGAGCTGTGTTCTGATTTGCCAGGGTTGGGGGAGTAGTGGTGCAAGCCCTTTTTAAACTGTCACTGCTCACATCTCACTGGGTCACATGCCCCACAAGTTCACCGGCTCCACGCCCAGTATGACACTATGACTTGTCTAGGAATTGCAGTCCTTGTGGCCTAGACAGCCTTTCAAGCTTATTTAGAATCCCAGAGCACTGTAGCTCATGGCAACGAGGTTTGCCAAAACTTACGTTCCAGTTTCTTGGATAGGTTGATCCTCTCTGGTTAGAGCTGGCATAAATGCTCCCTCTGTGGGCTCCCTCCAAATTTTGCCCCATGATAATAGCACTGAGTTCCCGCAATTGCTGAACTCTTTGTCGCCTAAGTGCACAGATTCTGTCTGCATGCTACTGGGCCACTGCTAGAGGATGAGGAAGTTGTGATGTAAGTGCTTCAAGACTGTTTTTCCTACCCTCTTCAGTGCCATGTCCAGCAGTGTGAAGTTAAAACCAGGTATTCTGATTGCTCACCTGATTTTTGGTTCTTATGAAGGTGCTATTTTGTGTAGATAGCTGTCAAATTTGATGTTCCTATGGGGAAGACAATTGGTGGATGCCTCTATTTGGCCACCTTTCTCCCTCCCCTCCGTCTCTATCATATTCTTTCAGTATCTGAAATAAAAATACTTGCTGATATATAGTTAGAAGACACATTCTGTTTCTCTGCCAGTGTAAATGGTCTGCTTTATTTTCTAGTCCATCATTTGTAATTTTCTGAGACAGGAATTAGAATAATTTCCTTTGCATACACAGTCATAAATTAGAAATTATACAAATGATTTTCATTTATTTTACTTTTAAATATTTGTTTTACATGTGTTTAACAAGAGGAGAAAATGTTCTTATACACAGATGCATGGCAAGGCATATGTCAGAAGATCTAAAAGTATTTTATTTTTATGGTTTAATACAAATATTTTAAAATGTCTTTGTTAGACATTTCATGTTTGAAAGAAATCCACTAGTTTTGCAGATCCCTTTTACTAACTATAAAATAATCAGAACAGAAAAGTAAACTTTTTTCTCAATATTTTATTTGAAATTTATAATAAATATGAAACTGCTCTTAGTAATTCTAATTAATGTATCTTTCTATTGGTTATATCATAAACCATATATTTGCAAACAATACCACTTCAAACTCAACTTAATCACACTCCATAATAATTACCATAGACAATAGTCATTTTAATATTCTACTAGAACTGTATTATCATTTGCACAACCTACTCACATAATAATTATTTGAAAGTAAATAACTATGAAATTCTAAAACATCTTCAATGACCTTAATTATTTTATTACAAGTTATAATCTTATGATACAAAGATCTAATGGTTTACCTTTGCCTTACTCATGAAAATAATGAAACAAACTATTTTTATTATACATATGAAAGTATTAATTTGATATTTAAAATAAAATCTAATGGTTTACCTTTGCCTTACTCATGAAAATAATTAAACAAACTATTTTGATTATACATATTAAAGTATTAATTTGATATTTAAAATACATCTAATATTAATATATTATGCAGTATGTCCATTTTTTTTAAATGCTACTATATGTGATATTTGCCTCAGAGGTAAAGAATAGAACATATTAAATTAATGTCTTGACCCATAATTTATCACAAACTCCATATGTCAAGTATATAGTGTACCTTATTTTTATTAAGTCAAAATTGATTTAATTGAACTATGTCTTTTTATTTGTAGCCAATTATCATTCAGTCAAATAATTTTGCTTAAAAATTACTAGTATAACTACTCGGGTATATAAGAATTAATTTTCTTTACATCAAGAGTAAGGCTTGTCAATATGAGTTGGAAGCACGGATAGGCTTCTTAATAATTTTTAACACAGATTTGAGTCAATTGACCAGTATAACACTTTCCTGTATTCAAACCTTTAGTTTACCTGTGGCATTTCTATACATAAAAAGGTCTTACCAGGATTCTTAATGGCAAAACTTCATCCATTGTCTTATCAATTCATATGATCAAATTTGACCTTGCTTCTTTGTTTATTTCAGAATAGTATTTGTTCTTTACTTAAAATGACTTAATCTAAATTATATGTTAAGTGATTATAAAGGAAGAAATCTGATTCCATTTTGGGTTTCTTTCTTGTCCTGTCATCTACAGGCATAGTGAAAGTCTTACAAGCTTAATAACTTAAATATTCTCCACTAAATACCTTATTTCTCTCCAAATCATTAGTTCTCCTTTCTGTGGATGTGTAGTTCTCTTTTCAAGAAGAAAGCGTGAAATCTTCCTGAAGATAAACTTGTTTTGTAGTGTTAATAAAATTCTGGTCTAAGTGCCAGTACATTATGAAATCCAGATTTCTGATCTGTGTTTTTTTTCAAAACAAATAATTGTTTTACTAAAATTCAGTCTGGTCTGAATATCAACTTCTACCTCATACATTTTTCAAATCTTTGCTAAATATGTTTTTATCTAGCAGTATTTTTTCATGTTGATATCTACTAAGCCAGTCAGTTGTTTCTTTCTTACCCTTTTATATCAAACCTCTCTTAAAAATTTAACTAGCAACCTGCTTGAAAATAGATTTACTAGAAAACAGTTTCATGTAACATATCAATTCATATGACTAAAGTGTAAACTATAGTTCACTTCTGAATCAGTGGACTTTAATCATCATTCGTATTTGTTAGTCGATAGCAAAATATGTTAGAAGTTAGCGTTTTCATTTGAAAAATCAGGTTAATATAAACTATTATTATTGATTAAACTTAATGAATAAAAGTAAACAAAAAACTTTAACAACCATGTTTAATCGTATATCATGTTTGTTAATATTTATAACTCCATGATAAAATAATCCCATTATATATTCTAGTCATATTAACAGCATAGATTTTATAAATGTTATTTTTAAAAAGAGCTATTTTATGAATACAGGAATTTAAGATATTATGCTCATCTTTTTTTTCATAAGAAACAAATGTTCATATTTTCTAAGGGTCCTAAACAAAGAGTTATAGCATAGAAATACTTACTGCCCTAAAACTATCCTATTGTGAATTACATATGTAACAACAACAAAAAACATTTTAAAAGTTTTGATATAAACCTCTGGTCTCTTGCATTATTTATATTTATCCAAAGATGATTTCTAGAAACAATTTTAGTCAGCTTTATAAAACTTAATATATTGGTGTAAAGAGAGGCAAAGATATGAAGTAATGGACTATTAATACTCTCATGGTTGACTTTAACCAATACATTTCAAATAAGATATTTGATTTAGGTTTTACAAAAAAAAATCATAATTTCAAATGACAATCTTACTATGACACATTATTTTAAAAATTCAGATAAGAGTAGTTTGACCAAGTAGAAAGAGAATAGGGCTATGGTGGCCTTTAAAAGAGCTTCACAGAATTCCAAGGACTACCAGGAGCACAGCTTGGAAACCAGCACTGAAGGCAATTATTACTTTGGATAAAATAGTTTCAAAGTTATGCTTTTGTTAAACTAATTGGTTGTGCCAACTTTTTGCATAGCTAGGAAACAGTTTAAATTGTCGTTTTCATTATTGAAATGAAGTTTTTCATTTTGAAATAAAGTATTTATGGAAATAGAATAAATATAGCATATTTACCACATATATCATATTGCATATTTTCCATATAGCAATGCACTAGATGTCTTTTAATAAGAACTTTATATTAATATATGAATAAGAACTTTAAATTGAGCTTCAAAACCATGATATATTTACCAGATTCAACATGTCAAATAGTTGAGTAATAACTGTCATAGTCCAGTCTTTGTGCAACGCAGTGTGGTGATTCCTCAAAAAACTTAAAACAGATTTGCTATTCCACATATTAATCCCATTTTTTGGCTATATATCCAAAGGAATATAAATCATTCTACCATAAAGACACTTGCATGCATATGTTCATCACAGCACTATCCACAATAGTAAAGACATGGAGTCAACCTAAATACCCATCAATGGTAGGCTGGATTAAAAAAAAAAAAGTAGTATATATACACCATGGAATATTATGTAGCCACAAAAAAGAACAAGATCTTGTTCTTTGCAGCCACATGGGTAGACTTGAAGGCCATTATCCCAAGCAAAATAGTGCAGAAACAGAAAACCAAATACTACATGTTCTCACTTATAATTGGGAGTTAAATATTGAGTACACGTTGACACATGTGCACTTGGAGGGTGGAGGGTGAGAGGAGGGAGAGGATCAAAAAAATACCTATCAGGTACTATGCTTATTACCTGGGAAAATAAATAACCTGTACACTGAACACCTGTGACACACAATCTACCCATCTAAAAAACCTGCACATGTACCACTGAACCTAAAGTAAAAGTTAAAAAAAGAAAAGAAAACTGTAAAGTTTGTTTGCCACTCTTCCTTTTGGGGCGAGGAGGTGTAGGGAATAAATAAATGGACACAGATAAATGAGAGTTTATTCTTACTCTTCAGAATGATTCAGTGGTAAAAACCATTTCTTATGAGAATCTAGAAGGTTTTCTTTGAGGCTGTGGGATTCAATTTGCCTTTGAGTTTTAGAAGAATTTTAATAAATATATATGGCTAAGTAAATGTGCTACAGGGTAAAGGAAAGGTGGAATGAATAAAGGGATATATGAAGAGTAAAGAAGAGGTTGAGGACAAATAAGTAGATTAATATAACTGGAATTAAAGGTCTGCTGAGCTAGGAGAACCTATTGGCTAACATTTGATAAAGGTAGGTGTCAGATGTATATGAATTAAATGCCAGTTGACTTTGAGATGTTGGAAATCAATAAAGAAAAAATCTAAATAATTTAGTTTAAGTCAGGAAATGATCAATGCTAAATTGTGTTTACATTATTTCTACAGCAGCTCATATAGGGGGTAGGAAAGAAAAGATATCAAGCTATGAAAATACAGTAAAAGTGTTACTGGAAGCAAACAAATACTGTGTTGGAAATTAAACTTCCATGAATTACACATTTCCTCTCTGACACCCAATAGAGCATTCCTGTGATACACTGCTTAAAATTCTACTTTAAAATAGATCTGGTTTTAAAGTCTATGTGGTCCTAGCTGTGTTAACTCCTGTACTTAGTTAGAAAGAATGAATAATGCCTACTATTCTATAGCATAATAGAATAACTATAGTCAATAGTAATTGTACATTTAAAAATAACTTTAAAAGTGTAATTGGATTGTTTGTGACTCAAAGAATAAATGCTTGAGGAAATGAATACCCCATTCTCCATGATGTACTTATTTCATATTGCATGCCTGTATCAAAACATCTCATGTATCCCATCAATATATACACCTACTATGTACCCATAGGAATTTTTAAAAGTAAAACTAAACATTAAAATTAAAAATTTTAATCAGTCATATCTCACTTGTATCAGCAAAACAGGGACAATTTTAACATCTCTGAGTTGCATGTGACTGCAATGCAGGTAGTACTCAATGCCAAACTACTGTTCTCTTTCTGATAAAGCTCATATATGGAAGTTCCATCCATGTAATGAAGGGGAACCTTGTCACATAGACCTTCTTTGGAAATAGCATTATAATACAGAGACAGAAAAAAAAAGGGTACAAGGGCTAAATTTCATTTAGTTTTATATTCATTTAGTATTTCTTAAAATTTTTATTGCTTTTTAAAAATTTTACACGGTTATACCAAAGGAAAATATACTTCATTTACCCTATTTAAAATTTTAGTATGTTATCTCATGATAATAGAAATGGGAACTTGCAATCTCAAAGGTAGATTCATAATTGACTTTTCCTATTTAGGCCAATATTGTTTTTTCCCTGGACTTTATTTTTCTCATTGTAGCTCACTTTTTTTTCACTGAATAAATAATAATATTGTCACTAGAATCTGCCTGGCAGCACTATGTATACAAAATAGTGAAAGTACTTATCTGTATAGTAACAGAAAGTAGATCAAAGTCGACAAAATATTTAATTGACAAAAAAATCAGCCACCATTTTCCAATTGTCACTAAAAGGTAAATTTTACTGACATTCCTTTCAGCTTTCTTTGATAAATAGAAAAACTAAGCGAGATCTTAGGAGCAAATGTAACCAATCAGGGAAGCACTGTATTTCTTCTTAGATGGATCTTTGCAAACTTTGTTTATCTGGAGAAGTGCAATTTATCTACTCTCCTTCACCTAATTTTTCGTTCTTTTTGGCAACTAACATTAAGGGATTGCTGTTCTTTCATTCCTACTTGTAATTGCTTGTTTTACTGTTTAAAAAATTTATATTAAAAGGGAGAATATTGAAACTTGTTTGTACTTGACATGATGTGTAAATGAATCTACACTTTACCTCATGGCTGGTATACAGTAAGAATAACAGAAAAATCACAAATTTTTTTCTTCCACTATTTCCATATTCCTATTCATGTAATTGTGTGTGTGTATATATATACACACACATATACATATACATCTTCTTATTCATGTAATTGTGTGTGTATATATACACACACACATACACACACACATATACACACACACACACACACATAGCTTGCTATACTCTGAGAGTAGCTCCCCTTTAAACAAGTAATAGAAAAATGAATCAGGAGCCTATACGTGGCTAAATTTGTGTGTATACAAGAAAACTTGTCAAACAAAATAAAATAATATAAACATCAAAATTCAGACATCTACTTTCATTATTTAACTAAAATAAATTTTATCACAAAATAACCAGATATAGTCAAATATATAAAGTCTTATGAAGTATAAGCCTTTTATTATATCAGTGTAAGCATTCTTAAATAATTAGCTGAGTTTTAGAAAATATTCATGTGATAACTCTTTAATGCTGCTCTCATTAGATGATTAACTATGACTCCACAGAGAAAGACACCCACTTATTGTGACAACTATTCAATCTCTGCATTTTTTTTGCAATTAAGGGACAACTAGACCAAGTGTTTACACTTCATAGCCAGGTACACGCCTGGATGCCTGTACTTCCCATATGCCCTGGGACATGACAATTACCATCAATAATGGCACCTAGTTGCCTGCCCAGCTACCTGCTCTCCACAACCTCCTGGCCACGACTGGGACACTCAAGAACAGTGGGCAAAAGCTACAATATAGCCCACCACTGCCCTGATATGACATTGGTTTACTCATTGATCTCTAAGGTCTACCAACAGCTGCTCTCATCACCATCACCTATTTTTTAAAAAACAACAACAGCAGCAAACTATTAGGTGACATGTAGACTTAATAAATAGATAATTTCATGTATATCATTTATTCGTTTTAATGTTAATGAATTCTATCTTTCATTCTGTCTTTCAATTTGATGAAATAAAATTGAGTACATTAAAATATTTTCTAACCCTTAAAATCTCCTGAGAATTTTATTCATTATTATTTCTATTATCAACCAAATCTAACTCATAGTATATTAGGTAGCCATTAACAAAAGTTACCTTAACCTTCCACAACTTGAACTAATGTCTTTGTATTATCAACTTAATTTTAGATTTTTGCAATCATTAGTAAACTTTGCGAACAGAATTAAAAGTACTTAAATATCTAAACACTAAACACTGTTCTGTAGCTATTTTCAACCTAGTGGCAGATACTAGCTTTGTATGTAAATGAAAATTATGAAAGGAAAGGGGCATCCCGGATTGAGTAAGCAGAGAAGTGAAATGGTGGGCAACTGTTTTATAAGTCAGTGTTTAAACCTTCTAAACTATGCACATGATGAACTAAACTGTAATTCTGATATGTTTACAATATTTACTTCTGCTTTGTATAAAAGACAATATGGGAAAATTTGTAAATGGCAAGACATTTGTATTCCACTAGATATTTTTCATTTGATGTGTATTATTGATTTCCTTCCAGAATCTAAAAATTATATGCCTTCGTTTCTGACTAAATATGTTCTCTGTCTTTGGTTTGTTTTCCTCATTAGTATTCTTCAGATTATGACACTGACGCGCTACCTACTGCGCTAACGAGGCACCTCAGTATTCTTAATGCTAGTTATTATAAAAAAATTCCTGCCACATAAAATAAATATTTAGAAGTAATTCAACTACCTTTATTTTGCTATTCCATATAGTTTTTCTTCTAAACCCGAGGCAAGAGTTTTTAATTTGAATTAGAAGCTGTAACTGAAGACTCACTTATTAATATAAAGCCTAGAAATGTCTGAGGAATTAGCAATTGTTTTGATTAAACTATATTCTTGCAGATGAATGAATGAATAATTTTAGAGTCAATCAACGTACACAAAATACTGTTATAATAATACATTAAAGTCACACATGCCACCAATGATTTCTAGGAAAAAGTTTCATTCTCCAAAAGAAAATTTCTTATTTTTTCTTACAGTATCAATGAAATCTACTTTGAAACACTTCGTCATATTATATAATACCTATCCTGAGATCACATAGTTTGACAATGTGTAATTAAATAAAAGGAATACATTGTGATATTTTCCTTCAAAAATGGGGCAAGATACTCGCTGGGAATCTTTTTAGCAAGGCATTCACTAAATTAAAGCACTATGCAATAAAATGGTATTCATTATTTCAGAAATACCTGATTAAAATTTGATCTGTTATTCTTTTTACTATAAAGAAATGTATGTACTTGATAACACACCACTAAACCCAATTAAAAATAACTAAGAATAAAAGTATGTGTTGATTATCAATTATTAGTATGAGTCAAATAGTGGAACAATAGCAAAAAAAAAAAACCACACTATGAATTAACATTTTGATTGAATTTAATTATGAGTCTTCTCAGTGTTTACTTCACTCTCTCAGCTATAAGTCTGACTGCATGGTCAACTTTACCACCTAATTGTGCACAAAGGTTCTTACTCTATAATATTCATCATTCATGCATAGTCTCATTTAATCCATGCGACACCATTCTGATGTAGTTATTAATATATCTGTTTTAAGGTTGAAAAGACTGAAGATTTTGATAGAATAACATTTTCTCTGTGAACCCAAGACTAGTAAATAGTAAAATTAATTCAAATTCGATCTATCTGACCCTAGGGACCATATCATAGATCAATATTGGAGTATATGGGAGGTGCTTAAAATTTTATTTTAATGTAATTTCAGATAATGTAAGAAAAGAAAATGAATACATTTTATTTTATTTTATTATGGAGACTATTAACATGATTATAAAAGGCAATTTAAGTAAAATAAATTAATGTAGTTGAGGTTGTAGTTTTGTTGAAATGTTAATAACTAAAATAGTAAAAAACAAATTGGGAAACAGTATAGTCATACATTACCTAACAATGAAGATAGCCTCTGAGAAATGTGTTGTTAGGTAATTTTGTTGTTATGTGAACATCGGAGAGGGCACTTACAGAATCCTAGATGCTATAGCCTGCTACACACGTATGCTATACGGTCTAGCCTATGGCTCTTAGGCTACATACCTACACAGAATGTTACTGTACTGATGCTGTGGCCAAATAGAACACAATGGTAAGTATTTGTGTATCTTCTATATTTTTACTATAGAAAAGGTATAGTAGAAACATAGAATAAAAGATAAAAAATAGTACACATACATAAGACACTTACCAATTAATAGAGCTTGTGGAACTAGAACTTGCTCTGGGTGAGTCAGTGAGTAAGTAAGTGGTGAGTGAATATGAAGGCCTAGGACATTAGGCTTCATAAACACTGTACACTTAGGCTACACTACATTTATATAAAAATGTTCTTTCTTCAACAGTAAATTAACCTTAGTTTACTGCAAGATTTTTACTTTATACGCTCTTTAATTTTTAAAAATTGTTGGGCTCTTGTAATAACTTTTGGCTTAAAACACAAACACATTTTATAGCTGTACAAAAATGTTTTCTTTCTTTATACCTTTATTCTATAAGCTTTTTTCTACTATTAATTTTAATTTTTTTATTTTTTAAACTTTTTGTTAAAAGTGAAGACACAAACACTCACATTAGGCTAGGCTTACAGAGGGTCAAGATAATCAGTATTACCACTGGAAGGTATCTTGTCCCACTGGAAGGTATTCAGGGGCAATAAGACACATAGAGCTGTCATGTCCCGTGATAATAATGACTCCTTTGAGAATACCTCCTGAAGAACCTACCTGAGTCTGTTTTACAGTTGTATTTTTTTTTTTGTAAGTAGAAGGAGTACACTCTAAGATAATGACAAAAAGTGTAGTTCAATATGTACATAAACCTGTACCATAGCCATTTGTTATTATTATCAGTACTATGTAGTGTATATATTGTATGTACTACACTTCTATACAACTAACAGTGAGTGGGTTTGTTTACACGAGTATCACTACAAATGTGTGAGTAATGCATTGCACTAGGACATTATGACAGCTACAATGACACTAGGTGATGGAATATATTTAGCTTCATTGTAATCTTATATTCAGTATATCCTTGACTGAAATGTTATTATGGGTTGGATGATTGTATATCGTTTTATTGTAAGAAGCAGGAGTTTTTCAGTAGTAGATTTTATGTTTAGTTTATTTTTAATATAGAAATATAATTGTTAGGATTCCATCTGTTGAATCTCCCAAGTTTATGGAATTGGAAAAAAATTAAATGCAAATATCTGGTTTCTACTGAAATATCTCTCATGTCTGTGGTGCTGTCTTGTTGAATCAAAAGTTTGCCGAGATTTCGTGAGCTCTGATGCTGTAAAATCTACTCTACAAACCAGCACTTGAATCCTTCTGCAACATTCCATATTTTTACTGCATAAACAACTTCATAGTTTTTTTAAAAGGATTTTTCTCATAAGTCGTGTGCAATGTCTCAAGCTTGTAATTTCAGCAACTCAGGGAGGCTGAAGCATGAGGATTTCTTGAGCCCAGGATTCCGAGACTGCTGTGAGCTATGATTGTACCACTGAACTCCAGCCCAGGCAACAGAGCAGAACTTCAACTCTAAAATAAAATAAAATAAAATATTCTTCTCCTTTTGAAAATCTTTGTAGCCAAATTTTTGTGTGTAGTACTTTGAAATAATCATGTAGTTTTTGTGTATTGTTCTTCATTTTGACCCCTGTGTCTTTGAAGTCTAGTCTTCCCTTTATATGATTTAATTTAATGTATCTGAAAGGTTTTATCATGTCTCTATAATTTCTCGTATTTACAGACCAATGCCTAAGGTTCCACTCCTTTTTTCGTATAACACAGTCTATTCTCACCCATCAGTTACTTTCTTTTGATAGGTTGATAAGCTATTTAATGTCATGCAAGATCCAACTATTATTTTTTATTGTTTTTTTTTTTTTTTTTTTTGAGACGGAGTCTCACTCTTTCGCCCAAGCTGGACTGCAGTGGCGCTATCCCGGCTCACTGCAAGCTCCGCCTCTTGGGTTCATGCCATTCTCCTGCCTCAGCCTCCCGAGTAGCTGGGATTACAGGCGCCCACCACCACGCCCGGCTAATTTTTTGTATTTTTAGTAGAGACGGGGTTTCACCGTGTTAGCCAGGATGGTCTCGATCTCCTGACCTCGTGATCCGCCCGCCTCGGCCTCCCAAAGTGCTGGGATTACAGGCGTGAGCCACCGCGCCCGGCCCCAACTATTATTTTTTATGCACTTACAAAATGTCAACAGAAATTCTGGTTCATTTCATATTCTAGGTCTTTTTTTTTTTCGTATCCAATCTCAACGGGAAAAACATTTTAGAATTTTTAACCAAGTCCCCCTTAAATATAACATCAAGAAAATTTGTGCTTATATTGGTAGTATCAAAATTTTTAAGAATTCCTTCACAACTTTATTTTTGGAAACTGGGAAATATGCTTTAAAACTTAGAAAACTAAACAACTAACACATGAATAAACTAACTACATTAAGATTTAGGTTGATTAAAATATCAATATATAATTTATTCATGTTATTAGAGACTGTCAGAAAAATTAATGTGTCATTTGGCTGCATAAAAAGGTGTGTCTTCTGAATGACAAGGGTGATTCCATCTCCTCGTTTTATACATTTCACAATAAACTCAACGTATTATGTACTTTTCTTGATATCATGTCTTAAGGAGTTCAGAGAAAGTCTGAGAGATAAATTTCAAGAGACTGCATGTCAGGAAGAATAAAATCTCCATTTAACTTCATAAAGTAAAAAATAAGTTGAAACACAAAATACATTTTTAATGATGTATATATTTGAAACGTGTGTACATTTTACATTGTGCATATGTGTGTGGATGGATCTATACATGTGCATTTGTGTGTGTCAAACCTAAAATATAAACAATAGTATCAGCGAAAGGTATTCTATAACTTAGCATCTGTGAAAGACAAACTCTTAAAAAGCCTGATAAATCTGTTATCATATGTCACAACACCAGAATAATATTTCCTTTAACAAGACTTAAAATTATTTAGGATTCCATTATTCTCAGACAATCTTCAACCTGATCTGTTCAATCAGAAAAACAAGTTATTTTGTCCAAAAGTCAATATTATTGCTTCAAAAAGCAACTGATAGAAATCTAGAATCTGCAATTTAGGATCATATTATTTAGTATAATGTACCTAAAGTCAATCAGACAGGAAATGTATTAGCCCAGTGATATGGTTTGGCTGTGTCCTCACCCAAATCTCATCTTGAATGGTAGCTCCCATAATTCCCATGTGTCATGGGAGGGAAACTAATGGGACGTAATTGCATCTTGGGGGCAGATCTTTCCCTTGATATTCTGATAGTGAATAAGTCTCATGGTATCTGATAGTTTTATAAAAGGGAGTTTCCCTGCACAAGGTCTCTTCTCTTGTCTGCCACCACAGGATACGTGCCTTTCACCTTCCACCATGATTGTAAGGGCTACCCAACCACGTGGAACTGTGAGTCCATTAAATCTCTTTCTTTTGTAAATTTCCCAGTCTTGAGTATGTCTTTAACAGCAACACGAAAACAGACTAATAAACCCAGTTATTTTGTACATTACTGAAATTCTTTCTGTTCAAGGTCATAAAATTTGTTCTTACTAGTGGTCCCTACTGCTTTCCCTGAATGACAAGAATCTGGGAACTAATTATATCATTAACAGAAAGCTATGTTCTTATTAAATTCATCAGCATTTTTAATTAAAAAAAGGTATTGGTAACTAAGAGTAATCAAATGTCACAAATCAATGTTTGCCTCCATTTTTTACAGTTTCTAGTGAAATGTTTTAAAATAGTTTTAAAACAAGTTACTGTAATGCATTACATTGCCAGTTACCTTATGAAGCAAGAGGTCTCAGAAGTCAATTTAAATATGTTCGCAGTTGGCCACATGGTGAACAAACCCTCTTTTAATGTCTATTTTAATCAATTTTTTTCCCAAACTAGTAAAACGTTCTTTCTCAAAACAAGTATTTTCTATATGGTTAAGTGCTATATAGCCTGACATAAACTTTTTTCCAAATTGTATATTTCATATGACTTTTTTGAAAGGTGAGGAAAAAATTTCTGTGATCAAAGACATCTAAAAGAACCATATATATTTTCTTGGCAATTCACCTTTCTTATAAATATATAAATTAGCACAGAAATCATGAAACAAAAAATGTTTAACTTTATTTAATCTATTTATTCCAAATTTGTGTAATAATATGATTTTTTAAAAAAAATTATGGTGCAAAAGCAGCATCCAGACAAGTCATATTTCAAAATATTAAAGTTAAAAAATACTTGCATAGTCAATAAAATGTTGAGATTGTATTTTAAAATCAGACAAATCATATTTCAAAACATTCAGTTTTGAATGCTTACATAGTCAATATAAATTTGATATTATATTGAAAAACTATCATGGAAGTAAGTAGTTTTACCCTATTTACAGAAATTTAAAAAATAATTTATTAAAAAAGATTATTACTGGTGTCATAAAGAATACAAAATGCACTAAATTTTAGAGTTCTCAATTATTAGAATTTATTATTTGCTAACATTCCCAATTTAAAATATTTCATTTAGTGTTCTATTAATGTTGCCCATCTACTGTATACGTTTAAAATCTTTGCATAAGTTCTCCAAAGTGAAAAAAGTATAGCTTTCAAAATATACCAATAGTGTAAAATATCAAAATGAAAATAAAATGGAACAGAAATTTATAATTCTAAAGAAAACATAAGGATTTTCTCAAATATGTTTTTAAACTACCATTCTATATTAAGAATTACAACACAACTGTCAATTAATTTAAATAACTCAGTATGAAAACAGAAAATGTGTGTTCATAAAAAAAAATTGTAAAGTGTAATAAATTTGGATAGGTTTCCTCAAAATTCCCCTCCCTCCCTTCCTTCCTTCCTTTCTTCATTCCTTCCTTCTTTCTTTCCTTCCTTCTTTCCTTCCTTCCCTCCTTCCTTCCTTCCTTTCCTCCTTCCTTCCTTCCTTTCTTCATTCCTTCCTTCTTTCCTTCCTTCTTTCCTTCCTTCCCTCCTTCCTTCCTTCCCTCCTCCCTTCTTTCTTTACTTCCTTCCCCTTTTCCTCTTGCCTTTCTTTTCTCTTTTTTCTTTCTTTCTCTCTCTCTTTCTTATTTCATCCTTTCCTTCTTTCCTCTGTCTCATCCTCTTTGTCTCTTCTCTCTCCCTTCCTTTTTTCTTCCTTCCTTTCTCCTTTCTTCTTTCCTTCATTTTTTCCTTCCTTACTTCTTTCCTCCCTTCTTTTTATTTTCTTGTTTCCTTTCTTTCTGTTTTTTAAATCAATGATGTACACACAATTCTAAAACAGTGTTAACACACAGCCATTGGGAAACTAATAAACTACTAAATTGACATCATTTCTGATATCTGATAAATTGTTATACATTGGAAAATGAGATAGAAGCAGAAGTTTAAATGCTATTTAAATTCAGTAGTTTAGAAAAGACAAAAAAAAATTGGATAATCATTTAGCATACTGCTTAACCCTCTTACCAAAATATTAAAATTTTCTCCATTCAAAGAATTATCTATTATCAAGGCTGCTTTAAAAATTACTTTTACTTAGGCTATACAGATTAACAGCTTTAGTAACATTTCTAAATATAATAATTCTGGTTATACGATCTTTAAAAACAGTCTTTAAAATCCAATTTTTAAAACATTTCTAAAAAGAACAAAGCTGGAGTACTCACACTTCCTGATTTCAAGATTTACTTCAAAACTATAGTTTCAAGACAGTGTGGCGCTGCTAAGAAAAATAGTTGCAAACTATATCTTTTTTTTTTGAGACGGAGTCTCACTCTGTCACCCAGGCTGGAGTGCAGTGGCACGATTTCAGCTCACTGCAAGCTCTGCCTCTTGGGTTCACACCATTCTCCTGCCTCAGCCTCCCGAATAGCTGGGACTACAGGCGCCCACCACCATGCCTGGCTAATGTTTGTATTTTTAGTAGAAACAGGGTTTCACCGTGTTAGCCAGGATGGTCTCAATCTCCTGATCTCGTGATCCGCCCACCTCGGCTTCCCAAAGTGCTGGGATTACAGGCGTGAGCCACCGCAAACTAAATCTTAATTTCCTCTCTCTTCCTCCTAAAATTCCTAAGAAACAAGAATACTACTTGATGCAAACAATCTTTGGAAAAACAGAGCTATAGAACAACTTCTCAAATGCAAAATAACTTCTAACGCTGTGGAAATAGAAGGTAGCTTCTTCAACTTGGTAGAGACCATCAACAAATACCCCTCAGCTAAGATCATACATAATGGCAAAATACTGAAAGCTTTCCCTCTAAGATCAGAAAGCAAACATGATGAATATTCTTGCCACTCCTGTTTAACATTGTACTGGAGGTTCTAGCCAGGGTAATTTGGAAATAAAAATAAACAAAATTAAAATGCACCTGTATTGGAACAGATGAAGTAAACTATCACTTTTTATGAATGACATAAACTTATATAGAGAAAATACTGGTGTCCGCCAAAAAAAAAAAAAAACAAAAAGGAAAAGAAAAAGAAGCTACAGAACTATGAGAGCTAATAAATAAGTTTAGAGAGGTTACAGGATACAAGATAGATATACAAAAATCAACTATATTATACATGAACAATAAAAAGTTTAATAAAGAATTTAAGAAAACAATTCCACTCACAATAGTATAAAAAATTAAATACATAGGAGTAAAGTTAAATAAATTTCACAAACTATAACCTGTAAAATACAAAATATTTTTGAAATAAATGAAATACTTAAATAAATAGACAAGTAATGCTTATGAATTGCAAGACTTAATGTTGTTAAGATGGTGATTTCTCCAAATTTAACTACACATTTAACACAATCTCTGTCAAAATTGGTGATAGCTTCTCTGCTCATATTGACAAGTTGATTCTAAAATTCATGTGGATATCAAAAGATCCAGAAAAAAATATATAGAATAAAAGAAACAAAGCATATTTATACTTCCTGCCATATAATATTACTTCAGAGCTACAGTGTCCACGCAGTGTGATATTGGCAAAATGATAGGCATATAGATCAACAGAGTAAGTTTCTGATTCCAGAAATAAACCCATACATCAATGGTCAATTTATTTTCAACAGGGGTGCCATGACCATTCAATGAGGACAGAATTGTCTGTTCAACAAATGGTGCCAGGTCAAATGTATATCAACGTGCAAACAAATTGGACCTCTACCTGATATCACATACAAAAGTTAACACAAAATAAATGTCATAAGCAAAAAGCTAAAGCTATAAAACTTTTAAAATATAACTTATGTATATATCCTTGTTACATTAAATTAGACAGTGGTTTATTTCCTATGGCACTTAAAGCATAAGAAGTCGAAGAAAACATAAATTGGAAAATTGGACCTCATCAAAATTAACTTTTGTGTTTCAAAGGATGTTGTCAAGAAAGTGAAAAGACAACCCATATCTTTGGTTGAACATTTGGAAAATATTTTCAGATTATCTAAAACCTCTTTGTACTGGCATAAAAACAGACATATGGACTAATGGAACAGAATGGAGAGCTCAGAAATAAATCTGCACATTTATGGTCAATTAATCTTCTACAGTGGGGCCAAAAACACACAATAGAGAAAGGACAGTCTCTTCAATAAATAGTGCTGAAAAGCTGATATCCACATGGAGAAGAACAAAATTGGACACATCTCTTACAATATGCAAAAATCAACTCAACATGGATTAAAGACTTAAATATAAGGCCCAAAACTTCAAAAATTCTAGAAGAAAATATTTTCAAAAAGCTTTTTGACATTGGTCTGGACAATGACTTTTTGGATATGACAAAAAAAGCAGAGGCAAAAAAAAAATAAAAATAAACAGGATTACATCCGACTAAAAAGATTTTACACAGCAGAGGAAACAATCAACAGACTGAAGAAGGAAGACACAGATTGAGAGGAAATATTTGCAAACCATATGTCTGATAAGGGATTACTATTCAAAATACAAAAGAAACTCCAAAAACTCAAAGGGAGAAAACAAATAACCCAATTAAAACAATGGGTAAAGGACTTCAATAGATATTTCTCAAAAGAAGATATACAAATGTCCAACCAGTATATGAAAAATTGCTCAACACTACTAATCCTTAGAGAAATGCAAATCAAAATCACAATGAGACATTATCTCAAATGTTTGTTATCAAAAAGACAAAAGACAACCAGTATTAAAGAGAATGTAGAGAAAGGGAACCTTTTTATATGGTTGGGGGGAATGTAGTTTTGTACAGCATTTATGAAAAACAGTGTGAAAGTTTGTCAAAAAACTAAAAATAGAACTACCTAATTAGCAATTTCACTTCTGGGTAAATATACAAAGGAATCAACATCAGTATGCTGAAGAAATATCTGCACTCCCATATTCATTGCTACATTATTCATATTTGCCTAGATGTGGAATCAACCTAAGTGTATATTGACTGGTGAATGAATAAAGAAAAAAATATATATACATCACAGTGGAATACTATTCAGCCTTATGAAAGAAAGAAATCCTGTCAGTTGTAACATCAGTGATCAGTGAACCTAGAAGGTATTAAAGTAAGTAAAATAAACCAGGCACAGAACAACAAATACTGCGTGATCCCACTTGTATGTGGAATCTAAAAAAGTTGAACTCACAGAATCAGAGTATAGAACACTGATTGTTAGAGGCTGGTGGAGGTAGGGGGTGATAGGAAAACGTTGGTCAAAGGGTAAAAGTTTTTACAAGATGAGTAGTGTCAGGATGTATTGCATATTATGTGACTGTAGCTAATAATAATGCAACGACCAATGTAGTGTATACTTGAAAATCTCTGAGGGTATACCTTAAATACTCTCACTACAAAAAATGGTATGTGAGTTAGTGGATTTATTAATTCGTTTGAGTTAATCATTTCACAATTTATACCTCTATCAAAATATCACATTGTATACCATAAATACATATGATTTTTGTCAATTATACCTTAATAAAGCCAGAAAGGTATACTAAATATAATTAATTATAATAAAAAAATCCTAAAACTTCACATTTTTTTCACCCAACATTGGGTCATTAATATTTACTGTCCTGCAGTAATACAAACTTGTCAGTATTCCTCCAACATAGTGACAACAGTATTTCCTAAAATTGTTTCTGGAAAACAAATGGGTTAAACATTATATGGTTTTAAAAATATTAATTGCTACACAAATGTTAAGTATTATCAATGTATTTTCATATCTATTAAAATGTTGGTAACATTGCTTCTATAAAGACAAACACTGAAATTATAAGTGAGAATGGACATTGTACACCATATCAAGTAAGGAAAAATAAATATATTTCTTTGTATTAAAAAAGTTTTCCATGACTAACTTCTCTCCTCATGATATTAGTTAGAGGAAGACTCAAGACTCATTGATAGCATTTCTGAGTCCTCATATCATTTTTAATTCGTCTACTAAATTTTACAGTTTTCTTTTTACATTAACAAAACACAAAGATAATCTGAATTTTAAAAAGTTAATGTTGAAAGATTAAACACAGAAATAGGTAATGGGTCACAACAGGATTTTGAAGAATATTGTTGGTCAAGATAAGCATCTTCAATTATAAAGTTCCAGTATGGACAATGATACAATTTAACTCCATAGTTGTGAGGTCCGCTGGTTTGCAGCAGCATTTCTAGTTAAGTAATTTTACAGCAGGTGGCACGGTATTCATATGTGTTGGGCATCCAGAACAAACTAAGATTGCAATAGTCTAAATAGAAAGACCCACAAGGCTTCAACAACAAGATAGAAAAAAGGGTTCGCTTGGGTGAAAAATATCTCCACTGTTACAGCTGGAAAACTTGAAGTGAATAGAGATATTATTTCAGGATCTATCTTAAACTCCTCTGCATTACTCCACAGTGAGTCAAAAATAATAAACTGGTGAAAAGCGAAGAGTAGGGTAATTGAAGTCATTATTTTGAACATATCTTAAGTAGATATCATTATTCCTCCATTAAGTTATAAGAAAGTTTAATGAAGAAAAAAACCTAAGAGGAAAAAATAAACTTGGCAAAGCAGAGAGAAAAAGACTCAGGTGAGGAGGCATGATTTTGCAAATGTGCCATTATTACATTCTGTGAGCATATCACAAATTATTCAATGATTGCTCATGAAGATTAAAATAATCTTACGTATTTTCCCCTCTGAGACATACATCACTGATGAACACCTGGGATCTGAGTGGATTTAATGCAAATCTTTCTGAAATCCAAAAGAGAAATCTATTAAAAAGACATACACTAAATACGAAAGTGCCATGTAGCATTTTAATACACTCAAAATTTCATATAGTAGCCAATAAATTAATAACTTCACTGGGACATTGGAGAGAATCTAAGTGGTAAGAGTCTCATATACCTTCTGCGTAACCAAACTGTGACTTAACTGAAATGTTGATGACCGTATACGGCTGTGAGAAAGAGTTACAGTAAGATAGCTGATTGTTTAAATAGAATTAAATGTGATTTTGCATAAATAAGTATACTGCAAGTTTTATATACTTAAATATTAAGAATACTAAGAATGACAGAGGAAAATAAAGTACTCCATTATGGAATATTTGGCATGTTTGATCACCATTTTTGTGATGCTATTGGCAAACTTTTTCTCTAAAATATTAGAAGAAGACAGGGAAATATAATTATTTAAAAATAGAATAAATAGAAATGTACTTTATATGAAACATTAAATACAAGATTTATTATTTAATAAACTAAAAGTGTTTATGGTAAGTGCAAGTCAAACCAAGATCAGTTTATTCCTAACAAGCAATCTGGACTCCATTAGTTAAATATCCACTACCCATATCCAGTATAAACACAAAACAAAAAGCGATATCCTGAATCCTCAAGAATGCCTGATCTTGGGATTTGACAAGTCTGGCCTTGTGTATAGACAGGTTGTTGAATAATTAATGAATTTTATTTTAAGAACTTGCTTTTCCTGAATCATAAAATATTTTATGGGGCCTCAGGAAAAATTACAGCCATAACTTATATGATTGGCTTCACATTACTTTCTTGTGTGTTTTGTTCTTTATGTGTATCTTATTCATATATTCCATATTTTACAGAAAATCTGGCAGAAACTAGCTTTAATTTCTATTAATATTGTTAAAATAATTAAAACATTATTTTAATGATATAAAAGTATAAAATATCTATTGTTTCTCTTTCTGAAAGGGTAAAAGTACACCTATCACTTTTCAAAATACTGTTACCACACTCATTTCCAAATTATACTGGCATACTATGGAAGTCTAAAATAATATGAAATTACCCTTCAAATATTTTAGGATTAATGAAAATATTAATTAAATTTAACTCTTCATATACTGTTTGCTATAATGGTCAAATATTAACTGAGAAGTCACTCACTAAAACAAGGTCACTCTAAAAACAAATGTATTCCCATAAACAAGGGATTATGCACTATCCCATATATGATCTGAATTAAATGTCATCAAAAATATTAACTGTATTTATTACTTTTAAAAAATGTATTTTAAATGATTAATAGCATATATAAATAGGGTAAAATTTTATGATACATGTACACATGCAAAATGATTAATTCAGACTAATTAACATATATGTCACCTCCCATACTTATAATTTCTTTGTGATGAGAACATTTAAAATCCACTGTTTTAGCAATTTTGAAATATGCAATACATTACTATTAACTATAGTCACTATGCCATGCAATAAATTAATAGCATTTATTTATCTGTTCTAACTGAGACTTTGTACCTTTTGACTCAAATCTCTACTTCTGTCATCCACCCCTTTCCCCAGCCACTGTTAACTACTATTCCGTACTCTTACTTCTACAAGTTCAACTGTTTCCAATTCTGTATATAGGTGAGATCATGAAGTATTTGTCTTCCTGTGACTGTGTGACTGGCTTATGTCACTTATCATAATGTCCTCTATGTTCATCCATGTTGTTGCAAATGACTTGATTTCCTTTTTTTTAAAGGCTGAATAGTACTTTTTTTTTTTTTTTTTTTTGTTTTTGAGACAGTCTTACTCTGTCTTCCAGGCTGGAGTGCACCTCCCCGGCTTAAGGGAAACTCCCACCTCAGCCTCCCAAGTAGCTTGTGTCACCACACCTGGCTAATTGTTTTGCCGTGTTGCCCAGGCTGGTCTTGAACTTATGGGCTCAAGTGATCTACCTGCCAAAGTGCTGAATAGTCTTTTTGGTGTGCTGTTGAATTCAGTTTGCAAGTATTTGTTGAGAATTTTTGAATTTATGTTTATCAGGAATACTGGCTTGTAATCTGTGTTTTTTGTTGTGTTCTCGTCTAGTTTTAGTATCAGGGTAATAGTGGCCTCATAGAATAAGTTAGGGAGGATTCTCCCCCCTTCAATATTAATAGACTTAAGGGAGAGATAGACTCCAAAACAGTAATAGTAGGGGACTTTCACATCCCATTTTCAGCAATGGTTAGATCATTGAGACAAAATTTCAACAAAGAAACAGTGAAGATAAAATACACCCTAGACCAAATGCACCTAACAGATATCTACAGAACATTTCGCCCAACAGCTAGAGAATACGCATTCTTTTCAACAGTACAAGGAATATTTCCAGGATAGATAATAATGGCAGGCCACAAAAAAGTGTTAACAAATTTTTAAAAATTTAAATCGTATCAGGTATCCATTCTAATCACAGTGTAAGAAAACTAGGAATCAATAACAAGAAAAATTTAGAAAACTCTACAAACACACAGAAATAAACAACATGCTCCTGAATAATCAATGGATCAAGAAATAAATTAAGAAGGAAATTTAAACATTTCTTGCAATAAGTAATAGTAAAAACATACAAAAACTTACAGTAACCAGCAAAATCAGTGTTAAGAGGAACGTTTATAGAAATTAACATCTACATAAAAGTATAAATATTTCAACAAACAACTTGCAATGCAAGAATTTAGAGGAACAAGATAAACCAAACTCAAGAAGAAAAGAAATAATGAGGATTATAGCAGAAAGAAATAAAATAAAGGTTTGAAAAACAGTACAAAAATCAACAAAAAAGAGTAGGTTTTTAAAAAGATAAACTTTACAAAACTTTCGTAGGCTAAAACAAGAGTAGAGTAAAATAAATATAATCAGAGACAAAAAAGTCATTACAAATAATATTTGTACCTCACTATAACTATATGCTACCTCTCTATAACTATATTTTTATATAAATTAAAGGAACTTTATATATATAACGTTCCTTAAACTCTAGATTATTTTGTAGAAAAAGATTGATAATGAGAATTAAATCACAATATGGTTGTTTACATTATAATATAAATGACTTCAGCTTTTAGAATTAATAAACAGCTAAGTTTCTGATTATATGAGATTAATATAAGTAATAATTGTATCTATATATAGTAGCAGCTTTTTCAACCTCTTAAATTTATTTAAGTTTAAAAATACTCTTTAAAATGAAAATATTCCTTTATAGGTTATATTTATTTTGTCCTGGATACAAAGTCTTTGCTTAACATATGTTCATAATGACATAGCCCTGTGTTATTCTTCTAGAGCATTAATTATGGTATAGTTTATTATCCATCTAGAATTGTTATGGTATAGTTTATTATCCATCTAGAATTGTTATGGTATAGTGTATCATCCATCTAGAATTGTTTTGTGTATATGACACGATAGGAGTCAGGATTCTTTTTACGTTTCATATCAATGGTCAACTCATCTAGTACTATATTTTTTGAAAATATAATTCTTTTCTCAACACATTTTATTGTCAACTTGGTCATAAAACAAGTGGCCATGCATGAGTAAGTCTCTTGGACTCTTTATTTTAATAAAAAGTGAGCAAGTTTTGAAAGACTATACACACACATATATATATATGCAAAAATACATATATGTATATACACTATTTTCCCTTTTGAATACCCAGGTGGCCTATAAATCATAGAAATATGTTTAATCTCAATTACTAATTATCTAATTTATTGTCTAATTAGTGAATGCAAATTAAAACTAGAAAGAGATGCCTTGAATAACCACGGTGGGAGAAAATGACAATAAAAAGTATTGGTTGGGAATATGGAGCAATAGAAACTCTTATGTAAAGCTAAGGATAATATGAATGCACACAACCTCTTTGGCAAACTCTTTGTCAGTTATCACAAAATTTAAAAATACAGTTTTTCTTCCTTATTTGCAGGGGATACATTCCAAGACCCTCAGTGGGTGCCTGAAACCATGGATAGTACCAAGTCCTATATATTCCTTTTTTTTTTCCATCTTATAAGCCTAATGGCAATTAAGTGACCAAAAAGTCCTAGCACATACAGTGTGGATATGCTTTACAAAGGGATGACTCACATCCTGAGAGGGACGGATAAAGACGGTATGAGATTTAATCATGTTACTTGGAATACATGCAACTTACAATTGATAAATTGTTTATTTCTGGAATTTTCCATTTAATTTTTCCAGATTGTGGTTGATCACTGATAATTGAAACCATGGAAGGCAAAAAATCATAAATAAGGGGGTCTTCTGTATCTAACCTCCATTATTCAACATTTTACTTCTACAGATATACTCAACAGAAATACATATACATATATATATATTTAAAAACAGATGTACACAAAATGATTATAACAGCATTTTATTTAATATAACAAAACTAAACCAAGCGAAATATCATTAGTATTCAAAAGATAATTAAGTTATGATATACTTATTCAGTAAAAATGCATACAATAACATGGGTAGATTCTCCAAATACAAGAGTGAGCGAACACTCCAAACAAAAGAAAACATATAGTTTTTTAATTCAATTTATTAACATTGTAAAATAGAAATAATAGGACCGGGGGCGGTGGCTCACAACTGTAATCTCAGCACTTTGGGAGGCCGAGGAGGGCGGACCATGAGGTCAGGAGTTGAAGACCAGCCTGGCCAATATGGTCAAACACCGTCGCTACTAAAAACAAAAATTAGCCGGGCGTGGTGGCTTACGCCTGTAGTCCCAGGTATTCCGGAGGCAGCAGAAGAATCGCTTGAACCTGGGAGGCGGAGGTTGCAGTGAGCCAAGATCGCGCCACTACACTCCAGCATGGGCAACATAGCGAGACTCTGTCTCAAAAATAATAATAATAATAATCAGTGATAATTCAATTTAGTTTTCCTCTGTGATTTTTAAGGACTGGATTGTTGATATAAGGAGTTACTGTTGTGGTTTTAACATTCTATTTCTTAATCAGGCTATTAGTTATTTGAGGTTACTTCATCTTAAGAAATTCATCGATTTGTGCATCTTTATCAATGTTACATTAAATAAAATGTTTACTTTTGAATTTCCATTTGATTATTTGGTGGACAATCATCCTGAGCCCAAAACAGAACCTTCTGTGCAACTGAAACACAAGACCCTGCTTTCCACTTTTTGTCTTGATGATGGTTTATTGCCCAGAATTTATATCACAATCTATCACATTCAACCATGTGTCTAAAAGGTTTTAATAAGCATTTCTGGTCTTTTGTTGCATCTGGGTCCTTAGGTTATTCAGCTGGCTATGTTTCAAGTAACAGAAGTGCCCAGAATGTGTCTGGTTCTGTTTTCTTTGTTTTTATTTTTTTATTTTTTCCAAATTTCACTTAAAAGTACACATTTTGTGCTATTTTCAGCTCGGTAAAATTTCCCTCAATTTTGAGTTTGATTTTAGTTTTTATAGCAATCACTCCTTTGAAACACCTGTAATTTGCAGATGGATCTTTGTTTCTTCAGCTCTTCTCTCCTGGTTTTCAGCTCTTCAGCTTTTTCAGTACGCTCATACTCTCTCAGGTGTGCTCTTAACATCAGCATTAAAATTCCCACAGGCTCCTGGTACTCTTTACTGCCTCCCATTTTATTTTACTTTTACGTCTTTGCTGTGATTTGAATCCTTCAATCTCATGTAGATTTCTCTTTTTCATGGGCTGTCTTTTTCATGTGACATTTTTCCTATGTCATTTTAAATTTTTCTGTCAAGTTGAAAAATTTTTATTTAAAATCTTAAATTCCTAGCCTGTATTATCACTAGGATTATTTTTAAATCTCTCTCCACAACTACATCACCTACTTTAAAGGACCTAAACCTACCAGGAGCTAATGTAATATAGTCTCGCCAGTCAAGCCTAACTTTCTGCTTCTAACATGTGAGACTTTTCTCTGAACATGGAAATATGGTGAGTAATACAAAACTTGGTCTCTAGCATTAGGCAAATAGTGGCAGAGTGATTGTTTCCAAACTTCTTACTGATCAGCAGGAATACTGCTGTTTTCATAAATCAAAGCATTATTTTCTCGTTTAAAATCAATTTAGCTCTTTCTTTTCTTAACTATGTGTAAACATCAGATTTTGGCAATTAGGTTTGATTTTTTAAAATTATTTTTCAACTGATGTAAGTTTTTATCTTTTAGGTATATCGTTTAAAAGATATCAAGTAGGAATTTAAATTTAGAAGGTTACTAGTAAAACGTAAGACAAATTTTTCTGACCACAATTTACATTTTCATTTAAAGTAATTATACTTACTGGATTGAATTTATTTTAGACATCATTAGGCAAGTAAGAATGATTTACTCCATAGCTCACAGCATAACTCCTTTATGTTGTTTCATACTGTAAAATACATTTTCCTTAAATTCTTAATTTTTCTCTCAATATTTAGAAATATGCATATAGTTTGTTATTTAATAAAATTCATTTTCAAGACTATCAGTTCTTGAATGGCTTAGTGTTTCATTAATTATAAAAGTTCCATGTACCTAGAAAAAATAATATAGGATAGAAATTAATGAAATAAGAATTAGAAGTATTGTAAGAAGTTTTATAAATTTAGCTGACCATCAGAAATGGAGAGTCTAGAACATTTAATGCATGCGTTGACTAGAAAAAAAAAGAAAAAAATAATAAAACAAAAAAACTTTAAATTTTAGCATTTGGCAATGTCAAAATTGACTTCTATCTAATTGAGGCTTTGTACTAACATCAGTTTTACTCCATAAATATAAACAACTATAATTTGTCACCATAAATATTTTTAAAAAATTAAAAGTGAACTTATTAAATTGCCTTTTATAGTGCCATTTCTGTATAAATGTTATGATTGATTTTTTCCTAAAAATAACTCATTATTAGAATGATCAGACTTATTATTCATGAAGCAATAAATCTGAAAATAAAAGAAGCTGAATATACTTATGACCTGTAACAAAAGGGTAACACTTAAGAAGTAGTATAGATGCACGGAATCCTGAGAGTCTTCCTTAGAATAAAAAAGACTTAGGCTCAAGGCATCAGTCATGATCTGTGTAGCCTCAATAAGTTACTGAAAGTCTTTAGGTCACAGTTTTCCTCTGTTAAATGGGGTTAGTGATATCTGTATTGTGATGGTAGTATAATTCTTGTAAAGCGCAATGAACAGCGTCTATCACATAAGGCAATACTAAATGGTAGATATGCTTTTGAAATCACTAAATGGATTTAAGGCTGATGAATAGTATGGTACAGAGGTGTATTTCCCTACATGCAGTTACAAAGCCTTTTGATATAAGTTTCACAGAATATATAAACAAGAAAATACTGGGCTTAAATAATTTTAAACTGCTATTCATAATTTAAAACAAATTCTCTTTTATATATTATTTGTGTTTAATTTTTAAAAGAGAAAGTATGTACAGTTTTTTTTCACCAACTTTTATTATGAGACACTTATATTAATGTCAACCAGAACAGTGTCTATATAATTTTGAGAAATTCTGGTGTGCAGGAATGGATAGGAAGCCAATCTTGTGCAAAATTAGGCTGGTAATTTCAGCTCAGTGACATTTTACAAATCACTGATCATTGTAAAGTCTGATTTGTTTTGTTATCTAAAAATGAATATAATGCAACTATCTAAAGAGTTAAATAATACTTTATAGCATACAGAACCCAAAAGGTACTTAGTAAAAGTTAGTTCCAGTCACCATTTTTTTCTTTTATGTAACAAAGCTTCTTTTATTTTGTCTCTTTGTCACGTAGAACAAAAAAAAAAAAAAAAGGGAATTGAAGAGCAAAATAATATCAAATGGGGGCAGTTGGTCTGTATGTTAAAAAATATTGCTTTGGACTCTGGAAAATGATAAAAATATGCTCACAACTTACTTAAACATATTATTTTTATATTTTGACAAAAAGAATTATGCTATACACTATAATTTTAATGGAGCATTTAAAAGAGAAATGTTACTAAGTTTATATCTAAAATGCACATGTTCACATTTCTATTTTTGTTTGCTTTTCTTCCAAGAAGCTACATCCATTTGAGTAGCCGTCACCCCACATCTGTTAATCTTAGCACAAATTGCTATCTCTTATATGTGAGATTGCATTGCCAACATTTTAATAATTAAACTTGTCTTTCCCTCAGATAAACACCAGAAAAACCATAAGGTAGAATGGCACATTTCATAAGAAGTTTTAAAACTGTAAAGATAATCAGTCCCCCAACCTTAATTAAATAGAATTAACCGAACTGTAGGCTGTCTGGCTTTGTTTGGGCTTTTCATTATGTATGGAGACTTAGCTATCATTCCCCCTTCAAGGAAGACCTTCATCTATAATCATTTGGGATACAAGAATTTCTGTATCTGCTCCAAAGTCAATTCCCCTGCTGTCAACCCCCTGGCTTCAAAGCATTACTCATAGGCCCACCTCAGGCATCTCTGTACTCTCTTGAAAATCCAAGAAATCTGTCCTCCTAGGATAAATTGCAAAGATTGTCTCACTGGCCTCTGGCTTCAAAGTGGACAGGGGGTGAGAAATAAAGATTTCTCTCTTAAATGTTCAATTCTAAACTTATCAGTGTCTACTTCTTATTTCCTTCAAATTACCACTAATGTAAATATATTATGTGTAAAGTTGTCTAAAATTTTGAAAGAAATAGAAGGTTATTATATATTATATTATGAGAAAAAATAAATTTGAGTATTTTACAGATATTTTTCTTGGCATTCCATGCTCAGATATACATTCTCATTATGTTTCTGGAGTCAGTTTTCTTTGTCCAGGCCCTTCTCCAAATTTCAAGATAATCTCTCCTTAGATTTCTGGTAGGAAATGTTCTCATTGTGTCTTATGCTGGAGAGACCAGAAACCTTGTTTCACTTCTTTGCCTCACTGAACCAGTTTAGAGAGATTGAGTTTTCATCATAAGAAGCTTATAAAGATGTTTTCCTAAGTAACAGATGATCAAATTCATATTATATGTCATAAAGGACAAGTTATTTAAATTCTCTAAGCTTCAATTTCTCAGATACAAAATAGGAATAATTACTCATCTCAAAAGTGGTGTTGAAAATTGAGTGAACTGATGCGTGTAAGGTCTTAGAATAGTCCACACTGTATAGTAAGCTGTTTATCTTAGTCACTGTTGTTACTGGTGTTCACTCTGTCATTCATTCATTTGACAAATATATATTGAGTGCCAGCTCTGTGTCAGGTGCTCCTAAGAAAACTGGAGAATAAGAGGAAAAAGATTGAGGCCCTGACCCACAGGAGTCTAAAGCCTGGTGGGACAGAAATAAAAATAAAATAATATCAGGTAGTAGTATTACTTTGAAAGGATATGAAGGCAGATGCAGGGCTAAAATATGCCAAACAGCAGAGTCATTATGATAGTCAGGGAGAACCCATTGAAGAAGATGTCACTTGGGTAGAGATCTGAATGATGAGGCAAAGTAGTTCCAGTGTAAAGTTCGATGTGAAAAGTGTTTCAGGCATAAGGGACTGTAGGGATGAACATTCTGAAGCTTGAACAAACTTGGCTTGTCTCAGGAACAACAAAAAAGGTTCACGTGCCTAGAGCAGAATAAGCAATGGATGATCAGAGATGAGGTCATAGAGCAGCTATCAAAAGTGGTAGTGATAAATATTCATTTTTTTCAATGTCATGGAATGACTGGAGGGTTTTTAATATGGAGTTATTGAACTCAGATTTTCAGAATATCTCTGGCAGTTATGAACAGAATAAATTTACTTTGGGGTATTGTGGTATAGAAGTAGGTTTGTGAATTGGGTTAATTCTAGTTTCTCGGGGAAATAAGATGGTAGGTAATCCATTGAAAGTGAGAAGAATTAGTTGAATATTTAAGTACAGAATAAAAATGTTGAAATAATTATCTTAAATACAACTCACTGGAGATACATGTTAAGTATTCTGTATATCTTTAAGGGCCTGGTCAGAATGGTTATGAAGTTTTCTCCAGCCATGCTTACCTACACCATGGGTTTCAGAACAATGTAGACTCAGAGGAAGTAAAGAGTAAGGTTTTTTTCCAGGTGTTTATAAGTGAGAGAGGTAAGGTAAATTAACTTAAGGGTGAATGCAATCAAATTATAATAATGTTGGGCTTTGGTAATGAGAAAAGAGGCCTCATGAGAAAGAAGCAACAATAATTTGATGAGGTCAGTGGATTTAAAAGTGCTGATTGAAGTAAAATAATTATTGGAGAAACATTATTAGATTATGTCTGCTGAAAAGTTTGGAGGTGGTGGTCAACAAATGAGATGCTGAAACTGGGATTTTAAAAAAAATGTGACACAATTATTAGAAATAACAAAACTTAGGAAATGAAAAAGTTAATGGAAATCCATGGAGGAGTGTTATCCACAGAAGTGCAGAAAGCAGTACTAAAGCAAATGGCTTCAATTGCAGTCATTTAAAATTACATCTCCTCACTTCTCTTCTTCACTATTATCTCAAAGATAAATGTTATACTAAAGACACAAGTTTAGAAGATGCACTTTTAGAGATGAGTGAAATTTTAGATGTTTTCTAGTTCAATCCTTTACTATACACACAAAAAATCTGAAATTTAGAAGTTGTGGGTAGAGTGGTGCCCAATTATTGTTCTCCACATTTTCCCTTAACAGAACCGTACAGTAGTCTTTAGTAACAATATCTGTGGGCTGAAGCGCTCAGGTTTCCAGCTGCCCTACTAAGTAGGGTAGCAATGTGAGGCATTTCTAGCCTGTAATATACAAGTAGAAATAGCAGAATGAGAAATCTGTTAAAAAGCATAGACCCAGCAGGCATGTATCCTTTGGCTTTTTTCATTTATTTCTTTTCTCTGCCTAGAATTCAGAATAAAATATTTAATTTTTTAACTAATAGGATTAAATCCATATACTAAGGAGATCAGAGCATAAAGATGGAAGGCATCTGAATTCCTGATGGGTTTTAAAGAATATGTGCACCAACTCTTCCTCTAGATTTCTTATTATATATGGAAAGTATAACCTGTGAGGTGGTTAGCAAGGGAGAGGAAATATACATTCTCCCCACAAAGGTTAAATTATTCTCTTAGTATAGTTGTGTTCTTTTCTATCTTTTGGTTATGAATTAGTCAGCTCTACTGTCAGTTAATTTATCTTCTATGGGAGTTTTTTTTTTTTTTTTAAAGCTCACACAAAAAAGAAACAGCTTACAACTTTCTAAATGTTAAATGTTTTCTCCCATTTGCTCTGAGTCACAAAACAGCAAGCAGTAGCGTAACCAAATCTTGTGCCGTAGCGTAAAATGAGATTCTACCTTTTTGACTTATAGTAAGTAGGTCTTTCCTGCCTAAATTTTCTTTCTCTACATAGATCATTTTAAATTTTAAGTTGTTAACTACATGCAGCACACTACTAACAGGCTCTGAATTCATTAACAGGAATAAAATAAGCTGCCTCTTACAAAATCACTAGAGTTACTTAAATAAGTAGATTAGTTTTTCTTATGTATCAAGAAGTCTTGGTACAGATTAAAGCAAAATAAATCTGATTTTACCTACTCATTCACAGCAAATAATAATAGGAATTACATGAGGAAATCATTCAAGGCAGTTCATAAAGTAAGTTTGCTTCTTTAAGGCTAACAGGATAACCTGTTGCTCTGGTCTACCAAAATGAAGTTTTTTTTTCTTTTTTTTTTTTTTCTTTTTTGAAACGGAGTCTCGCTCTGTCGCCCAGGCTGGAGTGCAATGCTGCGATCTCGGCTCACTGAAGCTCGGCCTCCCGGGTTCATGCCATTCTCCTGCCTCAGCCTCCAGAGTAGCTGGGACTACAGGGGCCTGCCACCATGCCCGGCTAATTGTTTTGTATTTTTAGTAGAGATTGGTTTCACCGTGTTAGCCAGGATGTTCTCGATCTCCTGACCTCGTGATCCACCCGCCTCGGCCTCCCAAAGCGCTGGGATTACAGGCGTGAGCCACCATGCCTGGCCTAAGATGAAGTTTTAAGTGAGGTAGTATAATCACGGGAGTGACAAGAGTTAAATAAACTCTCCTGTATAACATACAGTAAAGTAGTTATATATTAGGTTATATATAACATAGCCTAATCAAGGGAATGACATTCCACCGTCTTCATTTTATTGGCCAGAAGCGAGTTGCTGGTTCCATTGACAGCCAAGGGCATGGCTTACTGCCTGCCCTTGACTCAGGTCACTTTGCTGTGTGTCTGTCACACCATATATGCTATTTTAAGAATCAAAAATTATACTGGATTTCAATCACTCTCAGAAGACCGGATTGAAACAACAGAATCTGCATTTGTAATTTATATTTCTTTAAATATTTAATTCCTAAAGCAATTAACTTGTGATTTCTGTGCTGAGGTGTGTTCAATGTTACTCTTAGATATATTTTTAAAACTTTAATTTTGTATTAGTTCATTTAAAAATATATATCTACATTCTACTTATAAGAATGCAGCATATTATATTTTTAATATTAAAAACGAATTTTTGTGCAGCTAACCACCATGGCACGTGTCTACCTATGTAACAAACCTGCATGTTCAGCACATGTATCCCAGAACTTAAAGTAAAATAAAATAAACAGGAATTTTATGTAATTTGGTAACCAAAGCAAAACACTGTACATGGATCTACTTCCTTTCCCATATGAAATCACTTGAAATGGAAGTAAAAATTTGCAGAAAAAAACTTATGATGATACTGGCTAATAAAGAAATTCCCTGAAGATAATAAAACAAATTGATTTAAATTAACAGAGAAACCAGAACAAACAAAACTATAGTGCTGGACACAAGTGGAAAGTATATTACCTTCATTAAAATTATCTTCCTGACATGCAGTGAGGAAATTGTGTTTCCAAAGAAGCTTCCAAACTCACATGATATATGTGTAACATCAACTAATACAAAGAATACTGTGGAAGTGCAACCCCTTTTGGTAGGCCATCTCACACATACTAAGACTTAGCAGCAGATTCCTCTTCCCAATCCCCTCCCATTTCCAATCCACAGGCTAACTCTTCATATTTGCTTTGCAAATAAAACTGGAAGATTTCTCAGGAAATTTGAATGACAGCCCTAGAGAGAGACAGAGCAGAGCCTGATGCAATACTGGACCTCAAGGACACCAAGAAAAACAAATAAACACACAAAAGAAAAAACTTCAGTATTTTCATAGTGAGAATAAATGTGCTTTAAGACATTTCTCTGAGGGCTGGGAAGGAGGAGAGAGCTCCTGGTAACTAATGGTTGCTGGAAAGAGCTGGCAGCTTCCCTCAATGGAACAACTAACCTGGCTTCACTTCTAGAACATTACCTGCAATCTTAAGAGTGGACTACTGTATTCGGAAATTTCCTCCTTTGGAAATTATCACTTGAGTTGCACGTTTTACTCTCAGGGATTTACACAAATTCTGACTCATGAGAGAGATCCCAAAATATTCACCAACATTTAAATATTTAAGGAAAATCAGTAACCATAAATTGAAAAAAAAACCCATAAATTTTAAAAAAGAACAATTACCACTAAAGAAACAATGCAGAATCAGAACACTATTTAAAAAAAAAAAAACAGTTTATAAAATAATAATTTTGCTAAAAGAAAATAATAAAAATTTCTGATGTCTATAATCAAAAACTTTCAAACTCAAAACTAAAACTTTTAAGGAATGAAGTGTCATATCTAAATAGAACAAGTAACAAGATAGAAAAATAAACATGTATAACATGAAATTGGTAGCAAAAAGAAGGGGGGTCATAATTATAATACTTATAATAAACACTGAAGATGAATCTATTAAGTGAGTGCAACACATACCTTTTATATTTACAAAAGTGAAGTCCACCATGAACACAACAGTTGAGCATACTGAGGCATTAAAAACTTTCACTTAAATATTTAAGTCAGAACTTACAGAAATATATTAAAAATGAATTTACTTCATAAAACTTTCATAAATCAACAGAAAATAATTAAGATATAAGCAAGAATACAGATAATTAGGATAACATAATCAATACTTAGTATACTAGAAATAGATATAATATTGGTTAAAATCAAGTTTAATTATTTTCAAATATGTGTTATATTTGTCAGGGTTCTCTAGAGATACAGAACTAATAAAATATATATATCAGAGTCTATTAAAGAGTATTAATCCACATGATCACAAAGTCCCATAATAGGCCATCTACAAGCTATGGAGCAAGGGAGCCAGTCTGAATCCCAAAGCTGAAGAACTTAAAGTCCGATGTTCGAGGGCAGGAAGCATCCAGTATTGGAGAAAGATGTAGGCTGGGAGGCTAGGCCAGTCTATTCTTTTAACGTTCTTCCGCCTGCTTTTTATTCTGGCCACACTGGCAGCTGATTAGATTATGCCCATTCAGATTAAAGGTGGGTCTGCCTTTCTCAGCCCATTGACTCAAATGTTAATCTCCTTTGGTAACACCTTCACAGACACACCCAGGATCAATACTTTGCACCCTTCAATCTAATCAAGTTGACACTCGGTATTAACCATCACGAGTCCACCCCATGTCACCTTGACCCATACACATCTCCTGAGATCATACATAATCTTCAAATAAAGACAATAATAAGGTGATCATTATGCCTGACACAATACAACAATTCTTCATACAACCGGAAATGCACCAATCCCCCATCCAAATGCTATTACATAAAGTTAACAGCACTTAAATGCTGAGATGAAGTCAACAAATCTTATGTCACATAGTGAAGGAAAAAGGAAATAAAATGAGGGTATTGTCTTAGTACAAGTGTATACATGCACAAACATGTTTTTAACAAAAGAAAACTACCTTTTTCTACTACCCATTCTGTATTCCCTTTGCCTTCAAGCACCTCAGCAGGTTGTGGTTTTCTTCCTGGTGGAGTGACACAAACCTTCCTTCACGAAGGGTCTAGGACCTTTGTTGTCTTGCCTGGATAGAGCTGTTGTTGAGTTTCCCACTGACCTTAATCACAGGGCATGGTTATACTAAGAGATGTGCCAAGGGATCTCCTGTATTCCATGCATAATCTTCCTTACCTCTGTTGTGGAGTAGTAGGGTGATTTCATCTTGATAGTCCAGGTCAGTCACCTCAGCCAACACTGTAATTCCCTTCATAGCCCATTGGCCTAAAGGTAGGAGGAGCCCAAAGTGTCCAGGTGGCAATCTTAACTTCCAGTTAAAAGGAATCGTTGTTGCGTCTCCTGGGGGCAGCGTTTCTCCCTCTAAGACTAAGACCTCTAGGCTAGCAGAACATGATGTCGTGGGATAGGAAGCAACAATTTTGCTAGTGGGTCATTACTGGTGATGGTAAATGGTGCCATTTATATTTCCACCCCTTGATTCCTGGACCTGTGAATCCTGGCTATGGGAGAAACTGTACCATATATTGGATGCTGATTCAGTGCATACACAGCCTTCTGGAGAACTTTGCCCTAGTCATGCAAAGTATTGTCACCTAGCTGGCATTGTAATTGTGACTTCAAAAGGCCATTCCACCATTCAATATATCCAGCTGCTTCAGGATGATGAAGAACATGCTAAGACCAGTGAATTCCATGAGCATGAGCCCACTGCTTCAGTTCTTTAGCCATAAAGTGAGTGCCTTGATCAGAGGCAATGCTTTGTGGAATACTGTGACGGTAGATAAGGCATTGCGTGGGCCCATGGATGGCAGTCTTGGCAGAAGCATTGCATGCAGGATAGGCAAACCCATATCCAGAGTAAGGATATATTCCAGTGAGAACAAACCTCTGCCCTTTCCATGATGGAAGAAATCCAATATAATCAACCTGCCACCAACTAGCTAGCTGATCATCCCGAGGAATGGTGCCATATCGAGGGCTCAGTGTTGGTAGCTGCTGCTGGCCAATTGGGCACTCAGCAGTGGCTGTAGCCAGGTTAGCCTTGGTGAGTGGAAGTCCATTTCATTGAGCCTATGCGTAACCTCCATCCCTGACATCATGTCTGCTTTGTTCATGGGCCCATTGGATGATGACAGAGGTTGGGGAAAGAGCCTAAGTGGTGTCCACAAAACAAGTCATCCTATCCATTGATTATTATAATTATCCTCTGCTGAGGTCACCCTTTGGTGAGCACTCACATGGGATACAAATATCTTCAGTTTTGACCACTTAGAGAAGTCCATCCACACACCTCTTCCCCAAACTTCTTTGTCACCAATTTTCTGATCATGCCTCTTCCAAGTCCCTGACCATCCAGCCAAACCACTGGCTACAGCCCATAAATCAGTATATAATCACATATCTGGTCATTTCTCCTTCCGTGCAAAATGCACAACCAGTGCACTCCTCAAGGTTCTGCTCACTGGGAAGATTACCCTTCACTGTTGTCACTCAGGGGTGTCCTAGAAAGGGGCTATAGTGCTGCAGCTGTCCACTTTTGGGTGGTGCTGGCATATCGTCCAGAACCATCTGTGAACCAGGACCTAGTCTTCTCTTCCTCTGTCAACTAATCATAGGGATCTCCCCATGAGCCCATAGATACAGGCTGGGAAAGAGGAGGCAGGGTGGCAGGAGTGGAGACCATGGGCATTTGAGCCACTTCCTCATGTAACTCACTTGTGCCTTCAGGATCTGCTCAAGCCTGATCACGTATATGCCACTTCCATTTGATGATGGAATGCTGCTGTGCATGACACACTGTATGGCTAGATGGGTTAGAAAGTGCCCAGTTCATGATAAGCAGTTCAGGTCACATGGTGATTTGATGACCCATAGTCAAACGTTCATTTTCCACCAAACCCCATTAACAGGCCAAGAGCTGTCTCTCAGAAGGAGAATAGTTATCTGCAGAAGATGGCAGGGCCTTGCTCCAAAATCCTAGAGGCCTCCACTGTGATTCACCTATGAGGTCCTGCTAGAGGCTCCAAACAACACCTTATCTGCCACTGACACATCAAGCACCATTAGATCTGCTGGATCATATGGCCCAAGTGGCAGAGCACTTTGCACAGCAACCTGGACCTGTTGTGGAGCCTTCTGCTGTCTGGAACCCAGTCAAAACTGAAAGCCTTTTGGGTCACTCAATAAATGGGCCATAGTAACAGACCCAAATAAGGAATGTGTTGCCTTCAAAATCTAAATAGTCCCACTAGGCTCTGTGTTTCTTTCTTGGTTGTAGGAGGGGCCACACACAGCAACTTATCCTTCACCTTGGAAGAAATGCTCGACAGGCCTCACACCACTGGACCCCTAAAAATTCTACTGTGGTAAAATGTCCCTGAATTTTATTTGAATTTATTTCCCATTCTCTGACATGCAAATGTCTCACCAATAAGTCCGGTGTGTTTGTTACTTCTTCCTCACTGGATCCAATCAGCATAATGTGATCAATGTAATGGACCAGTGTGATACCTTGTTGAAGCAAAAAGGGATCAAGGCCTCTTGGAACAAGATTATGGCACAAATCATAAGTTAATATACCCCTGAGGTAGGACAGTAAAGGTATATTGCTGGCCTTGCCAGCTGAAGGCAAATTGCTTCTGGTGGGCCTTATGAACAGAAATGAAGAAAAAGGAATTTGCCAAATCAATGGCTGCATACCAGGTACCAGGTGATGTGTTAATTTTCTCAAGCAATGAAACCAGATCTGGTACAGATCTGTCATTCTTCAAGATCCATCTGTCTTCTGCACAGGTCAAATAGGAAAGTTTAATGGGTATGTGGTGGCAGTCACCACCCCTGCATCTTTCAAGTCTTTATGGTGGCACTAATCTCCACAATCCCTCCAGCGATGCGATATTGTTTTTCATTTACTATTTTTCTAGGTAGAGGCAGCTCTAATGGTTTCCATTTGTTCTTTCCCACCATAATAGCCCTCACCCTACCAATCAGGGAGCCAATGTGGGGGTTCTGCCAGCTGCTAAATATGCCTATGCCAATCATGTATTCTGGCACTGGGGGAATAACCACAGGATGAGTCCGGGGACCTATTGGACCCACTGTAAGTCAGACCTGAGCTGAAACTCCATAAATTACCTGACCTCCATAAGCCCCTACTGTAACTGGAGAACCACAATGATGTTTTAGATCCCCTTGAATCAATGTCAGCTCAGAGCCAATGTCCAGTAGTCCCCAAAATATCTGATCATTTCCCTTGTCCCAATATACCATTACCCTGGTAAAAGGCTGGAGGTCTCCTTGAGGAAGAATGGGAAAAACAGTAACAGCATAAAGTGTCTATAGTGTAGTGGGGTCCATTCTCAAGGGAATCCAGCCTCCCCTTTATTCAAGGAGTTGTGTGTCTGTAAACTGGCTCAAGTCTGGAAATTGATTGAAGGGCTGTAATTCTCTGTTTTTAGAATTCAGATTAGTCTCTTTTCCACTTGACCTGGCAGGTTTCTGCTTATATAGACTAAGTAGGAATGCAGTAGGCTTCCTCTTGATTTCACTTCTAGGAACACTGTGATTAATTAGCCAGTGCAAGAGCTCTGCATGAGTCTGATTATTCTGATTGCTACTTTGCCATTGCTGTCCATTACAGTAGCTACACCCACCTTGCCTTTGATGGTTGAGTGCTGCCACTTGGACTCTGCCACATTGGGATACAATTATTCCCATGGCATTTAAATTCTGTAGTTGAGTGACTGCAGCTCCCACTATTAAATCTGACATACAGAGAAGAGCAATTACAGGGCTCTTCAAAGATGCAGTTGCTGCCCTCAGAAATCTATTTCATAACGCATTGGTCAAGGGTATATCTTCTGGACCCTCCCAGCTTGTATGAGCAGGTCTAAAGTGATTAATCCACTCCACTATCCCAATCTCCCTAAGCGTTTAGATCCCTTCCTCTACATTAAACCAAGAGAGATCAGGCATTTCCAGCTCACTCACAGTGGGCCATCTTTTAACTAATATTTCAGCTAACCAAGCAAATAAACAATTAGCACCTTTTTTAACTCCCTGAGCTGCAACATTAAATGCAGAATCCCTACTTAGTGGGTCCAAATCAATTAATTCAGCCTGATCTGACTCTATGTTTCTTCCACCATCTTCCCACACCATTAATATCCATTCCCAGGCTTGTTCTCTAGATTTCTGCTTATATAAATTAGAAAATTCAAGCAGTTCTTTTCAAGTGTAGCACACCTCATCATGGGTCACACTCTCAACCTCAT
Organism: Homo sapiens; assembly: GCF_000001405.40. Taxonomy (NCBI): domain Eukaryota; kingdom Metazoa; phylum Chordata; class Mammalia; order Primates; family Hominidae; genus Homo; species Homo sapiens. The sequence continues at coordinate 190,674,217 of NC_000001.11, forward strand.
CTCTATGGGCCCACTGGGACTTTAGTTATAGCTCTAGACGTGAACAGGGATGTTGGGGATGGCTTCTGAGGAGCATCAACATTATCTTGCCTGGCAATTGCCTCAGGGGAGGCCATCACTGTTGCCTCAGGCAGCGTAGGGTTTATCTTCTCAGACAAATGTGGAAAGGGGGACAGCAGCATGGGTCAAGGAGGGAATGTTGCCACTATTGGAGATGGGAAAGCTATTTTTTCTGGCAAAATGTTCATCAGAGTTTACAAGTCCAGCTTCATCAGGTTCCTCCCAAATGTCCCCATTCTAAGTTTCGGGGTTCCATCCTTTTCCAATCAGTGCCCTCACTTTAACAGTAGACACCTGGTGAGGCTGTGCATGCACCTTTCATTTCAGGTCAGCCGCTTGAATGATAAGAGCTTGTGTCTCATTGTCCACATTTTCAGCTCTTTCTCTACAGGCAATAAGACTCTCACTCAGGGCAATCTTAGCAGATTTGATGCTTAGTATCTGCTTCCAAGGCTGGGAGTTGGAACCCCTGAGTTCATAATTTTCTTTCATTACTTTGTCCAGAGAACTTAGAAGGAACAAACCAACTTCATTATTTTCCTTTGTTCTCCACATATAGTCAAAGGCATTATGTATAGTGTCACTAAACTCCTTACCTCTCAGGAATAGTGAATAAGAAGTGTCACATGCACTTATTTTGCATAACTCTCTAAACAGGTTATGCCAAGGACTATCAGTGTTCTCCATTCTATTAGAAGTAGAGTCCTTAGCATTTGAGGTCTAATCATAATAAGCAGCCTACTCCAGAAATTCCCAAATCAATGAAGAACTCCATCCTTAATATTCTGTTCCTCTAGAACCACTCTTGGTACCAAAATATGTATTAGGGTTCTCTACAAATACAGAACTAGTAGGATAGATATATAAAGCAGAGTTTATTAAGGAGTATTAACTCATATGATCACAAGGTTCCACAATAGGCCATCTGCAAGTTGTGGAGCAAGGAAGCCAGTCCCAGTCCCAAAGCTAAAGAACTTGAAATCCAATGTTTGAAGGTAAGAATCATTCAGCACAGGAGAAAGATGTAGGCTGGGAGGCTAAGCCAGTTTAGTCTTTTCACATTCTTTTCCCTGAGTTTTATTCTGGTGGCAGTGGCAGCTAATTAGATTGTGCCCTCCCAGATTAATGGTGGGTCTGCTTTTACCAGCCCTCTGACTCAAATGTTAACCTCTTTGGCAACACCCTCACAGACACACCCAGGATCAATACTTTGCATCCTTCAATCCAATCAAGTTGACACTCAGTATTAAGCATCACCCTTGTGAAAAAGTTACTAACAAAATGGTCAAATACTAAGTTCCAAAGGCGAATAGGAGGACTCCCATTCTGCTAACAGTCTGTCAGGATGAGTATTGTTTTTATATATTTTATATCACCATGTGATTTTCTTTTATTCTCATGCTTTTTTCTGGAAGCATGCATTCCTTTATTGTTTATGCAATTTATGTTTGCATTATAATAAGAAGAATGAGACTCTGGGGAATAGGGTTAAAAAGAAAAGAAAAGTTGTTCCCAGGAGGATATTGAGGATATTGCCTTTTTCAATTTGATTGCTTTCCTTTGAGGCATAATAGGTATTACCTCAGGCTTTATTAAGAGATTATTATTTAGATATGTCAATTTAGCTCTGTTAATTTGACAATAAAAATACATTTTTGGACTTTTCCTCAATAGAATTAATACTGAACTAAATGAAGATTACTAAGAATATTAAATACTTAAATTTGAATGATACTTTCACAATTGAATTCATGGTCTCTAAAGCAATAGCCTGGCATAAACCCTGCTTCTTAGAAGCTAGTTGCCTCATGAGTTTGGTGCAGAACCATATTTGAATACAAAATTGTTTTTCACATATTTTTTAACATTATGATTAACAATTTGATTTCAATGAGTTCTTCTTAATGTAGATAAAAAGAACTCTAAATATCAAAATAAATAAAAATAGAAACTAATTACAACAAAAACCTAAATTTGCTCAGCAAAATCACTGGGCTCTCAGCATAGAAAATTTGGTTTTCTTAGACATGACAAAGGTGCTTTTTGTTTGTATCTTGTTTTCTTTTACCCTAATTTCTAATAAGATGCTTATTTTTACAGAGTTTTGAGTATATAAACACAATTAATTTAGCCTCATTCCTTAATACAAATGTGAGCATGTGGAAATGTTTAGGCTTATTTCTAGAAGAAACACTGAAGGTATATGGAACTCTTAGTAAAATTAAAATGTGCATTCAAAGTTGATAAAAATGTTATGCTTATAAAGTTCATGTTCAGAGAAGACTAGTAACTTTTTATGTGATGTAAACATTAACTAAAAGTAACATTGGGGCACCTTATATGTTACACAAAATACAGAGAAGATAAGGTCTTGGAAATTGATATGGTTTGGCTCTGTGTCTCCACCCAAATCTCATCTCTAATTGTAATCCCCACATGTGGAGGGAGAGGCCTGGTGGGAGGCAATTGGTTTAAGGTGGCAGTTTCTTCCATGCTGTTCTAATGATAATGAGTTCTCACGAAATCTGATGGTTTAAAAATGAGAGAGCCTTTCTTGTCTTGCTTCCCCTTCACCTTCTGCCATGATTGTAAGTCTTCTGAGGCCTCCTCAGTTATGCAGAACCGTGAGTCAAATAAACCTGCTTCCATTATAAATTATCCAGTCTCAGGTATTGTTTATAGCAGGGTAAAAGCATTTTAATACAGAAATTAAAAATGAAAACTTAAAAACTTGGAAGCAACTAAGAACTTGTATGTGTAGCTTCTTTAAAAAACACTATGAAGTTTATGTTAATAGCTTTTTTTTTTTTTTAACGACGGAGTCTTGCTGTGTCACCCAGGCTGGAGTGCAGTGGCACAATCTCGGCTCACTGCAACCACCTCCTCCCTGGTTCAAGTGATTCTCCTTCTTCAGCTTCCTTAGTAGCTGGGACTACAGGCGCATGCTACCATGCCCAGCTAATTTTTGTATTTTTAGTAGAGACAGGGTTTTACCATATTGGGCAGGCTGGTTTCAGACTCCTGACCTCAGGTGATCTGCCCACCTTGGCCTCACAAAATGCTGGAATTACAGGCATGAGCCACCCAAACCTGTCAGTTTTTACAAGTTTTAACTCAATAAGGAACTGGAAAGAAAAAAAGTGGAATAAAAATGTTGTTAAACAACTTTATAGTTTATTACTTTACCTTAATATAGGCACATTTCTTAGTATGGCATGATTTTATCAACATTAAAATTCACTTCTTTTTGCTTTTTAACTTTGGTTCCCTCATTACATTGCTACTCTAAAGCAGGGAAAATACTGTGCCTTCAGCACATATAGCACTGACTATATGTTGATTGAATAGAGAAGTAGATTAACCAATTGCCTAAATTTCTAATGAGGCCTTAAATCCTCATTTGAACATGAGTAATCAGCATCAAAATATAATATAATTATTGGAGTACATATTATTCATTAAGCATTGTGATATGTAATATCTGTTAATCTTCAAAAATACATTGAAATAATTATTGTTATCTGCAGTTTGTTGGCACAGAGGGTTAAGTGTCTTGCCACTTGACACATCTAGTATATATTCTAAGCAACATGATTTAGAGTGCATGCTCTTACCACCGTACCGTTGACTCTTTCTCTTTCTACTAAACTTTCTGGGAGGGTTTAAAACTTTTTTGATAGTGGAAGGTCAACACGGGAGTAATTTATGATTTTTGTGATCCAAAGCCTATTTATGTGGCTACTGTGAAAATTGTTTCTGCCATTTGATAATAAAATATTTCTTCTGGGTGGAAATGTTAGCAGGTAGAACAGGTAACGCAAGTTGATATGCAACTACTTGAGTTAGCGTACTTTACAAATTATAATAGCATTAATTATGACACATCTCAATTTCAGAGGTGTTAAAAATGCAGAAAAATGTACATTTATAGTTGACTAAATGCAGTATTATCTATATTCATTTTGACTGGTTTAAGTAAAAAGACCTTTAGGTTTTGTATCTAAATGCCTTATAAGACACATTTATACATTATTTTTTATATTCATCCTTGTCTAAGATTTATTTATTTATGTATGTGTCAAGATAATTAAGTAGTTATTCAAACTTCTTTCCATTTTCTCTATAAAATGCTTCTTATCAGGGCACTGCATTACTACTCAAGATTAGAAATTATGGTAGCTAAGAATGTGGTGGTGGTGAAGATACAGAGGGTGGAAAGAGTTTGAAATGCATTTATGAAGTGGGATTGATAGAAGCTGAGTGTGGATAAAATATGGGTTTTATTATTTGAGTGTTGAAGGTGATTGCGTCTTTACATGTTATCCTAATGGAGAGCAAAGTACCAGTAGTCATTTGTTTCCATATATTTTATATGGAAGCACACAACTGCTATTTATATTCATTTGTTTCTCTTCACTTGCCTTATCCTAATTAAGTCATAGACATTGACTTTTGCAAGAGTCTCTTTGCTTATGTTTTGCTTTATTTGCCTTTTCTCATGTAAGTGTGTCTAATAATGAAAAGTAAGACGTTAATTTAATCCCCTAGTACTGTTCTCCCTCTACTAGTTTAGACGAATGGTATTTCTTCATTTTAAAATTGTGTAAAAAATTCTGATAACCATATATTGAATACTTTTCATTATGTTCTTAAAATAATATTTTTGACTGATACAAAATAGAAGAAAAATCAGATTTCTTATTATTAATAGCTATTATCTACATGTTTTTAGGGAATAAAAATAAATTGCAGAAGGAATTTAGAACCACATTGTATAAATGAAGGAATGTTTGGCTTTTTTAAAAGTAAGGAAGCCATTAGAAAGAAGCTCCAAGTAATTTAAAACAAAAACAAAAACAATAATAAAGACGAGGTCTCACCACCTTTCTCAGGCTGGTTTCGAATCCAGGCTCAAGCAATCCGCCCTCCTCAGCCTCCCAAAGTGCTGGAATTTCAGGCATGAGTCACCGGGCCAGGCCAGTGAGTAATGTTTTATTTTATGATACTTAATAAATGATACTTATTCTTCAAGAGGAAAACAAATATTAAAAATGATATTATGTGAGAATTTATTAGGTAACTGTTTGGTTTCTCTGCCTGTTTTAAGCATTGTATTTTCCTTACTATTGATTGTTTCAAAAAATTATTTGTATCACATTTCACATTTTACGTTTTAGAGAAAAATATCAATAATTATATGTAAAAGTACATCTTTTTACACAATGAACAATTCTTACACTTATAACCAAAAGTTTTCAGTTTTCAGTATTTCACAAATATTTATTCATTAAACTGAGCTATCTACTTTGTTTGTCTCCTAGAGACACTGTCTTCTTTGAACAAAGAAAAATATCCCAAAGCTATGAATCACCTTTCCATAATTACACTAATGACGTTGAATTTCCTAATGCCTTCAATTATAAAATCAGTTCCTGACTACGAGCTGCCTTCAAATGAGAAACCAGTTTTCATAGCTACAAGGCAATTCACACAACAATAATAAATATTATAGGAGCTGGTCAAAATTTAAATTCAGCATGAAACTTTATAATTTTATATATTTCCCACTGCTCTCTAGGAAATCTCTGTTCACTTGCAATATTGAAAAAGCAGAAAAAGAAAAGTTAGGAATTCTGTTCACCAGAACAAATTAAAAAAATATATTTTTTTTCTTTTCCCGTTTAGTTTGACAAATGTTAATTTTGTGTTTATGCTTAAGCATTGTTTCAAGCCATGCTATTAATTTTCAATTATACAAGTTAAATTCAGGTCATATTGCCATAGTCAGAAACACAGTGTTAGTAATCAGTGTCCTGCTAAGTAACCAGGTACTTATACATAATATTGCTCTTTAGTCAGGAAGTTCACAAGATAGTTCATCGAAGGCACGCAGGAGCAAGATTTCAACATGCATTCTTTTTACAGCTTTTACTGGACACCTTATTCAAGCACTGAGCTAGATTCAGAGAATACAAATTGATTAACATCTTGTCTTTCCCTGCAGGCATTTATAATTTATCGAGTACTTTTAACTCCTCTAAGTCCAGGTAAACAAGCAGGCTCCAGAGCTCTGGAAAAAATCGGAGCTAGTGAAGCAGCACTGATGAGAAATAATTGTGACTTCTTATCCCAGAGCAAAAGTATTTTGGTTTCTGCATCTGCTTTCTTATCTGTTGCTGTGGGCATCCTACGAATCACAGAAATTCATTGAAATGGAGGAGGTGAGAAGTCCATAGTGAATCCTGAGGCTCACTGAAATAGGAACAGAGATGTTGAAGGTACCTCTTGAATACAGTTGTAGTTCTACAAGATGATATTTGAGTATCTGTAAAAAATGAAAAAGAAAATAAATGTATAATAATTTTAATCAAATTCATATCATCACACAATAACAACATTATAGTTTTTCACATTAGTGCTACACACAAGTGTATGGCTATTTGATAACAAACATGAAGAAAGTACAAGAGAGTAAAAATGTCAGCTTTTTAATTTCTTTCTTTTTTAACTGTTTTGCACAAGGTGAAACTTTATTTTGCAAAGTAGGGAAATGGATGCAATAGGTACTTGGACTTGGAATTAGAAGACCTGAGTTAAAATTCTGCATCTAGGCTTTGCTGAATGTTGAAATTTTGGCAAGAAATTTTGAGCTTTAGTGTCTTCATTCATAATATATGAAAAATGATACATAACTAATTGAAAGTGTTATATGAATTTAGAGAAATAATGGGTGCTAGGAAATTGCAATCGGCCGATGCCTACAATTGAAAATGGAAGCGCTGCACCTAGGGAGATAGGACAGGTACTGAGAAGGGAACAGCGTTTCAGACAGAATCTAAACCATGCTACATCTAATATAATAGTTTTATCTTGCTATTGTAACAAATTAACGTAAACTTCATGGTTAAAACAATACAAGCCTATTATCTTATATTTCTGGAGATCATAAATCTGAAAATGGGTCTCATTGACCTAAAACAAAGATGTATTCCTTTCTGGAAGTTCTAGGAAAGGAACTTATTTTTCCCCCCCTTTTTGGCTTTCAAAGATGCCAAATTCTGTTGTTCATGCCACCATTTCTTCATTTTCAAAGCCAGCAAAATTGGCTGAGTCCTCACACTGTCATCTCTCTGGTTCTCTCTTCTGCCACTCTCTTCTACTCATAATAGCCTTGTGATATTAAGCTCATCAGATAACCCAGGATGATCTCCTTCTGCTTAGGTCAATTTACTACCAATGTTAATTTCATCGGCAAAATCATCATTTGTCATGTAAAATGAGAGGTTGCAGAGATTAGGATGTGGGTATCATTTGGGAGCCATTATTCTGCCTACCACACCACTTGTGGAGTCAGTGATTGACTCTGTAATGTCCTTGGGAACAAGCTGAGAAGGAGCTCTAAAATTCCTTGTGAACTTCGACTTAGATCCAGGTACTACGAGGCAGAAAATTACATAGTTACACATAATAAACAATGCATAATTTAAAATGAAATTATAACCAAGCAAATATATCTAAACTCCAAAACAAATTTATTTCTAAGACAATCGACAAAATTAATTATTAGTACATTAAATCATATTAATTTTAAATAGCACTCAGATAAAGATTTAAAATAAAGTATATTTAGGATGTTCAGATAGGGGCATGGGATATAATAAATATTCACTAAAATAGACATTATATTAACAAAAAATTGCAACAGGCAGAGCTGTAAGAAGAATAAGTCAGTACAAAAATAATCTAAGAAATTTTGAAAATAAAAATGGCAGAAATTGACATTTAAAAAGAAAAAATAAAAGCACTCAAGAGACCAAATAATTTTAAAGTCTAGACGTTGTTAAAGAAAGGAGTATTGACTAGGAAGGCAATACTGATAAATTCTCCCAGAATATAACACAGAGAGAAAAATAAATAAAATATATGAAAATCATCACTAATTAATACACATAGAATGGTACTGAAAATAAAGCTGATAATGTGATACTTAAGAAGAAACCTGAAAGAAGCAATAGAGGCGAAGACAACAATCACAGATACCTTGATACAACAGAACATCAAATACACACAGAGTGAGATAATCATATGGCTGAGCAGAGAGACCAAGGGGGAGAACAGTTGGCAGACATTACTAGAGAGATAAGAAGGCCAAGATTATGTAGATTTCAGTACACATTATAAGGACATTGGGTTATCAATAGAGAAAGAACTTAATTGTGCAATGTGTTTGAAGTTTTCACTGAGAAGTTATAGTTTTTTTTTACATTTCATTGTTCAAATCAAGACATATATCCAAAAATTAATTCCAAGTATAGAGTTCATTTTTATCATTTACAGATAGGAGAATGAAAATTGTTAAAGAATAGCATTCATTATTACCACAATTACCAAGCAATAAATTTAATATGACTGGTCTATACATTTTAATATCAGAAGTCAGTCAATATGTACATGAGTTACCTGAGTTACATGAGGAAATTAGAAGAAAAACAAACATAAATGAGTAAATACAAACATATACATAAGTAAGCAGATTAATTATGAATATATTAAAATAAGATATATGAAATAAATGTTGACATTATTTTGGAAAATTTTGCTACAAAAAGTGGTTTGTTTTCTTAGTTTTTCTTTATTATGTTTCTGCAATAAGACTGCAGTGACTTTTTTAATAGCGCCCATCTCAAAAGTATTTTCTTTCATAGCTTATGTGTTTGATTTAGATTAAAAATAAAGATAACCAAACACAAGGTTACATGGAGTTTCCCCTATATTTTCTTCTAGGAGTTTTATAGTTTTTCATTTTACACTTAAGTCTCATTCATTTTGACAATCATGTTACATACACATGAAGACTGTTGTATTTCTTCCTTGTCAGCCTGTATATTTTTCACTTCTTTTAGCTTTTCTATTTCACTAGCTAAAACATTTATTGCAATTTTAAATAAGGAGGAGTGTCAGAAAGAACATCCTTGCCTTTTTTGCAAACTTAGAGTGAAAGTATTTAACTCATCATTAGGTATGATATTAACTGTAGCATTTTATATTTTCCTTTATTGGGTTAAAGGAGTTCCCAATATATTCCTAGTTTATTGGGAGTTTTTATCATTAATGCATCTTAAATTTTGCCCAGTACTTTTTCTCCATCTATTGATATGGCATATCATTTATTTTAGTTTAATGTGATTAATCTTATATTTATCAATTTTTGAATATGTAGTATTGCATTTCTGAAATGACTCCACTTGGCATACTATTTAATCCTTTTGATGTACTGCAAGATTCTGTTTATTAATACTGGATTAAGGAACTTTATATTCATGAGAAATATTGATTTTTAGTTTCTTTTCTTGTAATGTACTTATCTGGTTTTGGTATTTGGGTAATGTCAGCTTATAAAAAGGTTTAGGAATTGTTCCCTCTGTATTTTCTGAAAGATATTATAAAAATTGCTATTAGTTTTTCTTCAATGTTTTAGAAAATTCACCAATATTTAAGCATTATGTTTTTTGGGGGGAAGATTGTTTGTTCTTAATTTCTTTAATATATATAAAGCTATTCAGATTATCTCTTTTTTTCTTGAGTAAGGTTTGGTACTTTTTATCATTGAACCAGTGATTTTTATCTATGTTATCAAACGTTCAGGCATAGAATTATTTATAGTATTACCATACAACCCTTGTAATTTCTATGGATCAGAAGTCCCCGCCTCTTTTTCTGATATGGGTAATTGTGTGTGTGTGTGTGTGTGTGTGTGTGTGTGTGTGTGTGTGTGTGTGTATTCGTTCTTATTATTATTTTAGTTTATCAATTTAATTTAACTTATCAAAGTATTAGCTTTTGTTTTGTTGATTTTCTCTATTGTTTTGCTGTTACAATATCATCACTTCCTCCTTTTTAAAAACATGTTCTTTCTTCTACATGGTTTGGGATATATTTGCTACTCTTTCTGTAGTTTTCTCAGGTGGAGGCTTAGGTAGTTGATTTTAGGTCTTTCTTTTTCTACAGATTTTGACTGTGAATTTCAGGATTCACTTGTCTCTCCAGAGTTTGTAGTGAGGTTTGCACTGCAACATCAGTTCTGTAATGGATTCAGGAAAACTCATTAATTTCCAATGATATTCAAGTTATGTGAGGATATTCAAGTTCTGTGTATATCACAGGTGAAAGCAGAGGTCTCTTCTTTTAAAAAAAATGAAGTCAAACTTATGTCCAAACTGATAATAGCACCTTCAAAATGTCTAACCAAGTACAGTAGTAGAGAGCATATGGGAAGCTGATACTGAAGGCAAATTATATTCAATATTTTGA